>NC_000015.10:23882934-24185964 GCF_000001405.40 Homo sapiens
ACCCTCAGGGAGAGCAACTTTACAAATAAACATAGCATATACATACATCTCCTTTGTCCTTTAGGCTTTGAATCTCCACTTATTTCCTAAATGTCTTCACTGAGCCCTGATTGCTACCATTTTCTTCAGTGAGGTTATTTCGTACACGTTAATATATTTATATTTCTTTTTCTGCGTCCCTCCCTGGGATTCCCCCAACTTAGCACATATTTTATTTTTAATTTGTATACATTTAGGTTCATTCTTCGTGTTATACATTTCTGGCCAGGCGTGGTGGCTCAGTCCTGTAATCCCAGCACTTTGGGAGGCCGAGGTGGGTCGATCATCTGAGGCCAGGAGTTTGAAACCATCCTGGCCAACATGAAACCCCGTCTCTACTAAAAACACAAAAATTAGCCAGGCGTGGTGGTGCACACCTGTAATCCCAGCTACTCGAGAGGCTGAGGCAGGAGAATTGCTTGAACCCAGGAGGCAGAGGTTGCAGTGAGCTGAGATTGCGCCACTGCACTCCAGCCTGGGTGACAGAGCGAGACTCCATCTCAAAAAAAAAAAAAAAATTCTGCTGGGTTTTACAAACAGTATCGGATATCCACCATTACAGTACCATAGAGAATTTAATTGCCCTATAGAAACCCACTGTACTTTCACTTATTTGACCTTCTTCTCTCTCCCAAGCCCCTTGTAACAACTAATCTCTTTATTATCTCTGTAGTTTCACTTTTTCAAGAGTGCCATATAAATGGAATGACAAAGTATGTAGTCTTTTCAAACTTGACTCTCTTTTACTTAGTAATAGGCCTTTCAGATTTGTGCAATGCATCTCATGGTTGTTTAGATTTGCATTTCCCTAAAGACTCAAAGTGTTGAGCATCTTTTCATGTGCTTATTGGACATTGGTATAGCTTATTTGGAGAAGTGTCTATTCAAATGATTTACCTATTTTTATTTGAGATTTTGCCTTTTTATATTTGTTTTTTTAGTAGTAAGCATATTTTATATATTCTGAAACATACACCTTTATCTGCTATATGTTTTGCAAATTTTTTATTCAGTTTCTGAGTTGTATTTTCACTTGTTAATGGTGTATTTTGAATAATAATTTTAAAAATTCTGTTAAGTTCAATATAGCCATATATTTTTTCTGTCACTTGTATTTTTGGTGTCATGTCATAGAAACTATTGTGTAACCTAAGACCACCAAGATTGACTCATATATTATCTTTCATGGGTTTTGTGGTTTTAGCGCCTACATTTTGATCTATGATCCGTTTTCAGTCTAACATGTACATAGTATCAGGGAGGAGTATAACTTTCATATGGGTATCTATTTGTCCCACATTTGTTGAAACAAACTTTTACCCTATTGAATTGTCTTGGTAATATTGTAAAATCAGTTGATCATAAATGTAAGGGTTAATTTTTGTACACTTGATTCTATTTCATTGATCTATATGTTTACTCTTACACCAGTATTACAATGTATTGTTTACTGTTTCATTGTAGTAAGTTTTGAAATCAGGATGTAGGAGTAGAGTACTCCAATTTTGTTATTGTTTTTAGATTGTTTTAGCTATTATAGACCTCTTGCATTTCCATATAGATTTTCACATCAGCTTATTACTGCACAAAAAGGCAGCTGGACTTTTTATAGGGATTGCATTGTATCTATATATCCTATTGGAAAGTATTGCTCTCTTAAAAATATTAAGCCTTCTCATTAATGGATATGTAGTATGTTTCAATTTATTTAGTTATTAAATTTAACTCAATATGTAGTTTTCAGTGTACATATCATACATTTATTCATAAGTATTTTTTCTTCTTGATGCTTGTTTAAATGAACTGTTTTCCTAATTTCATTTTTATGTTGTTAATTGGATTAATGTACACAAATGACACTGAATCTTTAATATTCACCTTGTGTACTGCAACTTTACTGAACTTATTTAGTTTTAACCATATTTTAATGGATTCCTTAGGATTTTCTCTATAGAAGATTATTTCATTTGCAAATAGAAGTATTTGACTTTATTTCCAGTCAGGATGCCTCATGTTTATTTTTCTGGCCTCATTGCCCTGGATAGAGTCTCCAATACAATATTGAAGAAACATGGTTGAATAGAAGTGGGAAGAGTCAACATCGTTGTCTTGTGTCTAATCTTGGGAAAATTGTGAGTCTTTCAAGAGAAATATATGAAGCCCTATGAGACTTTTGGGGTTGCCATTTTAAATAATGTTTCCTTCTATACCAAATCTTTCAGTATTTAACTAAACTTACATTTCTGTATTATATTTCCTTGATCATGGTGTATACTTATATTTATATACTGCAGGAATTAGTTTTTGCTAATATTTCCTTGAATATTTTTGCCATAAAGCAAAAGTAGTCATAGTCATGAGGAATATTGGGCTGTAATTTTATTCTCTTATCTTTTTCTAGTTTTGGTATGAAGATAAACTGGCCTTATAGAATGAGTTGGAAAGCGATTTATTCTATTCTGGTTACTTTTTGTTGTTGTTGTTGTTGTTTTGTTTGTTTTTGGTAAGAGTTTGAGAAGTATTAAGATTAATTCTTTAAACATCTGAAACAACTCACAAGTGAAGTCCTCTTGACCTTGGCATGAAATTGAATTCTAATGATTACATGAGATTGGAAGTGGATCCTTACCCAGGTGAGCCTTCGGTTGAGACCTCAGTCTTGGGCATCATCAATATCTGGGGTCCTGATCTGGAGAAACTATCAGTAGTATGTGTGTGGTTTTGAGCCACTAAGTTGCATGGTTATTTTTATGTAGAAATAAATAATATACCTGACAACTGAATGTAACGTGATAGCCTAGATTGGGTCCTCGAACAGAGAGTTGACTATGTTAAAACCTTGTAAAGCAGTCAGAAATTCAGGAGTTCAATTAATGGTTTTGTACCATTGTTATATCCTCAGTTTTCATGAATTTACTATGGTTATATAAAATGTTAACATTACAGTAAGCTAAAGGATATATGCAGCTTTCTATACTATCCTTGCAAAATTCTCTATTTCTAAAATTATTTCAAAATAAAATTGTTTTTAAAAGGTATTAACTTGGCACCAAAATAAGCAAAATCAAACCAAATATATAAATAAGAAACCTTGGGTTCAGAAGGTGAATGCACATGTTGAGAGAGAACAACAAATCACCTTCCCTTGTCTATCCACCATTCCAAAATCACGCACACCTGCTTCAGGAAAACAACCACAACACTGGCGATTCTCTTTCGCTTTCTTCTTTCCCTTTAGACTCCTTATTACCCTGTCACTAGTCTGAGGGTCAGTAACCATTTCTTCAAAGATAGGTGCATTTACCTCCCATATCTCAGAGACTCCCATTTTCACACACCCTCTGGCAGTCTATCTGCAGACTCCCACTGAAGCCTAAGACATGACTGCTGGACATTAAAAGTCAAGATTGAGAAATTTAAGTGATAGGGAACATAAATCAAATTTCTGCATTCCACATAGTGTTTTCTTGGTAGAGGATTTCTTTCATAAAGTTTTCAAAATAAAGCTGTGTAAAAGCTTTGAGAAAACCCTGTTATAATTCAGGTTTTCTATTCTACAGATTCCATAATGATTTTATGGTATCGTGTATTCTGTGAAATTATATTATACATGGTCAAGCCTCAAAGCCACAGAATAGAAGGACTTCATGCAACAATCCATGCACCAGTCTAAGAGATGGACATGGGCTGAATGATGACTCTGCTTTTGTGCTGGCTAAACAAAAATCCCACAGCAAGGAGGGCTGTCCACCCACTCCCTACACAGCTCCAGCACTCTGCTGGAGAGCATTGGGTTGTTTCTGGGAAACATGCCTACAAAGCCTACAAAGTCAGGGGACTGCAGGCTGTGATCCATGGATATCTACAAAGTCAAGATTTTGCTTTTATGATCTGTAATCATGGAGTATATTCTTCATATCACATTCATAACTGTATTGATGAAAGGAGCAGGCTGGAGACTTGGAGTGGGAGCTACACCTGATCTGAACCACATTTTTTACTTCTGATATCAGGATAGCCATTATTTAGGTGCTGTTATTTTAGGCATTTGCACAAGAAACGTTTTCACCCCATGAGCTCATATTTTACTCATTGAGAAGTGATAGGCTCATTTAAAATTTAAACCTTAAACATGGAGGGTTATTAAATTCATACCACTTTAATCACAGTATTTAAACTAAGTGACTTGTCAAATCCCCCTTTTTCTCTTCATTCTAATGCACACATTAAAATTTATTATGATGTATACATGGAATATCATCCTTCACCAAATTCTTCAGAAAAAGACAGATTGGAAGGCCATAAAGGAGAAAGAAGTAGAAATGAACAAGGAGTGACCCATCTCTAAGTGGTGAATGAGGTTCAATGAGCTCTGAGTACTCAGAGTGAAGACAGAACAGATGATAGACACAAAACCAAGCTAACACGATACCCCAGGCAAAGAGGACACAGTGCTGAGCAAAGTCCCTAACTCTCTGACAGCATGGAGGATATGATTTTCCACAACCTAAACTATCTGTGGCCAGATTCCCCAGAGGTGTGCCTTTCCACCAGAATTCCCAGAAACATACCATGGCAAAGAACCAAAAGTCATAGCACACCATGAGGCAAGAACCCACTGCCTTGTGTCTACACTCAAGTCTGAAAAGAGCATAGAAGCAACTGGAGACATGGCTTATATGTTTGAGATCAGGAATTTATGTTAACTTTATTGAATCTTCCTGGAACCTAAAAGTCTAGGTAAAAAAAGTCAACCTCCTAAATCATTAATTCTATGAATTCTATGGGTTTCTTTTTCTTCAATATATTCATCAGAGAACAACAAAGTCCATTCCAGTTTCCAAGAACTCAAAAGTATATTTGGCCAGAGTAGCAAATGAACAGAGCAAAATATTGTATGAAAACCATGCTATACCTGCTTATGCAGTGACTGAGTTTAAAATAACTTGTATGATCACTATCCATGTGATTAGACAAACAAATGGTGTACTAGTCTGTTTCCTGTTGCTATAACAGAATGCCTGAGACTGGGTAATTTATTTGTTAAAGGTTTATTTGGCTCACAATTCTGATGACTGAAAAGGCTCCAGATTGGGTGTCTGCGTCTGATGAGGGCCTCAGGCTGCTTCAGGTCTTGGTGGAAGGCAAAAGGGACCCGGTATGTGCAGAGATTACAGGATGAGAGAGGAAGCAGGAACCGGGGGAGATGCCAGGCTCTTTTTACAGTGGTATCTTGAGAGAGCTAATAAGGTGAGAACTCACCCTTCGGGAGAGAATTAATCTATTTATGAGGGAGCTGCCCCCCGGACCCAAACAGCTCTAATTAGGCTCCACTACCCAACATGACCATACTGGGGATGAAATTTCAACCTGAGATTTTTTTTTTTTTTTTTTTTTTGAGATGGAGTTTCACTCTTGTTGCCCAGGCCGGAGTACAGTGGCGCAATCTCGGCTCACCGCAACCTCCACCCTCCACCTCCCTGGTTCAAGCGATTCTTCTGCCTCAGCCTCCTGAGTAGCTGGGATTACAAGCATGCGCCACCATGCCTGACTAATTTTGTATTTTTAGTAGAGACGGGGTTTCTCCATATTGGTCAGGCTGGTCTCAAACTCCTGATCTCAGGTGATCTGCCCGCCTCGGCCTCCCACAGTGGTGCGATAACAGGCGTGAGCCACCATGCCCGGCCCCTCACAGGAAACTTGTTTATGCTCGCAGATGCCCTAGTGGTTTTTGTCTGACCCACATCTCGTCTATTGCTACCATGATAGGCATTCTCTTTTATTTATTTATTTATTTTATTTTTTTGAGACGGAATCTCACTGTGAAGCTTAGGCTGGAATGCAGTGGCATGATTTCGACTCACTGCAATCTCCACCTCCCAGGTTCAAGCGATTCTCCTGCCTCAGCCTCCCAAGTAGCTGGGACTATAGGTGTGCACCACCATGCCCTGCTGATTTTTGTGTTTTTTTAGTAGAGATGGGGTTTCATCATGTTGGCCGTGCCGGTCTCGAACTCCTGACCTCAAGTTATCTGCCCGCCTCGGCCTCCCAAAGTGCTAGGATTACAGGCATGAGCCACCATGCCCAGCTATGATAGGCATTCTCTAAGAGAACGCTGAGTGAAAAAGAAGTTAGGTTTAGGTTTGGTTGTTAGGTTAAGTGAGACACACAGGAAATAACAGAACACATGAAAGCACAGGAACCGTTTATTACTTCCAGATAGAGAGAACAGGGCAGCATTCCCTTCCAGGGCAGCTGGAAGGGAAAATTCATCTGGGACGATTACAGGCAGCCAGCTGGAGGTGAGCAAGAGAGAGAAACAGGGAGTGACCAGAGGGCCAAAGCGTCTACTGGGGTTCAGCGCATGACTCATACAGGCTTCCATTGGGGAGTTCTAAGTGGTGGGTTTAGAGCAAGTAGGTAAGAGCTCTGGGGGGCACACTGTGACTGAGGGGGTCACTGAGGCATAACTGCATAGTAAATGTGGGTTGTGAGGGGTCAGCCAAGTGAGACAAGTGTTATACCTAGCTGTCCCACAGAGGCCATCACCAGGATGTGGTTGTGGAAGGTTGTGGAAGGGGTCTGGATAGACCCCACCAAGGAACAGGGAGAAGGTGAAAAACTAGCAACCTTGCCTTAGGTGATTAAACCCTGCTTTTTGAATAAGTTAAATCTCTATTCAAAATGGATGCCTGAGCAATATAAAGTTATAATAATTTACTATAGTACTTAAGAGTTCCAGTAATCTACTAATAACTCTAAAATCTCTAATCCCTCAGTAGAAGACAAATGGAGTTGGCCAATATATATTAAACTATATTTAAGAATGTTTTCTCGGCTGGGTGCGGTGGCTCATGCCTGTAATCCCAGCACTTTGTGAGTCCCAGGTGGGCGGATCAGGAGGTCAGGAGATGGAGACCATCCTGGCCAACATGGTGAAACCCCGTCTCTACTAAAATACAAAAAATTAGCTGGGTGTGATGGCGGGCACCTGTAGTCACAGCTACTTGGGAGGCTGAGGCAGGGGAATTGATTGAACCCAGGAGGCAGAGGTTGCAGTGAGCTGAGATCATGCCACTGCACTCCAGCCTGGCGACAGAGCAAGACTACATCTCAAAAAAAAAAAAAAGTTTCTCAATAATAGACCAAAATACAGCAGATAAACCCCATGATTTTACAGTGAGGAGGAAGGAGTCACAGAGAAAAAATAGTGTATTTCATTGAAGCCAGATTATACAACTCACATTTCTCAAATAGGGTTGTATCTCAAAAATGATAATGAAAACACCACTGTGAGGAGGCAGTCATGATGTGATTAGCCTCATGTGAACATGCACTTGGTCTAAAAACCTTCCATTGACACATTCCAGTGAGATCATCAACATCAAAAGTTGCAGAGGGGCTGTAAGTATTTTGGAAAGATAATCTCATGGAGACTGTCACGTGACCCTCATAACAAAAGTGGCATCATCACAGCTTCTGATAAGGACAAATGATGTTTGTATGGGACAAATCATGGAGAGGATGAATTAAAAACTATTTCAGAAAACTTTATCTTTTCATGGGAGATATTTCAGAATTCACTTTGTTAATGTATTCTGCTTATAGTTTCCATCTCATGTAATCACACGATTTATATAAGACAAATGTCTACATTTATATAGATTGAAAAGTTTTTTCAACAATTATAAGAAAAAATGTTAAGTGATAAGAATGATCTGTGGCATAATCGGTAAGTAGTTTTATTATTCCAGTGTCATATATAAAGTAATGATACATCATTCAATTGGTGCAAATGATACATATTGCAATTACTTAGAAAAAGCTGTCAGTATTATCAACTACTAATTTAGTAGTTAGTATATACCTTCTATTCATCACAGGCTTTGAGTATTATTAGTAATCCTCACAGCATGCCAAGATATAGGGATTACGATCACACTCATGTTTCAGTTCTGAAGCTGAGCCTAAAGATCCACAAGAAAGGAATGAAAGAAGCTTAGGCTTTATTCTGCCTATCTCTAGAGTCTTTGCTGACATCAACAATAGTAGCATACCTTTTTCCTCACATGAAACATACTTTCAGGTCTTACTTTAAGAAATATTGGCCGGGCATGGTGGCTCACGCCTGTAATCCCAGCACTTGGGGGACCAAGGCGGGCGGATCACTTAGGTCAGGAGTTCAAGACCAGCCTGGCCAACGTGGTGAAACCCCGTCTCTACTAAAAATACCAAAAGTAGCCAGGCATGGTGGTGCATGCCTGTAATCCCAGCTACTCAGGAGGCTGAGACAGGAGAATCACTTGAACATGGGAGGCAGATGTTGCAGCTAGCCGAGATTGTGCCACTGCACTTCAGCGAGACTCCATCTCAAAAAAAAAAAAAAAGAAAGAAAAGAAATATCACGGTAATAAAGTTATTTTCCTAAGTTAGGGTCTAACTACTGGAAATTGTTTTTGTATTTGAAGTTTGTGATCCACCTGGAATTGCTTTTTGTGTGTAACATGAGCTCAAAGGTCAGATTTTATTTCCCCTGTATGGATATTCCATTTCCTGGAACAGTATTGATAACTAGTCTTTTCCCAATTTTCTCCTTTATAAATTGCTTAGATATGCATATGTGTGTGTGTGTGTGTGTGTGTGTGTGTGTGTGTGTTTTAACTCTCTTATTTTTTTCATTGATTTATTTTTCTATCTCTGTGCACATACCACACTGTCTTGTTCTTAAGAAAGTTCATTTAACAGAAGAATTTTTCCCTCAAAGCCCATTTTCTTAAACACTGTGTTATGGTGTCATAAAGAAAAAGAAGAGTAAAACCTCCATGCCCTGTACCTACACTGATATTCCCAGTTGTACCGCAAATAAGGATATTTTAGAATTTTACAACACTACTAACTGTTGCTTATGTCTTTAACACCCTTGTGAATCTTAGGCAGTCCTCCCATGCCACTTCCAACTTTGTTTTTTTTTAGTACATTCTCGCTGAATTTCATTCAATCTCTCGCCTCCTCATTTCCCTTCCCTGCTTTCTGGAGCCTTAGGAACTTTCTACTCTGAGAGCAGCAGCCAGCAGGGAAGGAACATACACAGACACCTCTGCGTGTCTCCCTTGGAAGCACAGATGCTCCGATGGTTGGTCCTGCTCCTTCTCTGGACCACATCTGCCAAGGATGGGGCCACAGCCTGTGCATCTGAGCTCAGAGCCTGTTGTGGGATCTGCAGGAGCAAGACCAGTTGCCCCCTGCCTTCTCTCTGAGGTCGATTGGGCAATTCCATTATTTTGCATAAAGATCAAGTTTGTTCAACAATCATCTTGCTTGCTGACCCCAAACACATGCCCACTCAGGCCTTGCTTTGAAATATATGCTCTCGCTGTTTGTCTTGGCATGCACATATCTTCAACACTTATGTATATTTTAGGGGGGCATATATAAACATTATCTACAACTGAATTTGTATGTTTATATTGTATATTAATACCTTTCATATCTGTATTTAAAAATACATTCATAATAATGTTTCAAAAAATCTTTTTCAATTATTTTCATCTTTTCAAGCATCACTTTTTCCTAAGTTGAAAGGGAAGATCACTTTTATTAGGAAAGACAGATGGTGCACATTCTCTGTTAGTGTTTTCTAGAAACGCCTTCTGAGTGTGCAGAACCGACACTTTGCAAGTGTGAATATCATCATATTCTTTGCTTTTCTCCTTACCCAAAAGCTGTATGCATTGCCTGTCATACTTGATTCCTTGTACCACATTTTTGTAAATGTCTCCATAATATTATAGCTACTGGTACAGATGATCCATTATGTAGACATGTGTTCTTTCTTACTTTTCATTGAGTGAACGTTAAAATAGTTTTTAGTTAAAAAAACAAAACAAAAAAAAGCCACTCAGATAATGTGTACATACGTCTCCAGCCAGCACATATTTTTGTAATATGGTCTGGTATAAAGGAATTGAAATATTTTATTTACTTTCTTTTATCTACTAGCATAATATTGTAAAAGGTTTTCATGTTTATGACCCTTATAGATGATCATTTTTGTTCACTTATTCAATAATTTACCCGCATTTTCTATTTAGTGGGTCTACTGATGTCCATTATTTTAGCCTGAAACTTTCGGGTGACTCTAATGAAGTTGGTATGTGATTAGATGGCTGAGTGTCTTGGCTTGTAATGATGGGATTTCTCACCTGAAACTACCAGGAGACACAAAAGCAAGAAGGCAGAAACAATTCAGAACTCCAACCAGAAGACTAGGATTTATTTCGGGTTTGCAAGGTTGTTGAGTGTCCCAGTGCCAGCACGACAGTGTTGAGGGGAACAAATTATCTTGTGAAAGAAGTTTTCCTTCAAAGTGGGTCTCTTATACTCTACAGCGTGTGTCTGCTATTCAAGTAATGAAATCCTCAATATATTTTTTGAATTATTTCTGGGGGAATGAAGGACATTTGTACAAGATTTATGAGATTTTAGCAACAAACAGAACAACAGCATTTAAAAAAATTAGAGACAAGCCTTGCTTTATTGCTCAGGCTGGAGTGCAGTGTGTTGATGATAGCTCACTGCAGCTTTGAACTCTTAAGCTCAAGCTATCCTCCTGCCTCAGTCTCCTGAGTATCTGGGCCTACAGGTGCATGCCACCATGCCTAGCTAGCACAGATACTTGATGAGTACTTTCACACCAAATTAATAGATGGGCATTTGTTTTACCAGGCAATGCCGCGGTTAGAGACACTGACCCTTAGTACTGTATACAGATAATTTCAAGACAGGATCCTAAAAGATTTTCACTCTATTGTTGAATTCAGGCCTGCCACCGTTTACCTTGATATAACTTAGTATAAAGAGCAACTCTATATTCCATGCTAACTACGTGGACTGTGGCATTTGTGTAGTGAAAGGCAAAGGAAGATGATTTCCCAATTTAAATGAAACTGGAGTTTTTCCGGGGAAATAAATAGAGGAGATACGCCTTACTGGTTTCTCCTTCTTTTGTTGATAATTGTGTTCTGCTCTTATAAATAGAAAGCTCTACTTAAATGTATTAATTATATAGTCTGCTACTCAAGTAATGAAATCCTTAGTATAATGGTCTTTAAATTATTCTGGGGAAATGAGAGACATTTGTACAAGATTTATGAGATGTTAGCAACAAACAGAGAAAGAGCATTTTAAACAAAATTTTTTCGAGGCAAGCCCCTTGTCTTTCTTTTAGAGACAACTCTATTGTTGAATTCAGGCCTGCCACCATTTGCCTTGATAAAACAAGGTAAATGTTACTCTTTTTTGACAATAGTAATATCAGGCATACATAACTAAATATAGTCTTTTTAAATATCAGCCACACATAACCAAAAAAATCACAGGAAGTGCCAGGTGGGGTCCACGTGGGGTGGTTCAGCCTGCTTACACACATCTTTTCCTGCATCAATAATGGATTGCCCTTCATCCTGGGCTTGTCATGCCCTAGCTGGCCTTGTGATATAAAGGCCTCTGTCTGTTTTTCAGACAGGAGTATGATGAAAAGGTTGAAGGCCAAGTCCTTTTTTTTTTTTGAGACTGAGTCTCGTTTTGTCATCAGGCTGGAGCGCAGCCTGGAGTGTGCAATATTGGCTCACTGACTGCAACCTCCGCCTCTAGGGTTCAAGTGATTCTCCTTCCTCAGCCTCCCAAGTAACTGGGACTACAGGCATGCACCACCATGCCTAGCTAATTTTTGTATTTTTAGTAGAGACGGGGTTTCACCATGTTGGCCAGGATGGTCTCGATCTCCTGACCTCGTGATCCGCCCTCCTTGGCCTCCCAAAGTGTTGGGATTACAGGTGTGAGCCACTGCACCCAGCCAAAGGCCAAGTTCTTTCAAATGTCTTATGCTGTTTCCTGTTTTTCTGAACTGTTCCCATAGTTCTGTAACCCATATCTCATAGAATAATGATGGCACATAGCAACACTGTCTCATAAGAGCTGGTATGATTATTGTCTTTCATTCTTGATACTGGACGTGGAGACTGGCTTGATGCAATTTGATGACATTGATTTTCCAGGCTTTCAGTTCCATCTTCCGAATTCAGAAAGTCATCCAAGATCCTTGCCAAACCACAGCCAGGAAACTTTCTTAAAGCATCAAGCTGAGGAAATAGTAGGGCTCACATAAGTGTTTCATGTCTCTCTGGTATCAATGTCCTTCCTTGCTTGATGCACAGGATATTTTAAACCACGGTTTAATATACTTGTCCATTTTTAATCTTTATATGTAGTGAGGCAAATCTAATCCCTCAGTATTTCCAAAGGATTTTCATTCATTCTATCTACAATTATTCAATAATTGCTATACTTCTTGCTGTACACTTAGAACTGGCAATATTAAGGTGCATAAGGAACAATGAGAACAAACACAGAGAAAGACAGACAAGTGAACTGTCATTTGTAACACTTAAGAGGAGGTCAAGCCTGGTGCGGTGGCTCACGCCTGTAATCCCAGCACTTTGAAAGGCTGAGGCAGGTGGATCACCTGAGGTCAGGAGGTCGGGACCAGCCTGGCCAACATGGTGAAACCCCGTCTCTACTAAAAATATAAAAATTAGCTGGGTGTGGTGGTGGGAGCCTGTAATCCCAGCTATCGGGAGGCTGAGGCAGGAGAATCACTTGAACCTGGGAGGCAGAGGTTGCAGTTAGCCGAGATCGCTCATTGAACTCCAGCCTGGGCCACAGAGTGACACTCCATCTCAAAAAAAAAAAAAAAAAAGGTCAGAATTGATCAATTGATCAATACACTGTTTTTGTAGGAATCTCATTGGGGGACATCAACTCTATGTCAAATGAATGAAAGGTTTAAGATGGATCTAAAAGAAGGGATAATATCTGTAAATCAAATGATTATAAATATAATATCCTTATTTTATACATATTAAATGAGCTATTCTATAATTATAAAGGCATAAGTTATTCACATAAAAATGAAATCAATATTAAAATTAATTCATATATGTATTCATAAATATCTTGAAATTATGATTCTGATTGTTCTGAATTAGATTTTGATCCAGAGTCATGGATGACTTAACATCACTCTGTGTTGCAAGAAGATGAGACCTTTCTTTTTTTTTTCTTTGAGATGGAGTCTTGCTCTGTTGCCAGACTGGGGTGCAGTGGTGCAATCTCGGCTCACTGCAACCTCCTCCTCCCAGGTTCAAGAGATTCCCTTGCCTCAGCTTCCTGAGTAGCTAGGACTTACACTTGGCTAATTTTTTGTATTTTAGTAGAGACGGGGTTTCACCATGTTGGCCAGGATGGTCGACAATGAGACCTTTCTGAATATAAGAGGCCTCACCATTGTCCTTGTGATTTCCACATCTCCTGCTGACACCTATGTTCAAGTTTTGATGCAGATGATCTCACCGGAAGGGGGCAGCAGATAATTCCAAGACAAGTTCATCCATGTGTAGACAACAAACACCATGTCATGGCTCACAGGAGGCTAACAGTGATTCTGACAAAATTTGAAAAACAGCAATACTAAAATTGGTGACATAGGGTAAGTAATAAGCATTGGGAAATATTTATCAAGGGATCCATATTAATAGAGCAAAATCTAGAAAACAATATTTTACTTGGTGTGGTGGGTGGGCAGGCGGGGCAGGCAACACGGTCCAGAAGGACAGAAGGAATTCAGATGAGGCAGAAACAGTGTGGCCCATGAGAGGTGCTCTGCAGTGGATTCAGGATGGGGAGGCTGGAGAAGAGGCTGAGGGGAGTCAGGGCTCACATCCTGACCTGAAAACAGAAGAGAGGAAAAGAAACATGCCCATCTTCAATTTCAAGTCTTCCTCAGACTGAAAGAGACATGGAGTTTATTTTGAATTTAGCAAGAATAGACGTAGAGAGGGTCAGATTCTTATGAATTCACTAGTGAAACAATATAGAGGAGACTCTTCTGTGTTGCTTTTGGTGCATTTACATGTGTGGGGCACATAGGGGAACACATGGGCAAAGTTTCCATATTCTCTGATATTTCAGACAAGAGGGGATTCAGAAAGCTTGAAAGAATTCTAAATTGTAGTTTGAAGAGCTGCCCTTGGGAACTCATGGGACAGGCATCAGGCCTGGAATGGGATGGACAAGTGGGGCCTCCAGGAGAAGGAGCATTGCAGGAGATGCTGGAGAGTGGGGAGCAGTACGTGCAGCAGATAGGGGAGGTAAAGGGAAGAAGAAATAGTGTGTCTGTGGAACAGGCCAGGGCATGAGAAGAGGGCAGTGGATTGGAAGGACCGCAGGGATGAGTAATACGTGAGGAGGCAGGAGCAGGAAGGGACTGGGCAGGGAAGTGAGGGCCCCTCCCTGAGCACTGCACAGACTGCATACTGTGGATTTGAATGTCTGGGTCTTATTCCTTAAAATGGTACCCCATGAGGTCTGCCTTAAGAAAACAGAATGAGTCAGGACGGTCCCTGCTCACCGAGGAGGCTTTTGGGCATCAGCAGGTGGGGCGGGGTCTGAGGAGGAGCAAGATAGGAGAGGGGCAGGCAGGGTCCCTGCGCTTGCAGATGGGCAGGCTCAGGGACCTTGGATTCTCTTGTTCTCCTCCCTTTCGCTCAGAACCCACCATCCAACTCCCTTGCCCTAAGAGCCCCTCATCCCACAGGAGTGGAGGCTCTCTCCTCGGGTGCAGGTGGGGTCCACAGCTGAGGAAATTCAGAATTCAGGCTGACCCGCTCAGTGCGCCAACTGGCGTCCACACCGGATGGGCTGGGCGCAGCCTGACCGGAAGTGCAGAGAGCGGAGCGGCTGCGCTGAGACCAGACCCGGCAGAATGCACAGGCGAGGCGGACCGGGCGCGGGAAGCGGTGCGCAGGAAGGGGCAGAGGGCGCGGTGGCGTTCTGGGGTGCTTCTTTGTGGACATACGCACGTTCATCCATTTGTGTCTGTATGTCCTCAATCTTTGATATTTTCATTCAAAACCCATCATTTCCTCGCGTGCCTCTGAGCCTAAGAGATACTTGCAGTTTCCTCTTCTAAGACATGTCCCCCTTTACGTGTATGTATTTGTAGTTTCTTACCTAAATTTCTCCTTTCTTTCTTTTCTTTCTTTCTCTTTCTCCTTCTTTCTTTCTCTCTCTTTCTTTCTTTTTTTATTTTTTCAGAGTTTCACTCTTGTAGCCCAGGCTGGAGTGCAGTGGTGCTATTTCGCACACAAGCTGCAACGCCGCCCCCGGGGTTCAAGCGATTCTCCTGCCTCAGCCTCCCGAGTAGCTGGGATGACAGGCGCCCGCCACCACGCCAATTTTTGTATTTTTAGTAGAGATGGGGCTTCATCATGTTGCCCAGGCTGGTCTCGAACTCCTGACCTCAGGTGATCTGCGCGCCTCGGCCTCCCAAAGTGCTGGGATTATAGGCGTGAGCCACGGCGCCTGGCCTCTTACCTAATTTTTTTTATTGGTGGATTATATTTAAAGTATTTGCCAGTTTAGTAAATAAATGAAATAACCCTGCCTTAGCATGCTTTTGATTGGTTATTTTTGTTTTAGTTTTAGTTTAGTTTTGTTTGTTTTAAGACAAAGTCTCTCTCTGTCCAGTGGCGCGATCTCGGCTCACTGCAACCTCCACCTACCGGGTTCAAGCAATTCTCCTGCCACCACACCCACTTAATTTTTGTATTTTTAGTACAGACGGGGTTTCGCCATGTTGGTCAGGCTGGTCTCAAACTCCTGACCTCAGGTGATCTGCCCGTCTCAGCCTCCCAAAGTTTGGTCGATCATTGTTGAATATTACTGTTTCCCATATGGGGGCTCACCTCTGCATCCCCTTAAGGGGTGTTGTGTGTTTCTTGTTAAATTTGGGTACTTCTGTGTTCTGGAAATTATGAAGCGATCATTATTCATTTTTAAAACGCTGTGGCTTCCGTTCTGTTTTTACTGCCTTAGCATGTCTCTTTTCTTCTGCCTAATTTTGGAAATGTGTTCCCTCTTTATGGGTCCTATGGTTGAAACTTTGTTCATTTTTACTTCAGTTGTATCTTCCTTCCTCATACATGTATTCAGGGCTGGAAATTTAACCTCTGCTTTCATTCAATTCCACTCGTTTAGTTCAGAATATTTTTAAATCTTTTTTTTTTTTAACCTATGTGTTATTTGAAGTGTGTTTAATCACTACAAATTTTGGAATTTTTCAGTGTTTGTTCTCATGTTGATTTCGACTTTAACACCACTGTGGTCCAAGAGCAGACATTACATGGCATTTACTATTTTAAATTTGTTTAGTTGGATTTTGTGGCCAAAAATATTGCCTAGCTTGGTTAATGGTCTATGTGGTCTTAAAAAGATTGTGCGTTTTTTCATTGTTGGATAAGATAGTTGATAGATAATAATTATATACAGTTGATTGATGGTACTGTCGAGTTCAGCTATATCCTTACAGATTTTCTGCCTGCTGGATTTGTCCATTTCTAATAGTCAAGTGGTGAAGTATCCAGGTATGATATTGGATTAATCTGTTTCTCCTTGTGGTTCCATCAGGATCTCCTTCACATAGTTTGATGTTCACTTTTAGGTACATACATGTTAAGGATTGTTACATCTTGGAAAATTAACCCATTTTTCACTTTGTAATGCCCTTCTTTATTCTTGATACATATATATATAGTATGCCTGAAATATGTCTATATCTATCTATATGCTTGATATGATCTGTGCATATATATGTATAAAAGCATTATTATACACAGGCAATAATGACAGCAACAATACAATGAATGGGAGGGAGGAATTGGGATTATTTTGGTGTGATATGGTACTCATCTT
This sequence comes from Homo sapiens, assembly GCF_000001405.40. Taxonomy (NCBI): domain Eukaryota; kingdom Metazoa; phylum Chordata; class Mammalia; order Primates; family Hominidae; genus Homo; species Homo sapiens. Next base: position 23,899,783 of record NC_000015.10, read on the forward strand.
ACCTGTGAAGCACTGTGTGAAAGGTAGCATGGGTTTGTTGTAGATGTGTATTGAAAACACAAAGGCAGTCTGTTGGAACAAGGGCCTCAATTTCTTGCTTGGCTATTGACCAGAGGCTGCTTTCAGTTCCATTCTATGTTGGCTTCTCCCACATGACAGGATACACCCACATAGCCATCAAGGAAGAGAGCTTGCTAGTAAGACAGACATCACAATCTTATGTAACATAATCACCCACATGATATTTCCTTGCCTTTCAATATTCCATTTTTTTTCTGGTTAAATCTTTTATTTATTTATTATTATTATACTTTAAGTTCTAGGGTACATGTGCACAATGTGCCGGTTAGTTACATATGTATACATGTGCCATGCTGCGGCGCTGCACCCACTAACTCGTCATCTAGCATTAGGTATATCTCCCAATGCTATCCCTCCCCCCTCCCCCCACCCCACAACAGTCCCCAGAGTGTGATGTTCCCCTTCCTGTGTCCATGTGTTCTCATTGTTCAATTCCCACCTATGAGTGAGAATGTGCGGTGTTTGTTTTTTTGTTCTTGCAATAGTTTACTGAGAATGATGATTTCCAATTTCATCCATGTCCCTACAAAGGACATGAACTCATCATTTTTTATGGCTGCATAGTATTCCATGGTGTATATGTGCCATATTTTCTTAGTCCAGTCTATCATTGTTGGACATTTAGGTTGGTTCCAAGTCTTTGCTATTGTGAATAATGCCACAATAAACATACATGTGCATGTGTCTTTATAGCAGCATGATTTATAGTCCTTTGGGTGTATACCCAGTAATGGGATGGCTGGGTCAAATGGTATTTCTAGTTCTAGATCCCTGAGGAATCGCCACACTGACTTCCACAATGGTTGAACTAGTTTACAGTCCCACCAACAGTGTAAAAGTGTTCCTATTTCTCCACATCCTCTCCAGCACCTGTTGTTTCCTGACTTTTTAATGATTGCCATTCTAACTGGTGTGAGATGGTATCTCATTGTGGTTTTGATTTGCATTTCTCTGATGGCCAGTGATGGTGAGCATTTTTTCATGTGTTTTTTGGCTGCATAAATGTCTTAAAGCAGTCACATTTTCTGACCTCACTCAAATGGAAAGGATTTGAATATAAGGTTGTGTACATCAAGAGGAGGGGATCTTTGGGTGCCATCATAGGGTGTACCTGCCGTATCAAGTCTTCTGCAATCTGCAACAGTTTCTTAATCTTCGCTTATTTGTATATTTTTATTTGACCCTTTTGAAAAACATTGGTCAGGCATTTTATAGAATGTCCCACAATATGGGTTTGTCTGATGGTTTCTCACAATTAAACTAGGAATATGGATTAATTTAGACACTGGCATATATCTAAGTTTGAAGACAATAAATATTGAGTATACATTACTTACAAATACAAACCTAGAGAGAAAAATAATAAAGAAAAGCAGGAAATAAGAAATAGAGAATTCATCTTACCTTCAGTGGGTAAGGAATGTATGGAATTAGGGAGATGCACTCTGGGGGCATCAGCTATATGTCTTTTTTTATTTTTTTATTTCTTTTGAGATGGAGTCTCGCTCTGTTGTCCAGGCTGGAGTGCTGTGGCACGATCTCAGCTCACTGCAAGCTCCGCCTCCCAGGTTCATGCCATTCTCCTGCCTCAGCCTCCCGAGTAGCTGGGACTACAGGGGCCTGTCATCACGCCTGGCTAATTTTTTGTATTTTTTTTTTTTTTCAGTAGAGACGGGGTTTCACCGTGTTAGCCAGGATGGTGTTGATCTCCGGCATCAGCTATATTTCTAATAACTTGTTTACTAAACTCACAGTGAAATTTTTAAAAAAATGAGAACTATATTTTTTATTTAGAATAGTTTTATGTTTACATAACAGTTTTGAAAATAATTTCCACATACCAGCACATAGATTCCCTTATTGTTCACCTTTTACATTAGTGGGGCACATTTGTCATGATTAATGAACTCATATATATGATCATTCACTAACATCTAAACATTATTCCCATTTCCTTAGATTTTACTTAATGTCAATTTACTCTCCCAGATCCCATCCAGGATACATCACATTTAGATATCAAGTTTCTTTAGGCTCCTTTTGGCTGTGAGAGTTTGTCAGGCTTTCTGTGTTAGTGATGACATTGGCATTGCTCACGTGGGATTTGTCTGCTGTTTTTCTCATATTTAGACAGGTGTTAAGGGTGAAGGGGAAGAAGACCACAGAAGGAACGTGCCATTCTCTTCATACCATATCAAGGTTATGTACTATCAACATGCTTTATCATGATTGATATTAATTTGATCATCTGGATGGAGTAGTTTTATCAGATTTATACCATGTGTAATCACCATTTATTCCCCTTTCTATGTGATATGTTTTGAAAAGAAGTCCCTGTGCCCTGCACGTACTGAGCAGAGGAGAGTCAAGCTCCACTTCCTCATGGGCAGGTTACCACAAAAACCATTTGGAATTTTATTCAGCTTTGATAATTTATCTGTTCTCCATCATTTTACTTATTTATTCACTCATGTATATGAACATGAAATCTTGGATATTTATTTTATTCTTATACTGTTTTATTTATTTGTTGCTCAGATTTTTCCATTGTTGTTCATTGGAAGGTCTTTCAGTTGGCTCTTCTTTCATTTTGAAATACACATATCATTGTGGTTTGATTTTGTTTCTTTGTTTGCTTGTGTTGTTGTGGTTTTGTTTAAATTTTTCTTGGTTTCTAGCACTACCTTATGCTCCAGGGTCATTGTGTTTATTCCCTTCCCATGGCTAGTATTCACCATTTCTTCAGGGAGACCTGATTCATTTATTGGAAAATGCTATTGGAAATGAAGATGTGGACACAGTGTGTGCAATTTGGCACAGACCTTGTCAGATGAAAAAACAAATAAATATTTGGTTTTACAGTAGCTCACACGTGTACTCATTTCTACAAATATTTCTACACATGTCCATATTATCTATATTAAATTAAACATGAATTTCTATTAATGTCTCCAGCACACATGACCTAATCCAGTAGCACATGAATTAATCTGAATAAATCTACCCACTCTCACTGTCTTATATGTAACCTCATACTCTAACCATGAGAAATTTGACTCCATTTCCTTTATCATTCAGTTCCAAAATACATATATTGCTGTTTCAGAATCAATAATTCATATCCTCTTGGGAAACAACTTTACTAAATAAGTACAGTGGTTATATATGTCTTTAAGCCTTTGGATTTAGAATCTGTACTTATAAGCCACCCCCCTTATCCCCCTCCACTCCCTTCAGTGAGATTATTTTATGCATGTTTAGTACACTTATTTCATTTTGTTAGCATCCCTCCCTAGGAAACCCCAACTTACTAAATATTTTTTAATTTGCATATATTTAGGTTCACTGTTTGTGTCATAAAGTTCTGTGGAATTTGAAATACAGTATCATGTGTTCACCATTACAGTTTCATTATAGAAACTTTTCACTGCCCTAAGAACTCCCAGTACCTCACCCATTCGACCTTTCTCTCTCCTAAGTCCCTGGTAGACACTAGTATTTTATAATCTCTATAGTTTCATCTACTCAAGAGCTTCATATAAACTGAAATATAGAGATGTGGTCTTTTCAAACTGGGTTATTTCGCTTAGCAATATGCCTTTAAGATTTGTGCAGTACATTTCATGGTGGTTTAGACTTGCACTTCCCTAATGTATTAGTCCATTTTGCATTGCTGTAAAGGAATACCTAAATCTGGGTTAATTTATAAAGCGAAGAGGTTTATTTGGCTCAGAGTTCTGAAAACTGTGTAAGAAGCATAGTGTTGTTGGCAGCATCTTGTGTGGGCCTTAGGAAGCTTCCAATCATGGTGGAAGGCAAAGGGGAAGCAGGCTTGTCACATGACAAGAGAAACAGCAAGAGAGAGTAGGGGAGGTGCCAGGCTGTTTTTAACAATCAGATCTTTTGGTAACCTAATAGAGTGATAACTAAGTCATTACCACAAGGACAACACCAAGCCATTCATAAGGGATCCACCCCATGGGTCATTTCACCGGACCCCAACTCCAACACTGGGGATCACATTTCAACATTATATTTGGAAGGGATAAATATCCAAACTATATCACCTAATGACTAAAGGTATTAAACAGCTTTTCTTGTGAATTTATCTATTTTTTGTCAGTTTTTTTGGTGTCATATTCTAGAAAGCATTATTTAATCCAAGACCAGAGAAATTTATACCAATGTTATCCTATTGGGGTTTGTAGTTTTAGTGCTTACATTTATGTCTATGATCCATTTTGAGTCACTTAGGTATATTGGCATCCAACTTGCATGTAGCTATCCATTTGTGCCAGCAACATTTGTTGAAAAAAATATTTTTGCAAATTGAATTGTTTTGGTAACATTGTAAAATCTTGACTACAAGTGTAAGGGTTAATTTTGGGGCTCTCAATTCCATTGCATTGATCTGTATGTCTGTCTTTGTACTAAGCAATAGCACACTGTCTTGATTACTATCACTTTGTAGTAAGCCAAGGCTGGTCTCAATCTCCTGGTTTCAAGTGATCCTCCCACCTTGGCCTCCCAAAGTGCTGGCATATATTTCTTCTTCTAGATTGCTTTTCACTTTTTTGGATCTCTTGCATTTCCATACAAATTTTAGAATCAGCTTGTAAATTATTGCAAACAATAAGGCAGCTGGGATTTTGACCAATTTTTGAAGAGATAACTTGCATTGAACCCGTAAAGCTGCATTGAACTATTTGTGTAAGTATTGTCATCTTAACAATATCAAGCCTTCTGATCAATGGAGATGGGATTTTTCCACTTATCTTTTAAAAAAATTATTTAGAGAGAGATGGGGGTTTCACTCTGTCACCTAGGATGGAGTGCAGTGGTGTGATCATAGCTCACTGGAGCCTCGAACATCTGAGCTCAAGCGATCCTCCTGCCTTTGCCTCCCAAAGTGCTGGGATTACAGATGTGAGCCACCGTGCCCAGCCTTACTTGTTTTTATTTATTTTATTTTTTTCGTATTTGTATATTGGAAAAAAATGTTCATGCTTAGGAAAATCCCTTTAAGTCGCAGAAGTTCCCTTACCCCCTCTCAGGGCATGCGATGTGGGAGTGGCTAGCTTCTTCAGTGCCCTGCTGCTCAAACCCCTAGAGGGAGCATACAGACGGGCCAGTTGTGGGGCTCCTACCCCACAGCAGTGTCTAGGGGTGAATGTTTACAGCTCCTGAGGCCCCAGTGGGCATGTTTTACAGGGTGCTCTTTTAGTTTAGCTGTCGCAGGTGTCTTGGGTTAGTCAGCTCAATTAGACCTTCTGCCTTATTGCGAGGACAAAAGGCTTTCTGTATCCCGGCTGGGAGAATTGGAGGACACGTGGGCTTGGAGAATGAGCGCAAGATCTTATTGAGCAGACGTAGCTCTCAACAGATGGGGGAGCCAGAAGGGTGATGGAGTGGGAAGGTGGTTTTCCCCTGAAGTCGGGCCACTTAGCAGCTGGGGCTCTTCTCCAACTACCCCGGCCAAACTGTGTCGTTCTGCTGGTCGATGGCCTGCTGGCCTGCTGGCATCTGTCAGTGTGCTCTTCTGCTGGCATGCTCCCCTCAACGTCCTCTTGACGTCCAGCCACTTGTGTCTCTGCCCGCAAGGGTCTCGGGATTTTTATAGCCACAGGATGGGGACATGGCAGGCCAGGGTGGTCTTGGGAAATGCAACATTTGGGCAGGAAAACAGAAATGCCTGTCCTCACCTAGGTCCATGGGCACAGGCCCAGGAGTGGAGCCCTAGCCTGGGACCACACCTTTTCCTTCCCAGCGCTTCCTTGCCCCACTTCTATATCAACAGGATTTAATTTGCTTGTATTTCCTTGAGAATTTTTGCCTCTGTATTCATAAAGCATGTTAGTCTGTAATTTTCCTTTCATGTAATACCTTTTTCTGGTTGTAGTCTAAGGGCAAACTAGCCTTACAAATGAGTTGAGGAGTGATCTGTTCCATTCTGTATTTTGGTTTTATTTGTAAGGGTTTTTTGAAGATTTAATATTAAATATTTAAACTTTTGGAATAATTCATCAGTAAAGTCATCTTGACCTGGACAAGATTTGGATCCTAACAGCAATTGTGTGAGCTGAGAGGAGGATCCGTATGACTTGAGCCTTCAGTTGAGACCTTAGCCTTGGCCATCAACTACATCTGGGTTCCTGACCTGGAGAAACTGTGAGATGATACATGGGTGCGAGGTTTTATGTACTAAGTTATGTGCTAATTTGTTATGCTGCAATAAATAGGTAATACACCTGACAGTAAATTTAATATGGTATCACATATTGGATCCTGGAACAGAGAAATAGCATTAGTAGAGAACGTGGCAAAATCTGAGGAAATTCCATGGTTGAGTTACTAGTTTTGTATCATTGCCAATTTCTCAGTTTCCATAAATATACTATGGTTATATACAATGTTAACGTTACAGGAAGCTGAAGCATATATAAAACTCTCTATACTATTGTTGCAACAGGCTCCAAACCTAAAATTATTTCAAAATAAATAAGTATTATTTTGGTACAGAAAAACGAAGATAGTTAAAAACCCCATTGCACTAAGGAGATTAATAGGCATGCAGATAGAAAATGGGAAAAATAGTTCTTCTTACCTATTCACAAGAAGAAAAAAAGTTTTCTTCAAGAAAACCTCCTCAACTCATCAGTTTTTTTTCCTTACCATCACACTCCCCAATACCCAGTCACCAGTTTGTGTGTCAGTAACCACTTCTTCAAAGAGTGGTGGCCATGCATCACCTATCCCAGAAAACCCCATTTTCAGACAACATCTGTAAGTGAATCTGCAGGATACCACTAAAGCCTCTTTGGAACACATGACTTCTGGACATTAAAAGCTAATACTGAGAAATTTCAATTATGGAGAACATAAATTTTATTTCTGAATTCAGGAGAGTATTTCCCTGGTACAGGGTTTCCTTCTTCCAAGTTTCCAAAAGACAACCATACTTTCAGCCCTATAATAAAACCCTGTAATAATTCAATTCTGTTTATTGTAAGACTTTTCTGGAATTTTCTGGGTTCAGGTATTTCACTGACACTCTTATCATGGAATTAAATTATGCATTGTCAAGCTTCAAAGCCACATAATAGATATCATCATGGTAGCAGGTAGGCTAGCTTTAAAAAAGAAAGCTTGTGGCCGGGTGCAGTGGCTCACACCTATAATCCCAGCACTTTGGGAGGCCGAGGCAGGCAGATCACGAGGTCAAGAGTTGGAGATCAGCCTGGCCAACATGGTGAAACCCCCTGTCTACTACAAAAATTAGCCAGGCATGATGGCGCGCACCTGCAATACTAGCTACTCAGGAGGCTGAGGCAGGAGAATTGCTTGAACCCAGAAGGCGGAGGTTACAGTGAGCCGAGATTGCACCACTGCACTCCAGCCTGGGCAACAGGGCGAGAATCCATCTCAAAAAAAAAAAAACAAAACAAAAAAACTTGTATACATGGTGGTTTAGGCCAGTTCCTGCTTACACAGACCTGGAAATGAATCTTTATACACCAGGTTCTTGGCTAATGAAGGCAAATTAGTGATTCATAATTTGTTGTTCACAGATAGAAAAATCTTAGCAAGGAAAACAAAAAATAGAAGAACAACACACATACAGTGTATCCCCAACACACCATGCAGTGATCTAAGAGATGGACACAGGCTGAATGGTGACTCTGCATATATACTGGCTAAACAAAGATTCCCACAGCAGGGAGGACTGTCCCCCTCATCCCCCACACAGCTCCCTGTTCACAGGCCACAGCACTCTGCTGTGTATCACCAGGGCTGTGTGCAGGAGCCATGCCCACAAAGCCTGCCACGACATGGGAACGCACTACCATGGACATTTACCAAGTCAAGACTCCTATATTTACTGTCTGTAATAATGAGGTATATTCTCCATACACATTCATAGCTTCAGGGATAAAGCTAGCTCCTGAGGCTTGGGGACTTGGAGTGAGAGATACAGCTAACCCAGACCACATGCATTGCTTCTGAGATTGGGATAGCAAATATTTAGGGGCTATGATTTGGGGCGTTTATAAATTAAGACACCTTGTCACCCCTCTGAGCTGATACTCCACTCCTTGAGAAAAGACAGACTTATTTAAATTCCTAATCTTAAAACATGGAGAGTTATTCAGTTCATTTTATTTTAACTGGAGCCTCCATAATAGCTAAGTGACTTGTCAAATCTCATTTTCCTTTTAATGTATACATTAAAATATATGATGATGTAGATTATGAATATTATCCCTGACCAAACTTTTCAGAAAAAAAAAGGTGGAGGAGCAAAGTTACAGGAGATGAACAGCCACAAGTAGATGTGAACAAGAAGGGACCCACCTCAACCTGGCCAATGAGCGGTCATCAAGCACCAAGTACTAAAGGTTAAGATGTGGCAGGTAATAGACACAAAACTGTACCAATATGATATCTCAGGCACAGAGGACACAGTCCTGAGCACCAGATGCCCAAACATGACTCTCTGATAGTGCAGAAGATTTGATTCCCCATAACCCACTAAAGGAGAGTCGATTTCACAGAGCTGGCCTGGACACTAGAATTCTCAGAAAGATGCTATTGAAAACATCCCAAAGTCAGACCACGTCGTGAGGTAAGAACCCTACACCCTGTCTCCACAGCAGCCTGAATAGAAGATAGAGTCCAGTGAAGATCAGGACTTGCTGTTATCTTAATTCAGCCTTCCTGAAGCCTCCAACTCTAGGTGTAAATGCATTCAACATCCTAAGTCATTAAATCATTAATTATATGAATTTATGATTTAATCCATATATTAATCAGGGAACATGAAAGCCCATTAGATAATCAATTACCCAAAAATAGGGTTGTTCATAGTAGCAATGGGGAAGAGAAAACATTTTATGGAAAACATAATACATCTACTTCTGTGCTGATTGATCATAAAGCCATTGTATGCTGACCGTGTGATTAGAAGGACTACTGTGAATGTGAATCTATATCTAAAATATAGATATACTAATGTATATCTATTAGATTGAATAATTAGACTTGGAGTGCCACTTATAGGGAGTATTGCTCATATTTTTTAAGATTAGAACAGGATTTCTCAAGACACAACGTTTTCTAAATCTTTAGATTACCACTCTTATGCAAACTTTCATCGAACCCTTTGGCATTATATTCCTTCTCCGGAAACTTTTGGAACCTTATGTTATAAAATTACCTGTCTGGCCAGGTGCAGTGGCTCATGCCTGTAATCCCAGCACTTTGGGAGGCCGAGATGGGCAGATCACCTGAGGTCAGGAGTTTGAGACCAGCTTGGCCAAAATGGTGAAACCCTGTCTCTACAAAAAAATACAAAAATGGCTAGGCATGGTGGCTCACACCTGTAATCCCAGCACTTTGGGAGGCAGGTGGATCACGAGGTCAAGAGATCGAGATCATCCTGGCCAACATGGCAAAACCCTGTCTCTACTAAAAAATACAAAAAATTAGCTGGGCGTGGTGGCGCATGCCTGTAGTCCCAGCTACTTAGGAAACTGAGGCAAGAGAATCGCTTGAACCTGGGAGGCGGAGATTGCAGTGAGCCGAGATGCACTCCAGCCTGGCAACAGAACTAAGACTTCTTCTCAAAAAACAGAAACAAAACAAAACAAAACAAAAGACAAGCAAACAAAAAAATACAAAAATTAGCCAGGTGCGGTGGCAGGCGCCTGTAATCCCAGCTACTCAGGAGGCTGAGGCAGGAGAATCGCTTGAACCTGGGGGGCGGAGGTTGCAGTGAGCCAAGATCGTGCCATTGCACTCCAGCCTGGGTGACAAGAGTGAAAATACGTCTCAAAAACAAAACAAACAAACAAAAATTACCTCTCCATATTTGTTGTATTTTTGTCATTTCTAGTTTGGTCTTGGGGCCTGTCTCTGGAGGGTGTCTATAAACTCTAGCACTGCCCTAATGGAGTTCGAAGGGAGGTACTCATGGTGTTTACAATGTGCCTATCACAGGATACTTCTTTATCCTGGTGGATGGCCTAATGCCTAATGTCTGACCCCTGATTAGTTGTTCCATCAGAGGGAAGGTTTGGACTGGCAGACATGCTTGTGTCCTTTGTCTTACCTAGGTCCAGTTTATTCCTACCAAGATAGCCACTGTGTAGGAGACCCTTGATTGGAAAAGAAATTAGGTTCTGGTGTGCTGGTCAAGTGAGATGCAAAGAAGGAAACTCACCATATGAAATAACAGAAACAGTGTATGACTTATAAATCCCATAAAGAAGAAGGCAGCACACCTCAGAGGGCAAACGGGAAGGAAGGAGCTTCCCTGGACACACTCCTACAGCCAGCAGGTGGGGAGCAAAGACAGAGGGAGAGAGAGTCTTGTGGGCCAAAACTTGTATTGGGGTCAAGCCTGTTGCTAAGCAGGTTTCCCGCAGGGAGTGTTAACTGGTCACTTTACAGCAAGCAGGCATGAATTCCATGGAGTCACACTGTGTGAGATGGCAACTGTGGCATATCTGTACAGTCCACATAGGGTGTGGGGATTGGTGTGTGGAATAAAGTAGGCTGTGTCTAGCTGTCCCATAGATAGACTCTACATGATAGATATCCAAATTGATCACATTAAGGAACTGGGAGGAAGCAGAGAACTGGAAACTGTGTCACAGGTGACTAAGTCCTGCTTCTGTTGTGAGCAAGTTAATCTTACAGACAAAATGGATGCTGAGGCAATATACAATTTTAATAATTCAGTATAACATGTCAAATAGGAATTCTGGTACTCCACTAGTAACTTTAATATCTCTAATTCTAATAGCTAGGTAGAAGGTAAGTGGAACTGGTCAACTTATATGAAATTCATATTGAAGCATGTTTCCTTGAAAACGAATCAGAATATGGCAGATGAGCCACTATGATTTCACACTGTGAAATGTAAGAGGGAAAAATAGTGTGTTCTATTAATGCTAGAGTGCATGTTTTCACATCTTTCAAATATAAATGCATCTTAAAATGCATAGTGTCAAATAGGATTAGCCAGGAGGCAGTCATAATGTGTTTGTCCTCATGTGAACATGCATGAACTTTATCTAAAACCTTTCATTGACATCTTATGATGCTATCATCAGCTTCAAAACCTGCAGAGTGGCTGTCAGGAGGTTGGAAAGATAATCTCCTGGAGAGTGACTTAGGAATCTCACAAGAAATGTGGCATAGCCAAAGCTGCTGATTGACACAGATGATGATAATATGGGGAAGGTCATGGAGAGGATGAGCTGCAAAGTTACGTAGAAGAGTTTTACCCAAATGAGAGAAATTTAGAAATATCTTTGTGGATATATTGTACTTAACTTTTTTTTTCCATCCCACATAATCATGGAAGTAATCTGAAACAAATATCCATATTTTTACAAATTATAAAAAGTTTTCTCAATATTTATAACATATTATAAATGATAAGTATTATCCGAGTCATAGTTTGTCAGTGATTTTATTCTTTGTGATCAGTAAAATAATGATGTATTTTACAATTGATGTGATTGATACATCATACAATTTTTAGAAAATGCTTTTAGTATTAACAAATGATCATTCAGTGGTTTGTATACACCTGGTATTATTCTACATGCTTGATGTATTATTAATTCATTCAATCTTCACAGCATCTCAGGAGGGAGACAGTAACACCACTCCCGTGATCCAATTCTGAATCTAAGCCCAAGTCCTACAAGAAATAAACAGAAAAACCTGAGCTTGACTCAGCCTGTTTCCAGAATGCTTGCTCACATCAAATATGTTAGAGTATCTTTTATCTTATATAGTAAATACTTTATAGGTTTAGTTTAAGAATTGTTACTCTTCACCACAGTCATGAAGCTATCTTTTTAAGTTCTAAATAATGTATTAAATTGTTTTTATATTTAGGTCTGTGATCCATTTGGAATAGGTTATGTGTGTAATGTGAGACGGTAGATTTTATTTCCAATGACGCATATTCACATCCCTACATTTATTGAAAATTTATTTCCCCACTAATTTATCTTATATATTATTTGCCTATATATGCATGTGTTCGTTTTTAAGCTCTCTTTAATTTTTTTCCATTGATATTCTCCATCTTTGTGCAAATACTGAGTTAGTCCCTTCATTTAATGCAAGAATTTTCCTCCAGTGCCCTTTCTGTTGTCCACTGTACTGTTCTATAATGAAGTAAAAGAAGGGTGAAAATTTGCACACCTTACACCTACACCAGGATTCCCAGCTGTATCTTGAAGGAAGCGGAGGTTAGAACTTTCAAGATTAATGTCGACACTAATGTCTCTAATGTCCTTGTGAATCTTAGGCAATTCTCCCGAGATACTTTCTGCTTTATTGTGTGTGCGTGTGTTTAACGTTCTCAGTGAATTCCATTTGCTGTCAGGACTCCTGATTTTCTTTCCCTGCTTTTAGGATACTCAGTGACTTTCTACTCCCCTAGCAACAGCCAGCAGTGGTAGGAACCTGCACAGACAACCCCAGTACCTTGTGCGCGGGCGCAGACACGCCAAGGGTGGTGGGTTGCTTCCTCCAGACCACGCCCACCGATGCCGGCAGCAGCTGGTGCAGCGGAGCTCAGATCCTCTCTGTGGGGTCTGCACCGGCAAGGGCAGCTGCTCCCTGCCTTTCCTCAGGAGTCAGTGGAGGTAATAACTTGTTTTCATATAAAGAACAAGTTTGTTCAACAGTGATTTTGCCTGTTGACCAAAGACAGGACTCGTTACCCCTTAGGGCCTTGCTTGGTAATATGTGCTTTTGCTTTTTTTAGGTGGGGGTGGGTGGGCAGAGAGGCGCTCACGAATGTTTTTAAAACTTTTGTATAAATTTTCATTTTATTCGTAACATAAACATCATCTACAAGCAAATCCACATTCTGTTTTCTATATTAAGGCCTTTCATACTTGTGATTTAAAATGCATGCATTCATTTTTTTTCATTAGGTTTCAAATAATCGTTTCAATTATTTCCATGTTTTCAGGTATCACTCTTCACTATATTAAAAGATAATATCGCTTTTATTATTTTAAAGACATATATTATACATTCTCTGAGGATTTTCCAGAAATTTCCTCTGTAATACCTCTGGTTGGAAAGGTGAGGGACAGAGACTTTACTGGGAGTCACAGGAAAAGTCTGCTCAGTCTCCTGCTTAAAAAGAGCTCTGAATGTTTTTATTGCACAGATGAATTTTCTCTGATTGTCAGATGTTCACAAAGGCTTTAACTTGTATGAATGAACTCCGAGACCACCTTTCTGAATGCACAGACCTGCCACGTTGTTGCTGTGTAAGCATGAATTTCATCATATTGTCAGCTTTTCATCTTACCCAAAAGCTATAAACATTGGCTAAAGTCCTCAATTGCTTGCTCCTCATTTTTGTAAATGTGTGCATGGCATTTCCTTGAACAGATGGCTCATAAAACAGATATAAATTCTCTTTGATGAGTAAATACGAAAATTGTTTTCAGTTAAATAAAAAATGCCACTCAGAAAATTGGCAAATGCGTCTCCAGGCAGCAAATATTTTTAGATTACGGTCTTGTAGAAATATAATTACAATAAGTACTTATTTTGTTTTATCACATAGCATGTTTCAAAGAGGTTTTCATGCATGTTTCTTTTTCGGATTACCATTTTTATTGACAATAAGTTGCCCATCTTTCTATTTCTGATCTGATCTTTTGATGTCTGTTGTTTTTGTCTGAAGCTCTGACTCTCTTCTAATGTACTTTGCATATGAAGAGAAAGCTGGTTATCCTGACTAGTAAAGAAGGGATTATTGAACCTGAAACTGTGAAGAGACACAAAAGCAACAAGAGGACAGAAACAATTCAGGGCTTCAATAAGCAGAGTACAATCTATTTAGTGACTGCAATGTGGAAATCTCTAATGTCAGCAAGACTGTGTTGAGAGGAACACATTTTCTTGTGAGTGAGCATTCCTAGAGGATGAGTATCTTAGAGACTCAACGGCATATGTCTGCTATGCAAGTAATGAGTCCTCCATCTAATGGTGTACAAACTATTCTGGAAGGATCTGTTCAGGATTTATGAGGTGTTAGCAACCTACAGAGCAAGAACACTGATACTTTTTGGTTACTCCAAATTATTATTTATAAAATATTATTATAACTTGGTGTTTGTTTTGCCAGGTAAGACTTCAGTCAGGGGCTCTGAGGTCGGTACTGTATCCAGGGAATTTAAAGTCCAGATCTTAGTTTAAAAAAAATGGCCTGTCATCTTCACTCTATTATTGAATTAGAGCCTGACATCATTAATTTTAATTTTACTGAATATAAATAGCAACCCTATATTCTATGCATACTGTTTTGACTGTGGCATTTATTTAGAGAAGAATGGAGACAAGATGATTCCAACTTAAAGGAAACTGGAAGTATTCTGAGGAAACAAATAGAGAAGGTAAGCCTTACTGGTTTCTCCTTTTGATGGCAACCATCAAAAGGATGGTTATAAGTCTCTTATAAATAGAAAGCTCTATTTGAGTTATTCCATTATGGTAATCTTATCAGCAAACATAAGACATCATAGGAAAGGCAGGTTAGGGTCCAGGTGGGGAGGTTTTACCTGCTTATAGGCATCATTTCCTTCAGCTCTGATGGGGCATCCCCTTCATCGCTTGGGCTTATTGCAAGATGGCTGGGTCATTTCTTTTTGAAGTTAGGAATAAGATGAAAGCATTGAAGGCCAAGTTTATTTAAATGAATTTTACTTGTTTCTCACTTTTTCTTCTGTACTGCTCCTTTAGTTCTGTGACCCATGTTTTGGTGAAGTAATGATGACACAGGGATACCCTGCCTCATGAACGCTGGTGTGACTTCTCTCTTCTGTTCTTACCACTGGACATGATGGCTTGATGAAGTCAGGCCACCTCGCTCTTCTATGCTCTCAGTTCCATCTTCTCAACTCGGAAAGCCTGCCAAGGTCCTTACAACATCACAGCTGGGAAACTCTCAAAGCAGTAAACTTGGGCAATAGTAGGCTTCACTCACATCATTGTTGTGTATTTCCAGGTATCATTGTTCTCCATCATTTGGTGTACAGTACTTTAAAAAAGTTTCATATTCTTTGTCCATTTTTTTATTTATGTGTGATAAGGCATGTCCAGTTCCTATTAGTTTTTCCATAACATCTTGATTCATTCCTCCTGCAAATTCTCGATGATCACTCCATCCCTGGCTATATGCTTCTTGTTCACAGTGTAAAGGAGAATAAAGACCAATGTAAGCTAAACTCACAGAGAGATAGATAATTTTATTGGCATTTGTAATGCTAAAGAGAAGGTCAGAATTGGCCTATGTACAGTATCTGTAGAAGTTTCCATAGGGGACATCCACTAGAAGTCAGTGAATCAAACATTTAAAATGGATAATATCTCTAAAAAAATATACTGTCTCTGTCAATTATAATATTTGACTCATAATAGCCTTATTTTATACTCATTGAAAAAGCCCTTCAGAATTGGTAAGATGTAGCTTTTATTTACATAAAAATGAAAACATGTTGAAATTAATTTGTCAATGAATTTCTAAGGATACAATGATATTCTAATTTTTCTGAATCAGATCTTGATCCAGAGTCATGTATATCTTAACATCACTCTGTGGAATGAAGAGTGATACGAGTGAAACATTTCCTAATACAAGAGGCACCACTGTCTGTGTAATTTCCAACTTCCCTGTTGACACCCAGTATTGATCTCAACTTTAAATTAACTGTGGTCTGAGAATAGATGTTTCATGATTTCTATTTTCTTAAATTTATTCAGGCCGGGCATGGTGGCTCACGCCTGTAATCCCAGCACTTTGGGATGTTGAGGCTGGTGGATCACTTGAGTTCAGGAGTTCTAGACCAGGCTGGTCAACGTGGTGAAACCCTGTCTCTACTAAAAATACAAAAATTAGCGAGGTATGGTGGCGTGCACCTGTAATCCCAGCTACTCAGAGACTGAGGCAGGAAAATCACTTAAACCAGGGAGGCAGAGGTTGCAGTGAGTCAAGATTGTGCTACTGCACTTCAGCCTGGGCAACAGAGCAAGACTCTGTCCCCAAAAAAATTGTTAAAGTATCTTTTATGACCAAGAATGTGGTCTGTCTTGGTGAATGTTCCATGTGGTCTTGAGAAGAATGTGTAATCTGCATTTGTTGGACAAAGTAGTTTGTAGATATCAATTATCCCCAGTTGACTGATGGTGTTGTTTAGTTCAACTGTGTACTTGTTTGCTGCCTGCTGGATCTGTCCTTTTTTAAAAAAAATTTATTATTATTGTTATTATTTCTTTTTTTTTTTTTGAGACGGAGTCTCGCTCTGTCATCCAGGCTGGAGTGCAATGGCGAGATCTTGGCTCACTGCAACCTCTGTCTGCCAGGTTCAAGTGATTCTCCTGACTCAGCCTCCCAAGTAGCTGGGATTACAGGTGCCTGCCACCACACCCAGCTAATTTTTGTATTTTTAGTAGAGATTGGGTTTCACCATGTTGGTCAGGCTGCTCTTGAAATCCTGACCTCGTGATCCGCCCACCTCAGCCTCCTAAAGTACTGGGATTACAGGCATGAGGCTACTGCGCCCGGCCGGATCTGTCTGTTTTTAATAGAAGGTGTTGAAGTCTCCAACAATAATAGTGAATTCATCTGTTTCTCCTTGCAGTTTGACCCATTTTTGTTATGTGCATACATTTTTTTTTTTTTTGAGACGGAGTCTCACTCTGTCACTCAGGCTGGAGTGCAGTGTCACGATATTGGCTCACTTCAACCTCTGCCTCCTGGGTTCAAGTGATTCTCCTGCCTCAGCCTCCCGAGTAGCTGGGACTACAGGCACGCACCAACACACCCGGCTAATTTTTGTATTTTTAGTAGAGATGGGGTTTCACCATGTTGGCCAGGCTGGTTGAGAACTCCTGATCTCAGATAATCCACCTGCCTCGGTCTCCCAAAGTGCTGGGATTACAGGCGTGAGCCACTGTGCCCGGCCAAGAAAGAAATATTAATAGAAGGTCCTGAGTTTGAGTCAATCTGTCTCCAGAGTCCTTGCTCACAAGGATGTTAGAATATGTTTTTTCTCTTATATGGAAGATGTATCCTAAGTCTAGTTTTAGAAATAATACACTGCCCCATATTGTGAAATTATTGTCTTAAATTATGTTCTAAGTATTATATTAAATTAATTTTATATTTAAATCTGTGATACACCTGGAATTGATATTTAGAGTAATAGTAAAGTGAGCTCAAAAGACAGATTTTTATTCAGCACCAATGTATATTCAATTTCTTAGAACATTTATAGAAAAATTCATCTTTTCCCCATTGATCTTTCTTATTATTTACTTGCATATGCATTGATTTGTTTTGAGCTCTCTTTTCTTTCTTCATTCGTTCATTTCTCTATCTTTGTGCAAATACCACACTTAGTAAGAGACTTCATTGAACCCAAGAAGTTTTATTCCAGTGCCTTTTCTCTTAATCACTTGGCTATTCTGTAATGATTCATGAGAAAAGTTAAAAATCTGCATGCCTTCTACCTATACCAGTATGCCCAGCTTAACTTTTTGTTTTTGTTTTGAGACACGGTCTCACTTTGTTGCGCAGGCTGGAGTGCACTGGCACGATCATGGCTCAATGCAGCCTTGACCTTGTAGGCTCCAGTGATCATCCCACCTCAGCCTAGTAAGTAGCTTGGACTATAGGTGTGTGCCACCACACCTGGCTAATTTTTTAAAACATTTTGTACAGATGAGGTCTCACTGTGTTGCCCATGCTGATGTTGAGCTCCTGGGCTCAAGTGCTTCTCCTATCTTGGCTTCCCAAAGTGCTGAGATTACAGGTATGAGCCACCATGCCCAGCCCCCAACTTAACTTTGAATAAACAGGTGTGTTTAGAAAATTAGAACATTGGTGTTGCACTGCTGTCTCTATTATTTTGTGAGTCTTGAGTCAATACTCCCATTATCACTTATGGCAACATTTTTAGTACATTCTCAGTATTTTTTGGTATGTCCTCTCTTTTTCCTTTCTTGCTTTCTGGAGACTTAGGGACTTTATTTTTTACTGTACACAGCTTATGGAGGTGGGAACCTTAACAAACAGCCCTGAGTGAGCCAGGCACGGGGACTCACATCTGTAATCCCAGCATTTTGGGAGGCTGAGGCGGGCAGATCACAAGGTCAGGAGATTGAGACCATCCTGGCCAACATGGTGAAACCCCGTCTCTACTAAAATACAAAAAATTACCCAGGCATGGCGGTGCACACCTGTAGTCCCAGCTACTTGAGAGGCTGAGGCAGGGGAATTGCTTGAACCTGGGAGGTGGAGTTTGCAGTGAGCTGAGATCGCACCGCTGCACTCCAGCCTGGTGACAGAGCTAGACTCCATCTCAAAGAAACAAAAAACAAAAATAAAACAGCCTGGGTGGCTCCTGAACAAGCTCAGGTGATGCAGTGATGTGTCCTTCCTTCTCCGGACAAGGGATGTCAAGAACTGGGAAGTACTTGGTTATCACTGATAGTCTTCCTTGCTTCAAAATCTGTTATCTCCAACATTAATATTGGTATTCCTGCTTTCTTACAAATAGTGGTAGCATGATATATTTTGTTTTATGCATTTACTTTTGTAACTTTAAATTTTTAGTTTTTGTGGTTACATCGTGTATTTATTGGTTACTTGAGATGTTTTGATACAGGCATGCAATACATTAATAATCACATCAGCATAAATAGGGTATCCATTAATTTATATGTGTGCTTTATTTAAAGTGCATTTCTTGTAGAGAACATATAGTTGCACTGTATTTTTTTTCCCATTCACTCTGACAATCATTGTCTTTTAATTGGTTCATTTAGACTATTGGCATTCAAAGTGAATAGTGATATAGACAGATTAATATCGATCATACTTATTAATATCTTAAAGTTGACACTTGTCTGTGTTCCAGTTTTTGTCACCTACTAGTTTTCTGTGTTTTGTGGTTTTAATAGAGCATTTTATATAATTTTCTCTCCTTTATCAGTATGTCAGTCATATTTGCTTTTTTTTTACTTTTTTTAATCCTAGGAATAAAAACTTTTATTTTTCATATCATTAATTGATCTAATGGATACCATATTGTTAAAAATAATGATATCAACAGTGTATTTGACTAGGTATGCTTATATATATGTCATACATACAAATTCATATACATAAATATATTTGCAAATATGCTTATATATAGGTAAAATGAATGACAACAATGATACAAAGAATGAGAGGGAAGAATTCATATTATTCTCTTATTACAAGTAGTCATACTACCTCAGAAATGATATACTCTTATTTGAAAGGGAGCTTGGATTAGTTGTAAATGTAAACTGCAAACTGTTGGACTGGTTATTGGATCAAGGGCCCCGGTTCCTTGCTGGCCATTGGCCAGAGGCTGCATTTGTTTTCTTTCCGTGTGAGCTTCTCTCACAGAGCAGAGTACTCCATCAAAACCACCAAGGGAGAGAGAGCTTGCAGGGAAGACAGAAATCACAATTTGTGTCATAATCACTAAAGTCTTCAACTTTCCAGTATTCTATCGTTTACATGCCAGTCACACTTTTTGTCCACACTCAGAAACAAAGAACTAGTACCCAAGGTTGTATAAGCCAAGATATTTGGGCACCATCATTGGGTCTACCTGCCACGTCAGGTCCTGTTTATTCTGCAAAAGTTTCTCAGTCTCCACTTAAGAATGTCAGGTATTGGCCAGGTGCGGTGGCTCACACCTGTAATGCCAGCACTTTGGGAGGCCGAGGTGGGTGGATCACAAGGTCAGGAGTTGGAGACCATCCTGGCTAACATGGTGAAACCTCGTCTCTACTAAAAATACAAAAAAATAGCTGGGCATGGTGGCGGGCACTTGTAGTCCCAGCTACTCGGGAGGCTGAGGCAGGAGAACGGTGTGAACCCGGGAGGCGGAGCTTGCAGTGAGCCGAGATTTCGCCACTGCCCTCTAGCCTGGGTGACAGAGCGAGACTCTATCTCAAAAAAAAAAAAAAAAAAAGAATGTCAGGTATTTTGCATGATGTATCACAATATGTATCTAAATAGTTTCTCATAATTTGACTAGGGTTATGGATTAATTTAGACATTTACATTTATCTAACCTTGAAGACAAGAAAAGCTGGATATTATATTACTTAGATAAACAAACGTAATAAAAAAGGGGAAATAAGAGAATGCAAAATAGGTAATTCAAAATAATAGTAGCCTTCACCAGGGTAAGGAAGAAAGTAGAATTTGGGAAATACATTTGTGCGCATTGGTAACATTAATAGTGTTCTGTTTATTGAGCTCCACAGTGAATTATAAAAAAGGGTAAGAATCTTTTTTAAATTTTGGAAGTGTTTTGGGCTTACAGAGCAGTTAGAAAGTGAATACAGAGACTTTACAAACACCCAACCCAGTTTTTTCTGATTATTAATCTCATACATTATTGTGGCACCTTTGTCACAATTAATAAACCAATATTACACATTTATCCCTCACTAATATCCACAGTTTATTCAGAATTCCTTAGTTTTTCACTTAATGTCCATTTCTGTTCCAGGTTCCCATCTGGGATCCCACATCACATTGAGATATCCTCTCTCCTTAGGCTCCTTTTTCCTGTGCCAGTTTCTCAAGACTTTCTTTGTTTTTGATAACCTCATTGCCCTTAATCTGGGACGTCTCTGTTGCTTTTCTCATGATTAGCCTGGATGGGTGGGTTTTGGCACGGAGGACCACAGAGGGAAAGTGCCATTCTCATTACAGTACTCTTAAGTGTGTATCCTTTCAATGAGCTTTGTCACTGTTAATGTTAATTTTATTATCTGGATGTTGTAGTTTTGGTCAGGTTTCTTTCTTGTAAAATTAATCATTTTTCCTCTTTCAGAGTTGTGCTTTTCAAAAGTCATTGTGCACAGCACACACTTAAGAAACAGAGAAACTTGCACTACCTCCTAATAGGCAGAGCCTCTATAAATATCATTTGTATTTCTTCACTGTGGTCAATTTATCTATTTTCCTCAATTTAGTATTTATTTATTTATTCAATATTTTACTTTTATGGATTGTTACATTAAATCGTGATATTTTTCTTACCGTATACCTACTTTATTTATTCCAGCGCTCATTTTTTTTAAGTTTTGGCCACTGAAAGGTCTTTTAGTTGGTTCCTGTATGACTTTGAAAAAGTTCCATCATTGCAATTCAATTTTGTTTGTCTGGTTTGTTGGTTGATTGTTTGTGTTGCTGCTTAGATTTTTCTTACTTTCTGGTAATACAAGGTGCTCCAGGTTAATTGTGGTGATTCCCTGCCCAAGTCTGGTATTAACCATTTATTTAGGGCATCTTAGCTCCTTTTTTGGTGAATGGTATTAGCAACAAAGATCTCGTCCATGGGTATACGTATTTCTACTAAGAATCTACTGATTTGAAGCTTTATCACTTGACAGCAAATAATATGGTTTTGTCAGCTGATAGCAAAGAATATGTATGTTTATACTAACTTACACATATGTATATATGTGTAAATATTTCCATACTTATCCACATTTATCTATATAAAGTTAAACCTGAATTTCTACTGTCCCTGGGTTCACATCAGTGGAATCCAGGAAAACATGAATCTGTAATATCTCCCCTTTCCCAGTACTTTACCTAACCTCTCACTCTAACTGAGGAAGTTGGCCTCCTTTAGTTAATTATTGAGTCTCAAAATACATGCATAGTGGTTACAGAATTGGTCATCTCTACTCCCATGGGAAATAAATTTAATAACTGAAGTACAGTGCTTTTATTCAAATCCTTTGGCCATTAGGCTTAGAATCTATCTTTACTGACTAAGTTTCTAAAAGGAGTCAGTCCCCTTTTAGTCTACACATTGCAGTGAAGTTATTTCTTATACTGTTAGATTATTTTGTCTGAATTGCTCCCTGGGGTCTCCAAACATACTAAGTAATGTGTAATGCCTTATTTAATGATGATTCAATGTATGCATTTAGGTTTACTCTTTGTGATATTAAGTTCTATATGATTTGAAAAACGATTATTAACACATCCTTATAGTATCATAGAGAAGAATTTGGCTTCACAAAATCTTCCCCATTTCCCCTATTTATTGAGCCTTCTTCTGTTCCAAGCTCCTCATACCCACTAATCTTTTTCATTTGCTATAATTTTACCTTTTCACAATGTCGTATAAATGGAATTACACAGTAAATAGTTTTTTCAAACTAGCTTTTTTCTTTTCTTTTTTCTTTTCTTTTTTGAGATGGAGTTTTGCTCTTGTTGTCCAGGCTGGAGTGCAATGGCGTGATCTCGGCTGACCACAACCTCCACCTCCCGGGTTCAAGTGATTCTGCTGCCTCAGCCTCCTCAGTAGCTGGGATTATAGGCATACACCACCACGCCCAGCTAATTTTGTATTTTTAGTAGAGACGGGGTTTCTCCATGTTGGTCAGGCTGGTCTTGAACTCCTGACTTCAGGTGATCCACCCATCTCAGACTTACAAAGTGCTGGGATTACAGGCATGAGCCACCATACCCGGCCCAAACTAGCTTTTTTCAATGATGAATATGCCCTTAAGATTTGTGAAGTGTGGACAGACACGGTGGTTCATACCTGTAATCGCAGCACTTTGAGAGGCTGAGGTAAGAGAGTTGCTTGAAGCCAGGATTTTTAGACCAGCCTGGGCAACAAGGTGACAGCCTGCCTCTAAAATTAAAAAAAATAATAATAAGCTGGGTGTGGTGGCCTATGCCTGTAGTCCTAGCTACTTGGGAGGCCGAGGTAGGAAGATCCCTGGAGCCCAGGAGTTCAAGCTTACAGTGAACTGTGATTACACCACTACACTCCAAACTGGGCTACAGAGCCGGGAGACCAAGAGACCCCGACCAAAAAAAAAAAAAAAAAATTATAAAGCATGTCTCATGATGGTTTAGATTTGCATTTCACTATGGACTAAAAGTGCTAAACATATTTTTATGCCCTTAGTGGACATTTCTATAGTCGTTTGGAGAAATGTCTATTGACACAGTTTACTCACATTTTTTTTTTTTTGAGACAGAGTCTTGCTCTGTTGCCCAGGCTGGAGTGTAGTGGCAGGATCTCGGCTCACTGCAACCTCTGCCTCCCTGGTTCAAGTGATTCTCCTGCCTCAGCCTCCTGAGTAGCTGGGATTATAGGCGCGCACCACCACGCCCAGCTAATTTTGTATTTTTAGTAGAGACAGGGTTTCACCATGTTGGTCAGGCTAGTCTCGAACTCCTGACCTCGTGATCTGCCTGCCTAAGCCTCCCAAAGAGCTGGGATTACAGGTGGGAGCCACCACACTCACTTTTCATTATTATATTCGTCTTTTTATTTTTGAGTTGTATGAGTGATCCGTATTTTCTGGATAATAGTCCTCTATCAGCTCTGTGATTTGGAAATATTTTCTTACTTTCTTGGATTGTCTCAGTGGTGTATTTTGAGTCACAAAAGTTAATTCTGATGAAGTCTGTTTCATCCAGTGTTTTCTTTTGTCACTTGTATTTTGGTGTCGTATTTTGGAATTGATTGTTTCACCTAAGGTGAAGCTGTTTCTTTTTTGGGATTTTTAGTTTTAGCATTTATATTCAGGTCGATGTTTGATTTTGAGTCAACGACATATATGGTATAAGACAGTTCAGTTTGCATGTGGATACCACTTGTCCCAGAAAATTCGTTGCAAAAACTATTTTTTCATATTGAATTGTCTTGGCAAGCTTTTAAAATCAGTTTACCATGTATGTAAAGGTTAATTTGGGGCACTCAACTCAATTCCATTAACACATATGTCAGTCCTCATATTGGTACTACAATGTCTTGATTACTATCAGTTTGCAGTACATTTTGAAATTTGGAAGTGTGACTGCAATACTCCAAAATTGTTTTTTCAAGATTGTTTTGTCTCTTCTGGAGTACTTCGATTTCCATAGGAATTTTAGAATCAGCTTGCCAGTTACTGCAAAAATATGGAAAAAAGGTTTCTGGGTTTCATTTTTGGATTAATTGTTAGTACATAGAAATATAGTTGATTTCAAAGTTTACTTTGTGTACTGCAATGTTACTGAACTCTTTTATGGTTATATTCTTATTTTAGTGGATATGTCAGGATTTTCTATACATGAGATCCTGTCATTTGCAAATATAAACAGTTTGATTTCTTGATTTACAATCTAGGTATCTTTTATTTATTTTCTAGCCTAATTACCCTGGCTACCTCCTTCTGTACAATATTGAATAGAAGTGGCAAAAGTGGTATTAAGTTCTGTATGATTTGAAAAATGATTATTTTTTGTCACATTTCTAATCTTGGGGAAATTACTGAGACTTTCATGATAGGTTATATTATGTGAGCTTTTAATGGATGCCATTTCTAGGCTGAGAAAGTTCCCTTCTATCCCTAATTTGTTCAGAGTTTTTATCATGAATAGGTTTTGGGTTTATCAAGTGCTTATTCTGTATCTTTTGCAATAATCATTTGGATTTTGTCCTTCATCTTATTAATACAATGTCTTACACCAATTGCTTTTGTATGTTTAACCGAACTGACATTCCAGTGATAAATATCCTTGGTCATAGTGTATAATCCTTTTCATATGTTGCTGATATGTTTTGGTAGTATTTCTTTGAGAATTTTTGCCTCTGTTTCATGAGGCATATTGGTCTGTAATTTTCCTATCCTGAAATATATTTGTCCCATTGCGGTATCAGGATAACTGCCCTCATAGAATAGATTGGTAAATTTTGTCTTCTCTTTTTTTTTTCTTTGAGGAAGAGTTAGTAAAGGATTGTTATTCATTCTTAACAGGTTTAGAGTAATTCACCCGTCATTTTGCCCTAGACAAGAATTGAATTCTAACAACAATTACATGAGCTTGGAAGGTGACCTTCCCTAGGCAAGCCTTCAGTTGTAACCTCAGCCTGAGTCATGTGACCCTGAAAAACCATGGGTAACACATTTATGAGGTTCTGAGTCACTAAGGTTTGAGGTAACTTGTTATGCAGTAATAAATAACTAATATACGTGGGAGTAACTGCAGTGTGTTATATTAGATTAGATCATGCAATAGAAAAAAGATATTAGTGAAAACCTAATACAACACGAAGAATGCCTGTATTTCAGTTACTAGTTTTGTACCACCAGTTTTCTGAGTTTTCATACACATACTGTGGCTATGTAAGGTATAAACATTACAGGAGGCTGAAAGGTATATGAAACACTCTGTACTATCATTGCATTTTTCTTTCTTTTTTTTTTTTTTTTGAGACAGAGCCTCACTCTGTCACCTGGGCTGGAGTGCCATTGCGTGATCTCAGCTTACTGCAACCTCCGCCTCCAGGGTTCAAGTGATTCTTCTGCCTTAGCCTCCCGAGTAGCTGAGGTTACAGGCACACACCACCACGCCAGGCTAATTTTTTTTTTTTTGTATTTTTAGCAGAGAACGGGTTTCACCATGTTCGCCAGGCTGGTCCCAAACTCCTGACCTCAAGTGATCCGTGCGCCTTGGCCTGCCAAAGTGCTGAGATTACAGGTGTGAGCCACCACACCTGGCCTATCTTTGCATTTTTCTATACATCTAAAATTTTTTCAAAATAAAAACATTTTAAAATGTATTTGTTTGCTCCAAAAAAACAAAACAAAACAAAACAAACAAAAACAACAACAACAAAAAAAACCTTTGATCAGAGGATGAACAGAGATGTCGGGAAAGAATGGCAAAGCAGTTTGCCTATTATCCACCATTCCAAACCCAGATGAACCTATTTCAAGAAGACTCCCACAATCACTAGGGACTCCCCTCAATTTTCTCCCTTCCTGTAAAACTTCCCATTACACAGTCACCATTTTGTTTGTCACTACTTCTTTAAAGATAGTGGCCTGTGCCTCCCATACCTCATAAAGCCCCATTTTCAGACATTGGCAGTGTATCTGTTGGATCCACTAAAGACTTTTTAAAAGACATGGCTTCCATTCGTTAGAAGCTATCATAATATTGAGAAATATACGGGGAACATATATCACAATTCTGCATTCAAGGGTATAAGACAGTTCAGTTTGCATGTGGATACTACTTGTTCCACATTGTTTTCTTTTCTTTTTTTTTTTTTTTGAGATGGAGTTTCTCTCTTGTTGCCTAGGCTGGAGTGTGCAATGGCACCATCTCGGCTCACTGCAACCTCTACCTCCAGGATTCAAGCCATTCTCCTGCCTCAGCCTCCTGAGTAGCTGGGATTACAGGCGCCTGCCACCATGCCCAGCTAATTTTTGTATTTTTAGTAGAGACGAGGTTTCATTATGTTGGCCAGGCTGGTCTCGAACTCCTAACCTCAGGCGATCCAGCCGCCTCAGCCTCCCAAAGTGCTGGGACTACAGGTGTGAGCCACTGCGCCTAGCCTCAAGGGTGTTTTCTTAGTACAGGGATTCCTTTTTCAAGTTTTAAAAGAGAACTGTATCTTCAAGCCTTTGAGAAACACCTTGGTTAATTAATCTTTTTCTTCTACAAACCCAATCATGAATTCTTTGGGACCATGCACTCCACTGACACTTAACCTTATGGATTTATATTGAACATTGCCAAGTCCAAAAGCCACAGATTAAATATCATAGTGGTAGCAGGTGCGTAGGGCACACACATAACAACAATAACAACAACAGGCTTTAATAAACATGGGGCTTTAGGCCAGCCTCTGTTTATACAGATCAGGAAAAGAAACCTTTGGCCAGCTGTGGTGTCTCATGCCTGTAATCCCAGCACTTTGGGAGGCCCAGGCAGGAGGATCACTTAAGCTCCAGAGTTCAAGACCAGCCTGGGCAACATAGCGAGACCCCATCTCTACTAAAAATACCAAAAAAATAGCTTGGTGTCGTGGTATGCACCTGTGGTCCCAGCTACTCAGGATACTGAGGTGGGAGGATCACTTGAGCCCAGGGGACGGGGGCTGCAGTGAGCCAAGATCGTGCCACTGCATTCCAGCCTGGGTGACAGGTGAGACCTTGTCTCAAAACAAGAAAATAAAAAGGGAAAGAAACTTTAAAAACCAGGTCCACTCATGCCATGCACAGCTCCCTGTTCACAGATCTCAGCACTCTGCTGGGTAGCCCCAGGCCTGTGCGCAGGAACCATGCATACAAAGCGTACAAAGCCATAGGAGTACCTACTGCACTCCCACAGAAATCCACAAGGTCAAGGCTCTTGCTTCTATTGTCCATAATCTGGAGAATATTCTCCACGCTGCAGTTATAGCTTCAATGAGAAAATGAGCTTCTGCAGCCTGCAGACCTGGAGTGAGAAGATACAGCTGACCTGGGCCACATATCTCACCACTGAGGTCAGGATAGCAGATATTTAGGTGCTGTTAAAATGGACATTTGTATTTCAATAATCCTTCTCACTCTTCCATGCTTATATTTTGCTCCATGAATAAGGATAATTTCCTTTAAATTGATAATCTTAAAACAAGGAGAGTTATTCTGTTAATTGTAACAGGAGTTCCTATAAGCTAAGTGACTTGTAAAATGCATTTCCTCTTCATTTTTATGTATACATTATAGTCTATTATGATGTTGTATACTGTGAATAACATCCCTCACCAAAATCTTCAGGGGACAAAAAAGTAGAATGGCAGACCATAAAGGAGACCCAAGAGGATATGGACAAGGAGTGATCCATCCCAAAATGGCAAGAGTGACAATGAGCTCTGTGTGCTGAGTTAAAAAAAAATAAATTTCAGACACAAAACTGTGCTAATATGATGTCACTGGCACAGACAGCACAATGCTGAGGACTGAGTTCCCAAACATGACTGATAGCCTGGAAGATGTGATTTCTCACAACCTGTTTAACAGCTTGTTACCAGATTTCACTTAGGCTGCCCTGCCTACAAGAACTCTTAGAAAGATGCCATTGAAAAGGTCTAAAGTCTTAGATGTCATCAGGAGCCAACACTGTCTCCACCCTCTATTCTGAATAGAAAAGAGTGTTCAGTGGATGCATAGCTTCTGTTTCTGAGATCAAGGCTTGTTGTTAACTTAATCGAGCCTTCCTAGAATTTGAAAATTTTAGTGCCAATAAACCCAGCATCCTAAATTATAAATTATATGAATTTCTTCTTCATTAAACATACTCTTTAGGCAACACCAAAGCCCATTTCATTTCTAAGTACCTGAAAGTAAAGTTGACCAGAGGAACAAGTGGTCAGAGAAGAACATTTTGTGAAAACTACAATGCATCTGCATCTGCAGTGACTATTCATAAAGTTGTTATTGGTGTGAGCATCATTCATGTGATTAGAAAGATGAATGGTGATGTATTGTGGATTTGTATTCCTGCTCAAATATCATGTTGAAATATAATCCCCAGTATTGAAGGTGGGGCCTGGTAGGAGGTGACTGGATCATGGAGGAAGTTTCTCATTAATGGTTTAGCACTGTTCTCCTTGGTACTGTTGTCACTATAGTGAGTTCTCACAAGATCTAGTTGTTTAAAGGTTTGTGGCAGTTCCCAGCCTCTCTCTTGCTCCTGCTCTGGCTATGTGTTGTGCCTGCTCCTCCTTCACTTTCAGTCATGATTGTGTTTTGAAGCCTCCCCAGAAGGTGAGCAGATGCCAGCATCATGCTTCCTGTGCAGCCTTACAGAATTGTGAGCCAATTAAACCTCTTTCCTTTATAAATTGCATGATCTCAGTTTTTTTTTTTTTTCTCTTTTTTTGACGGAGTCTAGCCCTGTCGCCCAGGCTGGAGTGCAGTGGCGCAATCTCGGCTCACCGCAACCTCCACCTCCCAGGTTCACGCCATTCTCCTGCCTCAGCCTCTCGAGTAGCTGGGATTACAGGCGCACGCCACTATGCCCGGCTAATTTTTGTATTTTTAGTAGAGATGGGGTTTCACCATGTTGGTCAGGCTGGTCTCAAACTCCTAACCTCATGATCCGTCCACCTTGGCCTCCCAAAGTGCTGCAATTACAGGCGTGAGCCACCACACCCGGCCAGTTTTGTTTGTTTGTTTGTTTTTTATAGCAATGTGAGAACAGACTAACACAAATGGAAAATATAAATATATAATCATTCTGGATTGAAGAATTAGATTTGCAGTGCAGCTGATTGAGAATATTACATTATGATTAAGGCATACATTTCCAAGATACAGATTTTTCTGTCTTCAGAGAATTTCACTCAAGTGAAAACTTTGAAGTAACTCTTTACTATTTCTATCTTCCTTCTCAATGAACATTATGAACCATAGTCTACAAAGTTACCTTTCCACTTATGATGTATCTTTGTTATCTATAGTTTACTCTTTTTTTTTTTTTTTTTTTTTTTTGAGACTGAGTCTTGCTCTGTTGCCCAGGCTAGAGTGCAGTAGCACAATCTAGGCTCACTGCAACCTCCACCTCCCAGGTTCAGGCCATTCTCTCACCTCTCCTTCCCGAGTAGCTTGGACTACAGGCATGTGCCACCATGCGCAGCTAATTTTTGTATTTTAGTGGAGACGGGATTTCACCATGTTGGCCAGGCTGGTCTCAAACTCCTGACCTCAAGTGATCCGCCGGCCTCCGCCTCCCAAAGTGCTGGGATTATGGGCGTCAGCCACCGCACCCTGCTTGTAGTTTACTCTTGAGTTCTGTCTCTCTACAGTGGCTGTAAAGTATAGCCTTACCAAATGGGACTCCAGAAGATTAACTCCTTGTTGTCTACAATGTCTACCTTTCGTGGGATACTTCTTTATCCTGGTGTATTTCCTAATATCTAAATGTCCTAGATGTCACCAGGTGTTCTTCTCACAGGAAACTTGTTTATACTAGCACATGCCCTTGAAGCTCTTGTCTGACCTATGTACAGTTTACTTCTACCAAGGTAGCCACTCTCTAGGAGAGCCCCAGATGAGAAAGAATTTAGGTTCAGGTGTGTTGGTTGTGTACGACAGAGTAAAACACAAAACTGGTGAAATAACAGAAGCACTGTATTACTCAAAGATCCCAGAAAGAAGAAAATAGCATGCCTCCCAAGGCCAATGGGAAGGCAAGAGCTGTCTGAAACATACACCCACAGCAAATGGGAGTGGGGTGAGTGTCAAAGGGAGGGTGATGGAATGAGGGACCAGTGGGCTGCAGCCTTTATTGGGTTCCAGAGTGTAACCCAAATCGGTTTCTCATAGGAAGTTCCAGCTGTTGGTTTACAGCAAGAAGGCATGAGTTTCATGAAGTCATCCTGTGATGTAGAGGTGCTCACTGGAATGTCTATACATTGTACATGGGGAATGGAGGTCAGTGGGGCAAGTCAAGTGTTGCATCTAGCTGTCCCATAGGGAGTAGTGACCTGGAGGGGTTGTATGAGGAGATATCTGGATCCACCACATTAAGGAATTGGAAGAAGGTGGAGAACTGGAAATGGTGTCATGGATGACTAAACCCTGGTTCTGATATGAGTAAATAAAACCTATATTTAATATGAATTCTGAGGCAATATATAGAATTGTAAGTATTTACTACAACATTTAAAAGAGAAATTCCGGTAGTTCGCTAAAAGCTCTAATATCTCCAGTATCTAGGCAGAAGGTAAATACAGTTGGGCAAGTTAAATAAACCTATATTGAAACATATTCCTTCGATAATAGACCAGAATACAACAGGTCAGCAGTGACATTACACTGATAAATGTGTAGTCACAGAGAAAAAGGGTATATTATGTTGATCCTACGGTAGGTATTTTCACATATTTCAGATATAAATGCATCTTAAAATAGACATTGTAGAAATACTCTTGGTCAGAGGCAGCAGTGATGTGATTGTCCTCGTGGGCACATACATCTCTGCAAATAGCCCATTCTCTTAACCACTGTGGTATTGTGTAATGAAGACATAGAAGAGTGAAAAGCTGTGTGCCTTGCACCTACACCAGTATTCCAAGCTGTGCCTTGAATGAAGCAGAGAGCATAGAACTTTATAACATTGCTGTTGATACTTATGTTTCTAGTGTTCTGCTGCATCTTAAACAATCCCCCAACACCACCCCATGTGTCACTTAGTATCATCTCAGCAAGTTTCTTTCAATCTCATGCCCCCTTATTTTCTTTCTCTGCTTTACGAAGCCGGAGGAACTTTCTACTCCAGCAGCAACAGGGAGCAGATCAGGAGCCTGTATAGACATCCCTGCATGGCTTTTGCACAAGTACAGACTGCCCAGTGACTGTGGTCACCTCCTCCAGACCATCCCATTAAGCATGGGAACACAGAAGGTACAGCTGAGTTCAGAGCCTCTCTTTTGGATCTGCCTGTCTAGCAGCTACCCTTTGGGGACCATGCGGGAATTCAGCTGTTTTGTACAAAGATCGAGTTAGTTCAGCAGTCATTCTTCTTACTGAACAATGATACAATGCCCACAAACCTTGCTTGTAATAATTTCTTCTTGGTTTTTGTTTTGGCATGCAAATGCTTTTAACATTTGTGTATAAATTTATTTTTTGGCATCATCTACAACCCAAATGTGTGTTTTTGTATTGTGTATTAATGCCTTTCATCCTACCTTTAACAATGCATTTACAATCATTTTTCAGCATACCTTTTCAATTATTTTCTTCTTTTCATTCATTACTCTTTATTAAATGGGAATATCACTTTTATTAGGAAAGACAGATGTTACGCATTCTCTCTTTTATCGTTTTCTGGAAATGTTCTCTAAAATACCTCTAGTTGGAAAGAAGAGGAACAAAGATTTTTCTGGAAACCACAAGACAAAATATGCTGAGAACATCATTGTGAATAAGAGATGTGACTATTGCCATTATATGATTCAGTTTGTCCTGGTTTTTAAAGGTTAAAAATTACTAATTTTTGTAGACAGAGCATTGAGAGATCGATTTTCTGGACAGGAATTTTGTTAATATGCATGTTTGTTTTTCTCTTACCCCAAAGTTAGAAACATTGGCTGGACTTTCTGATTCATTCCAAGTAGTTCTTCTAAAAGTATTCATGACATATCTCTGTACAGATGGCTTATAATATAGATTTGTATCATTTTCTTACTCTTTGATAAGTGAATACTAAAAGCATCTTTAGTTTTCAATTTTAAAATACCACTCAGAAAATGTGTACATATATGTTAGGCAGCACATATTTTTGTAGAGGATTAAATATATTAGAATACGTAATAGAAATGGTATGGTAGAAAGGGAGTTGAAACTTAATGTTTATTTTATCAGCTATAAATATTTTTAAAAGTTTCTCGTGTGTGACTTTTAGATGATCAGCACCTTTCGTATTATTCTTTGACCACTATATGCATGGGGGGTCACAGGAGAACAACACAGAGAAGTTTACATATTTTCTGATGCCTTGG
Source organism: Homo sapiens (assembly GCF_000001405.40). Classification (NCBI taxonomy): domain Eukaryota; kingdom Metazoa; phylum Chordata; class Mammalia; order Primates; family Hominidae; genus Homo; species Homo sapiens. Next base: position 23,932,263 of record NC_000015.10, read on the forward strand.
TTCAACGGAGATTCAGAAAATATAACCAAAACTAAACTGTAGGTAGAAGAGCTGCCCTTGGGAACTCAGGGGACAGGCATCAGGCCTGGGATGGGATGGACAAGGGAGGCCTCCAGGAGGAGGAGCATGGAGGAGATGCTGGAGAGTGAGGAGCAGTGAGTCCAGCAGACAGGGGAGGGGAAGAGAGGAGGAAACAGTGTGTCCATGGCACAGGCCAGGCCATGAGAAGATGACAGTTGATTGGAAGGATTTCTGGGATGAGTAATACGTGAGAAAGCAGGAGCAGGAAGGGCAGACCATGGAGGGACTAGACAGGGAAGGCAGGGCCGCTCCCTGAGGACTGCATTCTGTGGGAAAGAAATGGAATGCCTCAGTTTCTTTTTTGAAATGTTATGCAGTCCATGAGGTATGCTTCTCAGGAAGACGGAATGAATGAGGATGGCCCCTGCCCACTGGGAGATCCTTGGGCATTACCAGGAGGATTGGATCTCAGGAGGAGGGAGGGTTGAGAGGGGCAGAGAGGACCCCCAGGCTAGATGACTGGCCAGCTTAGGGACCTTAAATGCTCCAGATCTCCTCTGTGCCTCCATCGCACAGACCTCCCACCGCACCCTAAGTAGAGGTTTCTCTCCCTTCAGTCATTTTGCAGGTATAAGTGGGATCAGAAAATTCAGTATGACTCACTCACGGCCACCCTTGCCCACATATGGGAGGCTGAAAACAGCCCAACAGGCAGTGCTGATGAGGGGATTTCAGGTTTTCAAACCTGCTCAGAGAGCTAATCTGAGGCCAGATGTACAGGGGAGGCCAATAAGGGGCCTGAGGTTCTGGCAAGAGGAAATGAGCGGTGGGTGGTGTGGGCTACCTTTACAGGACGTTTCTCGGTGGACATTACCATGTTACCCATTTGTGTCTGCATGTCTCCTCCATGTTCTGTGATATTCTCATACAAACCTAATGATTTTCTTAGACCACGACAGATATTTTAACTTCATTCTTTCTGTCAGATTTGCCTATTTCCATCACGTATCTACAATTACCTAAATTTTGTATTGTCAGATTATTGGTAAACCATTTGCATAGTTACCTTTTTATTCACATATAATAATTGTGTATATTTATGGGTTACAATGTGTTTAGATTTTATCTATGTGTACATTTAATTAAGATTTAATCAAACTTAATGAACATATCCATCGCTTCACCAGTTTATCTTTTTTTTCTGGTGAAAAGTTAAAAAATCTATTATTTTAGCAATATAAAAATATGCAATACAATTTAATAAACAAATGACATTACCCTGTGATACCATGCTTTTTATCAATTCTGCAAATTAGTATCTCCTTATTTCAGAGGAGGATCTCTGCTACATGCTCCTAAGCAATTATGTTTTGGGGGAGTGTTATATTTTTCTATTACTTTTCAATACTTCTATATTCTGGGAACCATGATGCTATTGACACTTGTTTGAATAATCCAGTAGCTGTAGCTTTTACTTTTACTTTACTCTTTATATAATACTGTTCATTTTACTTACTTTGGAATTACTCTTCCTTTTCTAAGTTTGAAAGATGGAAACTCAGATGATTGAATTTAGACCTTTTTTCTCGGATGTATACATTCAATGCTATACATTTCCATCTATATGTTGTTTCATTGTATCACACAAATTTCGGTGTTATGTTTTTATTTTTATTTAGTTTTATTTTTATTTAGAAGTATTTTCTTTTACATTTCTCTTGTGATTTCTTCTTTGACCCTATTTATAACAAGTTTGTTGTTCAGTCCACATGCATTTCAAGATTTTCTAGTTATTTTTCAAGTTATCCCTTGATTTCTAGTTTTATGATTCTGTGGTCTGTGAACATACATTTTATGATTTCCATTCCTTTTTATGGTATGTTTTATGGCCAGATTGTGTTCTGTCTTGGTAAATGTATTCCAGATGAGCTTAAGAAGAATGTGTAGTCTGAATTTGTTTGATGAAGTAGGCTGTAGATGTCATTTCTAACCAGTTGACTGATGTTGCTGTTGAGTTCAGCTATGTCCTCACTGCAACTCTACCTGCTGGATCTGGCAGTTTCTCATAGAGGGTCTTGAAGTTTCCAAGTGTAATATTGAATTCGTCTCTTCATCCTTCCATTTCTGTCACATTTTGCCTCATGTAGGTTGATGTTCTATTGTTAGGTGGATACAGTTTAGGGGTTGTTATCTCTTGTTGGAGACTTACCCCTTCATCTTAATGTAATGTCAATTTTTGTTCCTAGTAACTTTCCTTATTTTGATGTCTGCTCTATCTGAAATTAATATGGCTAATCTTGCTTTCTTTGATTACTGTTATCTACTATGCTATTTGCTACATCTATTTACTTTTAATTTACATGTGGCTTTATATTAAAGGCAGATTTTTTTGGAGAAAATATATAATTGGTCTTCTTTGTCATCCACTCTGGCAAATCTAATTTAATTTATGCAGTTACACCATTTGCCATTCAGAACGATTATTGATGTAGTTGGATTAATATCTGCCATATTCATTACTGTTTTCTATTTGTTGCTCGTTTTTTCTTAATTTTTTTCTTCCACTCATTTTCTGCCTGTTGTTGTTTTAGCTGAGCATTTCATATGGTTATAGTTTTTCTCCTTTTCATGTAAGTTACATATCATGCTATGGTTTGGGTATGGTTAGTTTGGCCCCATGCTATGGTTTGGATACGGTTTGTTTGGTCTCATGTTGAAATTTGATCCCCAGTGTTGGATGTGAGGCATGATGGGAGGTGTTTTGATCATGGAGAGAGATCCTTCAGTAATGGCTTGGTGCCATTCTCACAGGATTGAGTGAGTTCCCACCCCTTAGTTCCTGCAAGCACTGGATGTTGAAGAGAGCCTGGCACTTAGCCACCTCTCTCTTGCTTCCTCTCTCAACATGTGATCTCTGCACACATCAGCTCCCCTTTACCTTCTGCTATTGAGTGGAAGCAGCCTGAGGCCCTCAAAAGATGCAGATGCCGGCACCGTGTTTCTTGCACAGCCTGCAGAATCATAAGGCAAGTAAACCACTTTTCTTTATAAATTACCCAGCCTCAGGTATTTCTTGATAGCAAGATAAAGATGTATGATTTTTACCTTTTAAGTGGTTTAAGAATTTTTCATGTTTTTGGCTGGGCGCGGTGTCTCACGCCTGTAATCCCAGCACTTTGGGAGGCCAAGGCAGGCGGATCACGAGGTCAGGAGATTGAGAACATCCTGACTAACACGGTGAAACCCCGTCTCTACTAAAAATACAAAAAATTAGCCGGGTGCGGTGGCGGGTGCCTGTAGTCCTAGCTATTCGGGAGGCTGAGGCAGGAGGATGGCGTGAACCCAGGAGGTGGAGCTTGCAGTGAGCCGAGATTGAGCCACTGCACTCCAGCCTGGGAAACAGAGAGAGACTCTGTCTCAAAAAAAAAAAAAAAAGAAGAATTTTTAATGTTTTTAATAGCTTCTATCAGATAATAGTTTCTTGAAAATAACAATTTATGTGATTATCTATGCACATGTATATGTATATGTGCAAGTATGCTTACGTATACTGAAAATAAATTACAGTAAGAATCCTAGGCACTGGAGAAGAAAGTAGGATTATTTTGTTATTGTAAGGTACTCAAACTACCTGCAAAGGATATCGTATAATTTGAAAAGGGGCTTGGATTAGTTTTAAATGTAGTACTGCAAACTTCAGGACAGCTTATTATGCAAAAGCACCAATCTCTTCCTAGCTGTTGACCAGAGGCTGCACTCAATTCCTTGCCAAATGGCCTTCTCTCCTATGGCAAAATGCTTCATAAAAGCCACCAAGTGAGTGAGGTTCCTAGCAAGACAGAAATCATAACGCAGTATAATTACCTAAGTGATATCTCATCATTTTTGCAAAATTATATTTTTTCCAAGTGAATAAAAGTTCTTATTCTTACTCAGCAAAAACACAACAGAATTCAAGGTTATGTAGATGAAGAGATGGGGATCACTGGTAGCCATCTGCCTGCCACATCAAGTCCTCTTGAGTCTGCAACAGTTTCTCAGTCTTCAGTTGTGTATCATGACCTTGACCCTTTTGAAAATAGTGGTCAGAAATTTTGTAGAATGTCCCACAATATGGATTTGTGGGATTTTATTCATGTTTAGACTAGGAGTATTGTTTAAATTGAACACTTGCTTTTATCTAAATTTGAAGACAAGAAAAAATGAACAATATATACAGTTTAGAAATACAAACATAGAAAGAAAGATAGTAAATAAAATGTAGAGAATGACAAAGAAAGAGTTCACCATAATAGTTCATTGTAACAGCTAAGGAAGATGATGACATTAGAGAGATGCCTGCCCCCAGGGGGCATCAAAATATGGTAAGGCTGTTTCTTAAACTTGGTAGTTTCTCTGCCAAGAAACTTTTAAAAGTTTCTCTTTTTAAAATTTAAGATTAGGCCAGGTAAGGTAACTCACACCTGTAGTCCCAGCTACTTAGGAGGCTGAGGTGGAAAGATCGCTTGAGCCCAGGAGGTCGAGTCTGCAGTGAGCCGTGATCATGCCACTGCATGCCAGCCTGAGTGGTAGAGTGAGACCCCATCAAAAATAAATAAATAAAATGAAATAAAGTTTTAAAAATTAAGATTAGTTTTATATGTACAAAGCAGTTGCAAATATAGTATAAAAGTTCTTGTATTCCCCACACAGAATTTCCTATATTATTAACCCCTTATATTAGTGTAGGACATTTATCACAATGAACCAGCCAATATTATACATTATCACTAACTACTTCCCATGCTTTATTCATATTTCATTGTTGCACTTAGTGTCCAGTTTCTATTTCAAGATCCCATCTAGTATACCACATCACAATTAGATATCATGTAGGCTTTTTTGACTGTGACAGTTTCTAGGAGTTTTTTCATTTTTGATGACATGAGCATTCTTGATTTGGGATTACTTGATGTTTTTCACAAGATTTCGGTGGATTGTGGATTTTGGTGTAGAAGACCACAGAGAAAAAAAAATGCCATTCTCATTACATGATATCAAGGATATATACTAAAATCACACTTTATCACTGTTGATGTTCATTTGATCACCTGGATGAGATAGTTGATATGAAATTTCTCCACTATAAATTACCTTTCCTCATTTTCCATGTTGTATGTATCAAAAAAGTTACTAATCACATAAGAAATGAGGAGTCATGCTCCATCTCCCAACAGGCAGAATATCTACAAAAATTATTTTTAGTTTTTCACCATTTGTGTGTATATTTTCTTCCATTTATATTTATTAAATCACTTATTTCTGTAAGTATGCAAATGTGTGTATTTATTTTACACTTTATTTATTTATTTATTTATTTATATATTTTTGAGACAGAGTCTTGCTCTGTTGCCAGGCTGGAGTGCATTGACACGATCTTGGCTCACTACAACGTACTCTGCCTCCTGGGTTCAAGCAATTCTTCTGTCTCAGCCTCCCTAGTAGCTTGGATTACAGGCACGTGCCACCACGCCCGGCTAATTTTTGTATTTTTAGTAGAGGGTTTCACCATGTTGGCCAGGATGGTCGCGATCTCTTGACCTCGTGATCTACCCACCGTAGCCTCTCAAAGTGCTGGGATTACAGGCGCAGGCCACCATGCTTGGACTCCTTCATTTATTTTATTGCTCAAATTGTTTTACTGTTGGTCATTCAAAGGTCTTTTAGTTGATCCTCTATCATTTTGAAATACTCTGGTAATTACAGTTTTATGTTGTGTGATTGGTTATTTGGTTTTATTGTTGATTAGCATATTCTTTTCTGGCACTGCATGGTGTTCCAGGCTCCTTGTGTTTTGATTCCTTCCCGAAGCCTAGTATCCATCATGTCTTCAGGAAGCCCTAGTTCCTTTTATTGGAAAATAGAATTTGAAACAAAGATCTGGGCACCAGGTCCACTCATTGCTACTGGGGCATCTGTTGATTCAAAGCCTTGCCAGCTGACCGAGAAAATAAATATATCTCTATATACTGACACATAAATATACACATATTTCTAAATATAGCAATATATGTCCATATGCATCTATATTAAATTAAACATGAATTCCTACTAATGCTCCATTACCACATAATCTAAATTATTAGCAGATGAATCAGTTTACCTATTCCCACTTATTTGTATGTAGCCTACCATTCTAACAGTGAGACAATTGGCTCTGTAAACAGTTTTACATTCTGAAAAGACATGCACAGTGTTTCCAGAATTGGTAATCCATATGCCCATGAGAAATGACTTTCACCAACTTTGGTTTTTAGACTTAGACTCTCCCCTCATTTTTAAAGTTACTCAGGTCATTCCCCCTTCCTCCTCCCATTCCCTTCAGTGAAATAACTCATACATTTGTAATACTGTTACATTATTTTGTGTATTTCTTTTTGGGTTCCCCCAACCTACTAAATAATGCTTTAAATTTGCATGCTTTTAGATTATTTCTTTTTGTTGTAAAATTCTATAGGATTTCAAAAACACTGTTATGTATCCATCACTGTAACGTCACACAGAATAATTACACTGCCCCATAGAAAACCCCTGTAATTTGGCCGGGCACGGTGGCTCACGCCTGTAATCCCAGCACTTTGGGAGGCGGAGGCAGGTGGATCACGAGGTCAGGAGATCGAGACCATCCTGGCTAACACAGTGAAACCCCTTCTCTACTACAAAAAATACAAAAAATTAGCCCGGTGTGGTGGCGGGTGCCTGTAGTCCCAGCTATTCAGGAGGCTGAGGCAGGAGAATGGCGTGAACCTGGGAGACGGAGCTTGCAGTGAGCCGAGATCACACCACTGCACTCCAGCCTGGGCGACAGAGCAAGACTCCGTCTCAAAAAAAAAAAAAAAAAAAGAAAAGAAAAGAAAAGAAAACTGCTGTAATTCATATTCATGTTTTCTCTCTCCCAAGCCTCTTGTAACCACCAATCTTTTTACTACCTTTGTACATTTGTCTTTTCCAGAGTGTTCTGTAAATGGAATTATACAGTATTTTGCCTTTTCCACTTGCTTTTTTCACTTAACAATACACATTTTAGATTGGTGAAATGTAACTCCATCATTGTTTAAATATTCATTACCCTAATAACAAAGGAGTTGAGCAAACCTTCATGTCTTTCTTGGTTATAATTATAGCATTTTTGGAGAAATGTACATTTAAGTAATTGGCCATTTTACTTAGATATTTGCCTTTTTATTATTGAGTTAAAACATGTTTTATATATACTGAATATTAGATCCTTATGTGGCTAGCAAAAATTTTCTCCCTTCTTTGGTTTTTCTTTTTACTTTTTGATGATGCACTTTGAATCACAGAAGATTTTAATTCTGATGAAGACCAATATATCTCTTTTTTATTTTGTTACTTATGCATTATCTGTCACATCTTCGAAAACATTGTTTAATAATCTAATGTCATTGAAACGTATTTCTATGTTATCGTCTATGGTTTTGGCCTATCTAGCACTTATATTTAGATATATGATTAATTCGAATCAGTCATGTATATGGTGTGAGAGAGGAGTTCAACTTGCATGTAGATATCCACTTGTCCCAGCAACATTTGTTAAAAAATATTTATTTATTTTTCTTATTGAATTGCTTGGCAAACTTGAAAATCAGTTGATCTTGCAGGTAAGTGTTAATTTTTGGACACTCAATTTTATTGTATTGATGTATATATGTCTATCTTTATACTAGTTCCACAAATCTTTTTTTTTTCTTTTACTTTTTTCTTTTTGTTTTGGGACAGGGTCTTGCTGTCTCACCCAGGCCACAGTACAGTGGCATGATCATGCCTCACTGCAGCCTCCAATTCCTGGGCTCAAGAGATCCTCCCACCTCGGCCTCCTGAGTATGAAGAACTACTCATGTGGGCCACCAAGCCTGGCTAAGTTTTTTAAAACTTTTATTTATTTTTTTTTTGAGACAGATTCTTGCTCTGTCACCCAGGCTGGAGTGCAGTGGCATGATCTCGGCTCACTGCAACCTCCGCCACCTGGGTTCAAGTGATTCTCGTGCCTCAGCCTCCCAAGTAGCTGGGAGTATAGGCATGCACCACTACACCTGGCTAATTTTGCATTTTTAGTAGAGATGGGGTTTCACCACGTTGGCCAGGCTGGTCTCGAACTGCTGATCTCAGGTGATCTGCCCTCCTCGGCCTCCCAAACTGTTGGGATTACAGGCATGAGCCACTGCACCTGGCCAAAAACTTTTTTGTAGAAAAAGATCTCGCTGTGTTGCACAGGCTGATCTCAAACTCTTGGCCTCAAGCAATCCTCCTGCCTCAGCCTCCTGAGTAGCTGTGATTACAGGCACAAGCCACTGCACCCAGCCAGTACCACAAAACTTTATTACTATTGCCTTGTAGTCATTTTGTAATCAGGAAGTGTGCATTTACTATGCAGATTAATTTCTTTGTTCTGGATCTATTCCATTTACATACCAGTTTTATAATCAACATTCAAATTTAAGCAAAATTTCATCTGGAATTTCGATGGGGACTGCATTAAATCTGTAGATCCATTTGGAAAATAGTGCTATCTTAGCAATATTAAGCCGTTCAATCAGTGAATAAAAAAGGCCTTTTCATTTATTTAGGATGTAATTGTTTTTGTTGAATAAGTTTTATAGTTTTCAATGTACATATCTAACAGTTGCTAGTGTGTATAAATGAAATTTATTTCTCTATTTTGACCTTGTTTACTGCAACCTTGATGAACTCATTTTTTATTTCTAATTATATTTCATTAAAATTCCTAGAATTTTCCATTCTCAAGACCATGTCATTTGCATCGTTGACTTTCTTTCCAAATCAGATTATTCGTATTTATTTTTCTAGCCTATTTGTCCTTACTATACCTTCCAGTAAAATGTTAAAAATAGAAGTGGCAAGAGTGGACAACTTTCAAGTAAATTATGATGTTATGTGAGTTATTCATGGTTGTCTTTAAGGTGAAGAAAGTTCCCTTCTATGCCTAACCTGCTACATGTTTTTATCATCAGTTGATTTGGCATTGAGCAAGTGTTTAGTCTTCATTTTTGAGATAATCATGTGGATTTTGTCCTTTATTTTACTAATATAGTGCATGAATACTAATTTATTTTGTTGTTGAACCAAGTTTGCATTACTGATATATAAACATCCTTGGTCATACTGTATAATTCTTTTTACATGTTACTGATTTGTTTTGCTCATATTTAACATCTATATTCATAATATCCATTTATAATGTTCTCTTGAAATATCTTTGTTACATTTCTGTTTGAGATCAGGGTAAACTGTCTCATAAAATGCATTGCGAAGTGCTGTCTTCTCCTCTTTATTTGTGTCATTTTTAATTTTTTTGAACTATTGGTAATAGTTTGGTATTAATTTTTTAAAAGGTTTAGACATATGCACCAGTGAATCCTAACAACAAACACATGAGCTTGGAAGGGGATCCTTTTCCAAGTGAGCCTTCAGTTGAGAGCCCAGCCCTGGCCATCATCTAATCTGGATTCCTGGCCCAGAGAAACTGTGAGTAATATGTGTGTGGTTTTGAGGCACTAATTATGTGGTAATTTGTTATGCAGAAACTAATAAGTAGTACACCAGATAGTAAATGTAATGTGGCATCCTGGATTAGATCCTAGAACCAAAGAATGACATTACTGCAAAGCCTAGTAAAATATAGAAGCCTGTACTTCAGTTAAAATTTTAGTACCACGTACAACTTCTTTGTTTTCCTATATATACTATGGTTACATTAGATGTTATCATTCCAGATATCTGAAAGATGTATAAAACTCTCTGTACTATCTATGAATATTTCTGTATATCTAAAATTGTTTCAAATAGTAAAATGTGTAGATATTATTTTGGCACAAAGAAAACAAATCAGAAACAATAACCTCATGCACAGGAAATGAATGAATGTGTAGGGAGGGAAGAGCATCCCATCATTCTGAACACAGGTTGCTTCAGGAAGAGAACTTCGAGCTCCAGGGACTCTAGTCATCTTTCTTCATTGCCATCAGACTGCCTACTCCCCACTCACCAATTTGAGTGTCAGTAACCACATCTTCAAAGACAGGTGCTTGTGCCTCACATACATATTCCAGAAAGCCTACTTTCAGACTCTATTTTGAAGTGAATCTGCAGGATCCACTAAAAACTTATTGAAAGACATGACTGCAGGATATTAAAATCCAGTATTAAGAAATGTCAGTGGCTGAGTGTGGTGGCTCACACCCATAATCCCAGCACTTTGGGAGGCCGAGGTGGGCAGATCATGAGGTCAGGAGATTGAGGCCATCCTGGCTAACACGGTGAAACCTCGTCTCTACTAAAAATACAAAAAATTAGCCAGGCATGGTGGCGGGCGCCTGTAGTCCCAGCTACTCAGGAGGCTGAGGCAGGAGAATGATGTGAACCTGGGAGGCAGAGCTTGCAGTGAGCCAAGATCGCACCACTGCACTCCAGCCTGGGCAACAGAGCGAGACTCCGTCTCGGAAAAAAAAAAAGTCAGTGATAGGAGATATAAACTGTATTTCTGAATTTAGGAGAGTGTTTTTTCTATGTACAAGTATTTTTTGTTTACTTGCTCAAAAGACAGATATTCCTTCAAGTCTTTGAGAAAACTCTGTGAAAATTGTTATTTTCACTTTACAGACTGAATCATGAATTATTTGGAACCCTGTAGCCTATTGACATTGATATCATAGAATTGTATTGTCCCTTGCCAAACCCAAAAGCCACAAAGTAGATATCATGGTCGCAGGTGAGCTGGCTACAAAAAATAAGTTTATAAATATGCTACTTTAGGCCAGTCCCTGCTTACAAAGACCTACATATGAATCTCCGTACACAAAGTTTTTGGCAGGTGAAGTCAGATGTTGGTATGATCAGGCTTTGTGTCCCTACCCAAATCTCATCTTGAATTGCAATCCTCAGGTGTTTAGGGAGAGACCTGGTGGGAAATGATTGGATTATGTGGGTGATTCCCCCATGCTGTTCTCATGATAGTGAATTCTCGAGAGATTTGATGGTTTTATAACCAGCAGTTTTTCCTTCACTGACACACACTTGCTTGTGCACTCTCTCTCTCTGTCTCTCTCGCTTTCTTGCTTGTGCACTCTCTCTCTTTCTCTCTCTCTTTCTCCTTCTCTCCCTCCCCCTCCCTGCCTCACTCGCCTGCCACCATGTAAGATGTACCTGCTTCCCCTTCCGCTTTGATTGTAAGTTTCTGGAGGCCTCCCCAGCTATGTGGAACTATGAGTCAGTTAAACCTCTTTTTTTTTAAAATAAATTACCCAGTCTCAGGTATGTCTTTATAGCAGTGTGAAAGGAGACTAATACAGATGTGTTGTATGTAAGTGGAGAAAACGAGATAGAAAAAGCAAAAGAACAAGCCATATACAACATATGCTCAACCCTCCATGCCATGATCCAAGAGATGGAAACAGGCTGAATGAGGATTGTGCATATGTGCTGGCTAAAGAAAGAATCCCACTGCAGAGAGGACTGTCCACTGACCTGCCACCAACAGCTCCCAATTCACAGACCACAGCAATCTGATTGGCAGCACAAGGGTAATGTCCAGGAAACATACCTAAAAAGCCTACAAAGCCGTGTGAATGCGTACTGCACTCCATAGAGATCCATAAGATTAGCATAATTCCTTTTAAAGTCTATAATCATGTGTTATATTCTCCACATCAAATCAGTAGCGTCAGTGAGAAAAGTAGTTCACAGCTTAGAGTCTGGAGTGAGAGATACAGCTGACCTGAACCACATTTCTCATGTCTGAGATCAAGATAATAAGAACTGTTATTTAGGCGCTGTTATTTGAGTATTTGTATTTGTGAAAATCCTTAACTTCTCCAATCTCATATACTTTACTCTTTGAGATATAAAAGGCCTCATTAATACTTCACATCTCAACACATGGAGGATTATTTATTTTAAGTGGATATATATTAATACTTTAATGACTTGTGAAATCTCCTTTTACTCTTCGCTTCAATGCATATTTTAAAATCTGGCCGGGCACAGTGGCTCATGCCTGTAATCCCAGCACATTGGGAGGCCCAGACAGGCAGATCACCTGAGGTTGGGAGTTTGAGGCCAGCCTGACCAACGTGGAGAAACCTCATTGCTACTAAAAATACAAAATTAGCCGGGTATGGTGGCACCTGCCTGTAATCCTGAGGCAGGAGAATCACTTGAACCCAGGAGGTGGCAGTTGCAGTGAGCTGAGATAGTGCCATTGCACTCCAGCCTGGGCGACAGAGCAAGACTCTGTCTCAAAAATAAATAAATAAATAAATAAAAATAATAATAATAATCTGTCATGATGTATATACTGTCAACACTCTACCTTACTGAAGTATGGATCAACAACAAAAAGACCAGAGTGGAAGGCCATAAATGAGACACAAGAGATCTGGACAAGGAGTGGTCCCTCAAACTGGAAAATCAAAATCAATCAGGTGTGAGAGCTCAGACTTAACAGGAAAAAGCAAACAGATGCAAAAGTGTACTGACATGAAGTTACATGATACAGTGTGGTGCACCAAGTCCCCAAACAAAACTTCCGACAGCATGGAAGATATGATTTGCCACAGTATACTAAACCACCAGATTTCACACAGATGGGCCTGGCCACAGCAGTTTTCAAAAGACGTCATTGCACACAGGCCAAACTCTTACACCACATCGTGAGGCAAATGCCCAACACTCTGCACACCCTACCCTGATTAGAAGTTAGAGTTCAATGAATGAATGGCTCCTATCTTTGAGATCATAACTTGATGTTCACTTAATTCAGTCTTCCTGGAGCCTAAAACTCTGGGTAAAATTTTAGTCATAATTCTGAATCATGAACTATATGAGTTTCTTCTTTACTCGATACATTCACGAGGAAATGGGAAAACCAATTCCAATATCCAAGTACCTCAAAGTAGAGTTGAACAAAGTAGCCAGGGGACATATCAAAGGGTTTAACAAGGACCACGAAGCATCCACATCTGCAGTGGGTCATCATGAGGTGACTTGCAGGTTCATCAGCCTCATGATTAAAAACATAAATGGAAATGAGGATATAGAGACACACACAAATATTATAGGTTGGAGAATTGAGTTTAGAATGAAGCTTACAAAGACTGTTACTCGTATTCCTAAAATAAAGGCAGGAATTATCAATTTAAAGCTTTTTCTAAGTATTTTTTCTTTTCTTCAACTTTTATTTTAGTTTCAGGAATACACGTGTAGGTTTGTTACCTGAATAAATTGCATGTCACTAGGGTCTAGTGTACAAATGATTTCATCACTAAAGTAGTCAGCGTAATACTCGATAGGTAGTTTAGTTTTTTGACCATCACCCTCCTCCCACCCTTGCTGTCAGGTAGGCCCTGGTGTCTATTGTTCCCATCTTTGTGCCATGTGTACTCAATAAGTCTTTAAAAAGCTAACACTTCAAGGAAAGCTTCTAGTAGCTCTTTACAATTGTGTCTTCCTCCTTAATTGATTTTTTGAATGATAGTTTTTATTTTTTTTAATTTTTTTTTCTTTGAGACAGAGTCTCGCTCTTTCACCCAGGCTGGAGTGCAGTGGCGCGATCTCAGCTCACTGCAAGCTCTGCCTCCCGGGTTCATGCCATTCCCCTGCCTCAGCCTCCCTAGTAGCTGGGACTACAGGTGCCCGCCACGCCCGGCTAATTTTTTTGTATTTTTAGTAGAGACAGGGTTTCACTATGTTAGCCAGGATGGTCTCGATGTCCTGACCTTGTGATCCGCCCGCCTCAGCCTCCCAAAGTGCTGGGATTACAGGCGTGAGCCACTGCGCCTGGCCGAATGGTAGTTTTTAAAAAGTTCTTTGCACTTAAAACAGACAGGAACACAACCATGATGATTTAACACTGAGAAGCGGGCAGTCTCAGGGAAAACTAATGTATTTCATTCACGCTGTGGTGCACCCAGTCACATCTCTTCACAGAAAGGCATCTTGAATCTGATAGTGTTGAAACACTGTTGGCCGGAAGACAGTCATAATGAGATTGTCCTCATGGACACTGACATGAACTTGGTCTAAAAACTTCCCATTGATATCTTCAGGTAATATCATCATCAAAACTTGCAGAAGGGATGTCAGGAGGTTGGAAAGATAATCTCACAGAGAGTAGCATAGGAATCCCATCAGAAATGCAGCATCATCAGTGCTTTTGATTAGTACAGATGATATGGGGTTAGTTATTGGCAAGATGGGTTTAAAAGTGATTCAGATAAGTTTTGCCTCAGTGAGAGAAATTTTAGGAGAAAAACTTTAATGTATTTTGCCTATGTTTCATCTCACGAAATCAAGAATTACGTCAGACAAAGATCCACATGTATAGAAACTGAAAATAGTTGAACTCTTTTTGAAAAGCTCAGTTTATATATATGTGGGAGGATTAAGATCATTTGATAAAGATATACTAGATGTGAGCACCATCAGAGCAAGAAGAATGCTATTTTATGGGTACTTTTACCCATGTTTTATGGGTGCTTTTGTTCTAAATTGGTAGATGGACATTTGTTTTCTCAGGTATGACAGCAGTCAGTCTTTGAGCTCCAATAGTGTACACAGATAATTTCGGTGACCGATTTTGGTAAAAAGAAGAAAAAGTACCCATCTATTTTATTACAGTGTGTCATCATTTGACTTAATTTCACTGACTATAAAGAACAGCCTGATATTTCATGCAAACCAGATAGAAAGTGGTGTTTATGTAGTGAAGAAGAAAGGAAAACTATTTCTCAAATTTAAAAACAATGAGAATTTCTAGGGAAACAAATAGAAAAAGTTTCATTGGTTTCTTCTTCTTTTGGTGATAATTTTGTTCTGCTCTTTTAAATAGAAAGCTTTACTGTCTTTTTTTTTTTTTTTTTTTTGATACAAGGTCTCATTCTGTCACCCAGGGTGAGTTCAGTAGCATGATCATAGCTCACTGCAGCCTCGACCTCCCAGTATTCAAGCAGTCCTGCTGCATCAGGATCCTGAGCATCTGGACTACAGATGCATACCATGACGCCTAACTAATTTTAGATGTTTTGTAGAAATGGGGTCTTACCTTGTTTCCCACACTGGTCTTGAACCCCTGGATGCAAATGGTACACCCCCAAAAGTCCTGAGATTACAGACGAGAGCCACCACACCTTGCCTCTACTTTAGTTATTTCATAATGTAATGAGTTTATCAGCCACAACTAACAGGATAACATAGAAAAGGCAGGTTAGTGGGCCGGGCACAGTGGCTCATGTCACCTAGCACTTTGCGAGGCCGAGGCATGCAGATCACAAGGTCAGGAGATTGAGACCATCCTGGCTAACACGTTGAAACCCCGTCTCTGCTAAAAATACAAAAACAAAATTAGCCAGGCGTGGTTGTGGGTGCCTGTGGTCCCAGCTACTCAGGAGGCTGAGGCAGGAGAATGGCATGAACCTGGGAGGCGGAGCTTGCAGTGAGCCGAGATCGCACCGCTGCACTCCAGCCTGGGACAGAGCGAGACTCCGTCTCAAAAAAAAAAAAAAAAAGAAAAAAACAAAAAACAAAGAGGCAGGTTAGTGTTCACATGGGGTGGTTCATGTACTTAAATACATCGTTTACGTCATTTCTAAGGCCATCCCTTCATCCTCAAGCTTGGTGCAAGATCACAGCCATGAACAACCTGTTGTTTTCCGTTCAGGAATAAGATGAAAAGGTGAAGGCCAAGTTCATTCAAATTACTTGGTTGTGCCTTTGCCTTTTATTTATTTGCTACTCCTGTAGTTCTGTTCACCATGTTTTAGTGTAGTAATGATGACACCACAGCCCTGTCAGTATGGATGTTGGCATCTATGCTGTCTCACATCTTTACCATTAGATGTGGAAAATGGCTTGACAAAATTCAGCCACTGTGTTCTCCAGACTCTATGTTCCCTCTTGTCAACTCAGTGTGCCTTCCACAGTTTATGCTACAGCACAGCCTGGGAACTCCTAAAGCAGTATCCTTACTCAATAGTAGGTCTCAGACCATTTTTCAAATTTCTCACTTATCGCCATTCTTCACTGATGGATGTGTAGTGTCTGGAATCCATTTTCACATGTAATTCATCCAGTTTTTTGGTTTGTTTGTTTTTACATGTGGCAAGCCATGTCTAATCTCTATCAGTTGTTCCACATCTTGTTTCATTTTTTCTGGAATTACTCATACATGATTCTTCCCCAGTTAAGTGGTTCTACTTGGCCATGTGAAGGTGAGTGAGGACAAATGTGAGTCCAGCACAGTGAGGAAGGCAGACAGGAACTGGCATTTGTGACATTAAAGAAAAGTTAAGAATTGGTGAAATGTGGCCTGGCACAGTGGCTCACGCCTGTAATCTCAGCACTTTGGGAGGCCGCGGTGGGCGGATCATCTGAGGTCAGGAGTTCAAGACCAGCCTGGCCAACATGGAGAAACCGCGTCTAATAAAAATACAAAATTAGCCAGGCATGGTGGTGCATGCCTGTAATCCCAGCTACCCGGGAGGCTGAGGTAGGAGAATCGCTTGAACCTGGGAGGCAGAGGTTGTGGTGAGTTGAGATCACGCCATTGCACTCTAGCCTGGGCAACAAGAGTGAAACTCCGTCTCAAAAAAAAAAAAAAAAAAAAAGGTGAGATGTAGTCGCCAATAAAGATTTGGAAATATTTATCAAAGGAGCCATATTAACAGAGCTAATAGAGGTGAACAATATTTTTCTCAGTCTCAGAGGGCAGAACTGTGGTTAGGACAGAAGAGGAGCAAGTAGATGAGGTAGAAGCAGGCAGGTCAGTGAGAGGAGCTCTGCAGTGTATTGAGGTTGGGGAGGCTGGAGAAGAGGCTAAGGGGGAATTAGGATTCAGATTCTGTCCTGAGAACAGAAGGGACAACAACAACAACAACAAAAACCAGCTTTATCTTCAAGTTCAAATCATTTTCAGATAGAAAGACTTGAAATTTATTGGGAAGAAGACAAGAATATAGGTGAGGAGTTAGATTTGTAAATTTATTTGTAGAATTCAATATAAAGCAGAATCTGTGTGTTGCTCTATTAACATGTGTGGGGCTCATAGGGGAACAACATAGACAAAGTTTCCCTCTTCTGTGATATTTCAGTTCAGTGGGCACTGAGAAAACTTAACAGAAACTAAACTGTAGGTGGAGGAACTGCCCTTGGGAGCCCAGAGGACAAGTTTCAGGCCTGGGATGGGATGGGCAAGGGAGGCCTCCAGGAGGAGGAGCGTTGGAGGAGATTCTGGAGAGTAAGGAGTAGTGAGTTCAGCAAACAGGGGAGGGAAAGGGAAGAGGAAACTGTGTCTGTGGCACAGGCTAGCCCATGAGAAGAGGACAGTGGATTGAAAGGACAGCTGAGATGAGAAATACGTGAGGAGGCAGGAGCTGGAAGGGCAGACCGTGGAGGCACTGGGTAATGATCCAGGAGAGATGTTTCTCCTTGGACATACACATGTTCACACACCTGTGACTGCATGTCCTGGTGATGTTTCTGTGTCTCTCAGATTGTAACATGTTACATAAATTTATTCTTTCATCACATGTCCCCTTTTAAATTATATTTGTACTAATTGTTAACTGTAGAAGTTTTTTACTGGTGGATTATTTGTACTTAAATGATTTGCTATCTTAGTAAATGAATGAAATTACCCACATATGTTTGACTTTGGAAACTAATATAGGTACACCTGCTTCCTTTGATTTTTGTAATCATGTTATATTTGTTGTACCCACTCACTTTTAGGTCATATAGGTCTTCATATTTAAAGTGAGTTTCATATAGACAACATATACTTGGGTCTTTTTGATTCACTCAGTCTTTTATCTACTGCATTTAGAACATTGACATTCAAATCATTGATATAGCTGATTAAAAATCTATGAAACTTGTCACTATCTTCCAGTTGTTTATTTGCTTTTGTTCCTATTTTTTGTATTTCACTCATTTTCTACCTTGTGTTGTTTGGATTAGCTTTTTTGTTTGTTTGTTTGTTTGTTTGTTTGTTTGTTTTTTGAGACGGAGTCTCGCTCTGTCTCCCAGGCTGGAGTGCAGTGGCAAGATCTTGGCTCACTGCAACCTCCGCCTCCTGGGTTCAAGCGATTCTCCTGCCTCAACCTCCTGAGTAGCTGGTACTACAGGCGCATACCACCACGCCTGGCTAATTTTTGTATTTTTGAGTAGAGACGGGGTTTCACCATATTGATCAGGCTGGTCTTGAACTCCTGACCTTGTGATCCACCCGCCTTGGCCTCCCAAACTGCTGGGATTACAGGTGTGAGCCACCACGCCTAGCCTAGATGAACATTTTATATAAATTCATCTTCTCTCCTTTCTTAGCATTTCAGCCATACATTTTTAAAACTTTGTTTAGTGGTTAAACTAGGCAATAAAAACTTTTATTTTTCATATTCTTAATTGATCTAACAAATAACAGTCTGTTAAAAATAGTAGTAGTACCAATGTATTTAAATAAGTATGCTTAAGTATGTGTCATACATAAATTAATATATATATACACACACATGTGTATTCTATGTAAGTGAAATGAATGACTGCAATGATACAAGGGATAAGAGAAAAGAATTAGGATTATTCTGGTATAATAAGGTGTTCACACTTTCTGTCAAGTGATAGGCTGTTATTTGAAAGGGGGCTTGGATTATTTGGAAGTGTAAATTGCAAACTCTAGGGCAGGCTGTTGGTCCAGAGCCTCAGTTCCTTGCTGGCTGTTGACCAGAGGCTGCATTCAGTTCCTTCCCATGTTGGCTTCTGCCTTATGGCAGAATGAGCCATCAAAGCCATCAAGGCAGAGAGCTTGCTAGCAAGAAAAAAAAAATCACACTTTTATGTAACATAATCACCCATATGATATCCCATCTCCTTGTATTATTCTATTGTATCAAAGCAAATCACATCTTATCTTGTGCCCAATCTCACAGGGAGATGATTACAATACAAGGTCGTGTAAACCAACAGGTGGTGATCATTGGGTACCGTCTTAGGGTACCTGCGATATCAGGTCCTTTCTGAGGTGCAGCAGTTTCCCAGTATTCAGTTATTTTTCAGAAAAGAACTGGTCAAATATTTTGTAGGACGCATCACAATGTGGATTCATCTGATGGTTTCTCGTTATTTGAATAGAACTACAGATCAATTGGAACAGCTTTATTTATTTAAATTGGAAGACAATACAAACTGAACAATATATTATTTAGAAAAACAAACTTAACCATAAAAATAATATAGAAAAAAGTGGGAATGATAAAAAGAAAATGGAAAATAATAGTAACCTTCATGGGGGTAAGAAAGACTGTGGAATTGGGGAGATGAACATTTAGGGCATTAACAATATTGATAATATTCTGTTTATCAAGCTTGGCAGAGAGTATTTAGAAAGAGAGGAAAAAACTCTTCTGTTTTGCATTAGCTTTGGATTTACAGAACAGTTGCATAGTCAATACAGAGAGTTAATATATAGCCAACACAGAGTTTCCATTATTATTAACCTCTTACATTAGTGGGGGGCATCTGTCACAATTAACACACTAACATGCATTCTCATTCACTGATATACACATATCCACATATTAACCAGATTTATTTTTTCCTTTTTTCACTTAATGCCCATTTTCTGTTCCAGGAACTCTTCCAGGATAGCATATCACATTTTGATATCATGTCTCCTTAGTCTTTCTTTGTCTCTGTCAGTTTCTCTGAATTTCCTTGTTTTTGATGACATTGACATCCTCCATTTGGGATTTCCGTGATTTTTTTTTTCGCTTACAGTCAGACAGGAGTTCTGGGTTTTGGACAGTAAGACCATAGGGGTAAGTGTGATACTCACGACATTATATCAGAATGCTGTATCAACTATTGATACTAATTTGATCACCTACATTAGGGAGTTTAGGTCAGTTTCTCAACTCTAAAATTAATCTTTCTTCCCCTTTTCCATGCCATACTTTTTGGAAAACTGTTACTATGCATAGCACATACTTCACAAGTGGAGAATTATGCTCTACCTCCTTGGGGATAGGACATCTACAAATATAATTTGTATTTCATTACTATAGGCAATTTACCTATTCTCCAGCATTTATTTTATATTAATTTAATTAGAACATATGGAATATTATGCAAATAATAAATATTTATTTCCACTGTAATTGTACTAGTTTATTGTGTTACTCAAATTGCTCTAGTGTTGGTCATTAGAAGGTCTTTCAGTCAGCTGCTACTTTACCACTTTGAAATACCCACATCATTGCTGTTTGATTTTGTTTGTGTAGTTGGGTGGTTGGTTGTGGTGTTTAACTTTTTCTTACTTTCTGGCACTACAAGGTGCTTAAACTTAATAGTGTTGATTCCCTGCCCAACCCTACCATTAAGCATTTCTCCAAAAATTCCTAGTTCCTTTTTTGGTGAGTGGCATTAGAAACAAAACTCTGGGGAGTAGTGTTCTCATTTCTACTAGGGACTTACTAGTTCTATGCTTTGTCATCTGACAAAGTATGTGTGTGTGTAACTCATATTGACATATGTATTTGTAGGTCTACATTTCTCCATATGTATCTATGTAAAGTTAAGCATGAATTCTTCCTGTTTCTAGCACCCATGATCTAATTCAGTACCACATGAATCAATCTCCCCATTCCCACTACTTGTATGTTACCTCCCATGTTAACAGTGAGACGGTTGGGCTACTTTATGTAATTTCAGAGCCCAAAATACATGCAGAGTTTTTTTAGAATTGGTAATTCATACCCCGATGGGAAAGAATATTTCCAACTAAAGTAGAGTATTTATGAACAAATACTTTGACATTTAGCCTAAGAACTTCTATTTTTCTAAATTTCTTAGCTTGGTCTCCTTTGCCCCCACTTCCTTCCATGAGGTTATTTCATTTATTTGTTACACATTTATATTATTTTGACTGCATTCCCCCATAGGATCTCCTAACCTATTAAATGACATTTAAAATTCACATTTATGTAGGTTTATACTTTTTGATGTAAAATTCTACGGGGTTTGTAAAATAGTATAATTAACATACCATTGAAGTATCACAGAAAATTATTTCACTGCACACATACAAAGTTTCTATTTCACCTATTCAACCTTTCTCTCTCAAGCACCCAGCGCTTTTTTTTTTTTTTTTTTTTTTTTGAGACGGAGTTTTGCTCTTATTTCCCAGGCTTGGAGTGCTGGAGTGCTGGAGTGCAGTGGCATGATCTCGGCTCACTGCACCTTCTGCCTCCTGGGTTCAAGCGATTCTCCTGCCTTAGCCTCCTGAGTAGCTGGGATTACAGGCATGCACCACCATACCCGGCTAATTTTGTATTTTTAGTAGAGATGGGGTTTGACCATGTTGGCAAGGCTGGTCTCGAACTCCTGACTTCAGATGATCTGCCCGCCTTGGCCTCCCAAAGTGCTGGGATTACAGGCGTGAGCCACCGCTACTGGCCTCAAGCCCCTTTTAATCACTTACCTTTTTCCTAACTATAATTACACCTTGTCCACTATGTCATATAAATGTAATTAATTACACAGTATGTACTTTTTTCAAACTGGCTTCTTTCACTTAAGAATATGCTTTTAAGATTTGTGGGCCAGGCACGGTGGCTTATGCCTGTAATCTGAGCACTTTGGGAGGCCGAGGCGGGTGGATCACCTGTGGTTGGGAGTTCGAGACCAGCCTGACCAACATGGAGAAACCTCATCTCTTGAAAATACAAAATTAGCTGGGTGTGGTGGTGCTTGCCTGTAATCCCAGCTACTCGGGAGGCTGAGGCAGGAGAATTGCTTGAACCCGGGAGGCAGAGATTGCAGTGAGCTGAGATCATGCCATTGTACTCCAGCCCAGGCAAAAAGGGCAAAACTCCGTCTCAAAAAAAAATTTGGGAAGTGTATCTATCTCTTGATAATGTAGATTTGCATTTTAATAAATAAGTACTAAAGGTGTGGAAGATATTTTCATGTGCTTTTTGGACATTTGTGTAGCTTCTTTGGAGAAATATCTGTTCACACAATGTACTCATATTTAGTTATGATCTTTTCTTTGTTTTGTTTTGTAACAATGTTTTCTATATTCTCGACAACAGACCCCTATCAGCTATATGACTTGCAAACATTTCTCCCATGTTTGGGTTATCCTTATGGTGTACTTTGAATCACAAAAGTTTTAAAATCTAATGAAGTTCAATTTATCTATTTTTTTTTCTTTTGCGGCATGTATTTTGGTGTCAATCTATTGTTTCACCTAAGCCACAAAGATTTATTTCTATGTTCTATTCTATGGGATTTGTAGTTTCAGCTCATACATATGAGTCTATGATCTATTTTGAGTCAGTTAAGTATATTTTGTGAGGGAGGAGTCAACTTTCATGCCAATATCCACTTGTCCCAGTAATTTTACAGAAAATATTTTCCATACTAAATTATCTTGGCAGCCTTGAAAAGTCATTTTTCGGTAACTGTAACGATTAATTTTGAATACTTTATTCTATTTACATGGTTTTTATTTACATACTTGTGTATTCTGTATACTTTCCTCTATTCTACCGGAAGCTGGAAGCAGCCTGACAGGATGTGTGGTGCCCAAGTCTGCACAGTGAGGTGGGGAGTGAGGGCCGCAGGCAGAGGGCAAGGGACAGGGGACAGGGGGCAGGGGGCACAGGGCAGAGGGCAGCGGAGAGGCCCAGGCCTACAAGGAAAGCGAGGGCTGAGGAAGGACGGCGGGAGGACTGCAGAGGGAGGCAGGCAGAGTGAGGGCGGCAGGCAGACAGCAGGAGTGAGTGGGCGCCAAGAGCTGGGGGGGAGGCCCACAGGGAGAGAGAAGGCAGAGGGCAGAGGGCAAGGCTGACACTGGAATGTGGGGGCGGCGAGGCCCACAGGGGAACTGAGGGCGGCTCTCTGCAGGGTCAGAGGCATTGGGCTTTCAGGGTCGCTTTTCTGCGAACTTCCGCTTGTTCCCGAGGTGGTGCCTGCCTGTGTCGTCGTCCCTGTTTGTTCTCCTACAAACCTCAGGAGTTTTCCATGTTTCCCAGACCTTAAGGTACATTTAAACTGTGTGCTTTCTCTCACATGTGCCCTTTTATATTATGGACGTAGTAATAGTTATTTACCTAGGTTTTTTCTTTTTGAATTATTCGTAAAGAACTTACCAAAGTGGCTGGGCACGGTGGCTCACGCCTGTAATCCCAGCACTTGGAAGGCGGAGGCGGGTGGATCGCCTGAGGTCAGGAGTTCGAGACCAGCGTGACCAAGATGGTGAAACCTCGTCTGTACTAAAAATACAAAAATTAGCTGGGCATGGTGGCGGGTGCCTGTAGTCCCAACTACTCGGGAGGCTGAGGCAGGAGAATCGCTTTAACCCGGGAGGCGGAGGTTGCAGTGAGCCAAGATTGCACCACTGCACTCCAGCCTAGGCGACAGAGTCCGATTCCGTCTCAAAAAAAAAAAAAAAAAAAAAAATTACCAAAGTGTTTTATTTATTTATTTATTTATTTATTTATTTATTTATTTATTTTTATTTATTTATTTTAAGATGGAGTCTCGCTCAGTCGCCCAGGCTGGAGGTGCAGTGGCGCGATCTAGTCTGACTGCAAGCTCCGCCTCCTGGGTTCACTCCATTCTCCTGCCTCACTCTCCGGAGTAGCTGGGACTACAGGCGCCCACCACCACGCCCGGCTAATTTTTTTTTTTTTTTTTTTTTTGTATTTTTTAGTAGAGACGGGGTTTCACTGTATTAGCCAGGATGATTTCGATCTCCTGACCTTGTGATCCGCCCGCCTCGGCCTCTCAGAGTGCTGGGATTACAGGCATGAGCCACTGCGCCCGGCCCAAACTTTTTATTTTTAATGGACATCAATTGCGTATATTTATGGATTATGATGTGATGTTTTGATTTTTATATTCATAGTGGAAGATTTAATCAAGCTAATTAACATATGCATCAGCTTACCAGCTGACCAATATTTTATGGTGAGAATATTAAAAATCTGTTATTTAGCAATTCTAAAATGTTCAGTACGACTTTGGAGCAAATGAAAGTGCCCGGCCTCAGGAGCCTGAGACTGATCATTTCTGAAGCGTGGGGTCGTCATTTCTGAGAGGGTCATGGCTGCATGCCCGTAAGCAAGGGGGGTGTTTGGGATGCTTTGTTTGCCCTGTTAATTTTGGATGCCTCTGTGTTCTAAGAACTAAGATAATATTTGTGTGAAAAATGCAGTTGCTTTTACTTTTACTTTGTTTTACTGTTAATAGCCTTACAGCTTTTCTTTAACTGAGTTTGGATTTAATATATTCTTCTTTTTCTAAGTTGCAAAGCTAGAAACAGATGACAGATTTTTGATCTTTCATTGTTTCCTATGTATGCGTTCAGTGCTATACGTTTCCCTATATGCTCTGTTTTCCTTTCATCTCACAAATTTTGAGAAATTGTGTTTTCATTTTCATTTAGGTTGAAAAATTAAAAAATTAAAAAACTGTCTGGTTGTTTTCTTTGACCCATACGTTATATGGAAGTGTGTTGTTTAATCTTTATGCATTTTGTGATATTCCAGTTGCTGCAGTTATCCTGCGATTTCTGATTTAATTCCACTGTAGTCTGGGAGCTGACATTGTATGATTTCCATTTTCTTTAAATTGTTAGAGTATTTTTTTGTCCCAGAATGTGATATATTTTGCTGAATATTCCATACAAGCTTAAGAAGAATGTGTCATCTGCAGTAGTTGAGGGAAGTAGGCTGTAAGTGTCAGTTATGCCCAGTTGCTTGGTGGTGCTGTTGTGTTCAGGTTTTCCCTCCTGAATTGCTGCCTGCTAGATCTGCCCATACTTGACATATGATAACGTTTCCAACTGTAATAGTGAATACATATCTTTTTCCTTGTGGTTCTGTTGCTTTCTGTCTCACATAGTTTACACTCTGTTGTCAGGCTCATAGGCTTTAAGAATTATGACATCTTACTGGAAGAGTGGCTCTTCATCTCTATGTAATGCCTTTCTTTATTCTTGATAACTTTACTAACGAAAGAAGGGAATTAGAATTGTTTTGTTGTTATAAGATACAGTACCTGTGAAGCAGTGTAGTTGTATTTTAAAAGCAGCTTGGGTTAGTTTTATTTTTTAATTTTGATTATTTTGATATCTTTTAATATAATTTTGGTTTTTTAAAAAAATTATCTTTGGGGATACACATGCAGGTTCATTACTTAGGTAAACCCGTGTCACAGGGTTTGTTTGTTACTGAAACACCAGGGGTTTGGTCTAGGTCCTGCTGCTGGCTGCACAGAAAGCCAATTACTGAGAGGACAAAGTATTGCCAAGGAAGAAGGCCTTAATTGGGTGCTGCAGTCAAGGGGATGGGAGCTCAGTCTGCAATCTATCTCCCTGACTGACTAAAACCAGGGGTTTATGTAGCAGGGAAGAAATGTAACACTGTGTAAGAAAACACTAACTAGGGAGGGTGCAAGGAAGTAATCATGAAGAAAGAAGGGTCTGTGAAGTCTGGGGTCATTGTCTGCTTTCAGTTCTTTGATCCTTTTTGTGAGAGGCCTGAAGTTTGTTTCCTGGGGAGGGAACTCAGATAAAACAAATACAAGTTTCAAGGTTTAACAGCAGAAGGGTCAATTTCCATGTTTATCCAAAAATAACTGTCTATGGGACTGAGGCCAATTTTAGTTGTACAGATTATTTGATCACGCAGGTGCTAAGCCTAGTACCCAATAGTTATTTTTTTCTGCTCCTCTCCCTCCTCCCACCTTCCACCCTGAGGTAGGCCCCAATGTCTGTTGTTACCTTCTTTGTGTTCATGATTTCTCATCATTTAGTTCACAGTTTTAAGTAAGAACATAGCAGTAGTTCTCTATTCCTGTATTAGTTTGCTAATAGCCTCAGGCTTCATCCATGTTCCTGGAAGAGTGGAAGAGACATGATCTCCTTTTTTATGGCTACATAGTATTCCATGGTGTATATGTACCACATTTTCTTTTTTCTGTCATTGATGGGCATTTAGGTTTATTCCATGTCTTTACTATTGTGAATAGTACTGCAGTGAACATTCACATGCATGTAGAATGGTTTATATTTTTCTGAGTATATACCTAGTAATGGGATTGCCAGGTTGAATGGTTGTTCTGATTTTAACTCTGAGGAGTCCCCGTACTGCTTTCCACACTGGTTGAACTAATTTATATTCCCACCAACAGTGTATAAGTTATCCCTTTCTCCTGCAACCTCATCAGCATCTTTCATTTTTGGACTTTTTAATAAAAAACCATTCTGACTGGTATAACATAGTATCTAATTGTGGTTTTGATTTGCATTTCTCTAATCATCTGTGATACTGAGCTTTTGTAAATATGTTTTTTGACTTT
The DNA here is from genome assembly GCF_000001405.40 of Homo sapiens. NCBI lineage: Eukaryota > Metazoa > Chordata > Mammalia > Primates > Hominidae > Homo > Homo sapiens. The sequence goes on from NC_000015.10 coordinate 23,958,720, forward strand.
TTAATAAAAGCCATTCTGACTTGTGTGAGATAGTATCTCATTGTAGTTTTGATTTGCATTTCTCTAGTTAGTGATATTGAGCTTTTTTTATATGCTTTTTAATTTTTTCATAAAAGCCATTCTGACTGGTGTGAGATAGTATCTCATTGTGGTTTTGATGTGCGTTTCTGTATCAGTGATGCTGAACTTTTTTGTCATATGCTTGTTGGCCGCATGTATGTCTTCTTTTGAGAAGTTGTCCATGTCCTTTGCCCACTTTTTAATGGGGTTGTTTGTTTTTCTCTTGTAAATTTGTTTAAGTTCTTTATAGATGCTGAATATTAGAGCTTTGTCAGATGCATAGTTTGCAGATATTTTCTATTTTCTCCCATTCTGTGGGTTGTCTGTTTACTTGTTGATAGTTTCTTTTGTTGTATAGCTCTTAAGTTGATTTGGATCCCTTTTGTGAGTATTTCCTTCAGTTGCAATTGCTTTTGGCGTTTTTTTCAGGAAATATTTTCCCATTCCTATGTCCAGAATGGTATTGCCTAGGTTGTCTTACAGGGTTTTTATAGCTTTGGGTTTTACATTTAAGTCTTTAATCCATCTTGGGTTGATTTTTGTATATGGTATAAGGATGGGGTCCAGTTTCAATCTTCTGCATATGGCTAACCAGTACTCCCAGCACCATTTATTGAATAGGGAGTCTTTTCCCCATTGCTTGTTTTTGTCTGCTTTGTCAAAGATCAGATAGCCATAGGTGTGTGGACTTATTTCTGGGCTATCTAGTCTGTTCACTTGGTCTGTGCTCACCTTTGTACCAGTACAATGCTCTCTTTTTTTTACTGTAGCCCTGTAGTATAGTTTGAAGTCGGGCAATGTGATACTTCCGGCTTTGTTCATTTTGCTTAGGATTGCATTGTCTGTCTGGGCTCTTTTGTGATTTCATATGAATTTCAAAATAGTTTCTTCTAGGCCGGGCCTTGCGGTGGCTCATGCCTGTAATCCCAGCACTTTGGGAGGCCGATGTGGGCAGATCACGAGGTCAGGAGATCGAGACCATCCTGGCTAACATGCTGATACCCCATCTCTACTAAAAATACAAAAAATTAGCCAGGTGTGGTGGCACATGCCTGTAGTCCCAGATACTCGGGAGGCTGAGGCAGGAGAATGGTGTGAATCCAGGCGGCGGATCTTGCTGTGAGCCAAGATCGCACCACTGCACTTCAGCCTGGGTGACAGAGTGAGACTGCCTCAAAAAAAAAAATAGTTTTTTCTACTTCTTAAAGAATGTCATTTGTAGTTTGATAGGAATAGCATTGAATCTGTAAATGTCTTTGGGCAGTATGAGTCAGTGTTAAATATAATATTACCAACTGTAGGACAGTCTATTGCATAAAAAGCCCATTACTTTTCTGGCTATTGGCCATTGGCTGAATAAAGTGCCTTGCCAAGGGGACTTCTCTCACATGGCTTCATAAAATCCATCAAGCAAGAGATATTTCTAGCAAAACCAATATCATAATTGTATATAAGAATCCAAGTCACATTTATCCACCTTTGCACTATTCTGTTGTTTCAAGGCACGTCACAATTCCTGCTTACACTAACCGGGATGGGATTAGAATAGAAGGTTATGCATTGGAGAAGATGGGGCTAATTGGGCACCACCTTAGAATCTACTTGACACATCAGATATTCTCCTATATGAAACAGTATCTTGGTCTTCACTTGTTTTTAAAGTGACCCTTTTGAAAAGTACCAGTCAGGTATTTTATAGCATGTCCTACCTACAATATGGTTTTGTGTGATCATGATGACAATGTAAGTATGGATGGAATTAAATACAGTCACCTAAGTTTGAAGACAAAAAAGACCTAAACAATATAGTATTCAGATTTAAAAACTCAGAGGAGAATAATTTTTAAAATAGGAAATGACAACGAATTCACAATATAGTTTTAATTCAGTGGTTAAGGAAAACTATGAAATTAAGTAGATGGCACAAAGGAGGTATCAGCAATATTGCTAATGATTATTTTTCTTAAGCTTGGGAGTGACATTTAAGAAAACACTTTTTCACTTTGGGGGGTCGAGGCAGGTGGATCACGAGGTCAGGAGATCGAGACATCCTGGCTAACACAGTGAAACCCTGTCTCTACTAAAAATACAAAAAAATTAGCCAGGCATGGTAGCGGGTGCCTGTAGTCCCAGCTACCTGGGAGGCTGAGGCAGGAGAATGGCATGAACCCAGGAGGCGGAGCTTGCAGTGAGCCGAGATTGGCCACTGCACTCTAGGCTCAGTGAGAGAGCGAGACTCTGTCTCACAAAAACAAAACAAAACAAACAAAACAAAACAAAAAACTCTTTTTAAAGAATAGGTTTTTTTTTTTTTTTTTTTTTTTGAGATGGAGTCTCGCCCTGTCGCCCAGGCTGTGTGCAGAGTGGCGCGAGCTCAGCTAACTGCAACCTCTGCCTCCTGGGTTCAAGCGCTTCTCCTGCCTCAGCTTCCCGAGTAGCTGGGATTACAGGTATGCACCACCATGCCCAGCTAATTTTATTTGTATTTTTAGTAGAGACGGGGTTTTTCCATGTTGGTCAGGCTGGTCTCTAACTCCCGACCTCAGGTGATCCACCCGCCTCGGCCTCCCAAAATGCTGGGATTACAGGCGTGAGCCATCGCGCCGGACCGTTTCTTTTTTTTAAAAAGAATACTTTTACATTTACAGAATAGTTGCAAATATATTAAAGAGTTTCCAACATACCCCACACACAGTGTCCCTTATTATTTACCTTGTACATTAGTGTGGGACATTTGTCAAATTAACCAGCCAATATCATGGATTATCATTAAGTACCATCTACACTTTATTCAGATTTCTTAGTTGTCACTTAATGTTATGTTTACGTTTTAGGATCTCATCCAGGATACCTCATGACATTTAGGTATCATGTATTTTTAGGATCTTCTGAATGTGATAATATCTCAGAGTTTTATTGTTTTTGATGGGATTGACATTTCTAATTTGTGGTTTCCCTGATGTTTCTCTCATGAAGAGACTGGATTTGTGGGTTTAGGGGAGGAAGATCACAGAGGAAATGTGCCATTCTCATCACATAATATCCCGGGCACAGGGTATCAACTGGCTTTAATCACTGTTGATGTTAATTTGATAACCTGGATGAGGTAGTTACTAACAAGTCTCTTTTGTAAAATTACTCCGGCCGGGCGTGGTGGCTCACGCCTGTAATCCCAGCACTTTGGGAGGCCGAGGCGGGCGGATCACGAGGTCAGGAGATCGAGACCATCCCGGCTAAAACGGTGAAACCCCGTCTCTACTAAAAATACAAAAAATTAGCCGGGCGTAGTGGCGGGCGCCTGTAGTCCCAGCTACTTGGGAGGCTGAGGCAGGAGAATGGCGTGAACCCGGGAGACGGAGCTTGCAGTGAGCCGAGATCCCGCCACTGCACTCCAGCCTGGGCGACAGAGCGAGACTCCGTCTCAAAAAAAAAAAAAAAAAAAAATTACTCCTTTCCCCCCTTTTCATGTTGTATGCATGAAAAAAAGTCACTATATACAACACACACTTAAAAGTGGGGGAATCATGCACCACTGCTTTTTAAAAAAAATTGTAGGTTTAGGATTATAAGTGGTTTTGGGTTGCATGAATGAATTGTATAGTAGTGAAGTCTGGGGTTTTTAGTGTACCTGTGACCTGAAGAGTGTATATTTTACCTCATAGTGAGAGGTGAAGCCAGCTGGACTTCCTGGGTCAAGTGGGGACTTGGGGAACTTTTCTTACAAGAGGATTGTAAAATGCACCAATCAGGAACTTTTGTGTCTTGCAAGAGGTTTGTAAAACGCACCAATCACCGCTCTGTAAAATGCACCAATCAGTGCTCTGTAAAACGCACCAATCAGCAGGATTCTAAAAGTAGCCAATAGTGGGGAGGATTGAAAAAAGGGCACTCTGATAGGACAGAAACGGAACATGGGAGGGGACAATACGGGAATAAACAATGGCCTCCTCCCAGCAGCCGCAAGCTGGTCCGGTCCTTTTCGAGGGTGTGGAAGCTTTGTGTTTTTGCTCTTCACTGTTAACCTTGCTACCTCTTGTTGTTTGGGTCCGTGCCATCTTTAAGAGCTGTAACACTCACTGGGAAGGTCCGCTGCTGAGTCGGTGCCATCTTTAAGAGCTATAACACTCACTGCGAAGGTCGACTGCTGAGGGTTCCCGGCTGTGAAGTCAGCGGGACCACGAACCCACAGGCAGGAACCAACTCCGGACACAATGGGTGATTTTTCATTTCTCACTCCCCGCTAACCCTTCTCCTTTCTGAGTCTAATGTCCATGATCCCACTTTGATTTTGTTCGTATATTTGGTTGTATTATTGATTCACTTTTTCTTTCTTGGTGGCACTACAAGTTGCTCCAGGTTAACTGTGTTGATTTTCTTCTCAAGCATAGTATTAAACATGTTTATCCATATTATGAAAAACATAGTATTAAACATGTTTATTCATAACTTATCTCCCATTTATAAGTGATAATCTGCAGTGTTTTTCTGTTCCTGAGTTACTTCCCTTAGGATAATGGCCTCCAGTTCCATCCAAATTGCTGCAAAAGACTTTATTTTGTTCTTTTACATGGCTGAGTAGTATTTTGTGGTATAGTGATATATATATTTTGTGATATATATTGATATATATTTTGTGATATTCATTTTGTGATATATGTATTTTGTGATATATGTATTTTGTGATATATGTATTTTGTGATGCATATATACCACATTTACTTTATCTGCTTGTTGATGGGCACTTAGATTCATTTAATATTTTTGCAGTTGTGAAATCTATTGTGATTAACCTAGAAGTGTAGATGTCTTTTTGATATATTGACTTCTTTTCATTCGAGTGTATACCCAGTAATGGGATTTCTGGATTGGATATTAGATCTGCTTTTAGTTCATTGAGAAATCTTCATACTGTTTACCATACAGGTTGTACTAATTTACATTCCCACCAAGGGTGTATAAGCACATTCCCTTTTCACCTTATCTTCACCAATAGCTATTATTTATTGACTGTTGAATAATGGCCATTCTGACTAGGGTAAGGTGATATCTTATGATTTTAATTTGCATTCCCTGATACTGACATTCAGCATTTTTTCGTATGTTTTTGATCACTTACAAGTCATCTTTTGAAAGATACCTGTTCATTTGCCCACTTTTTAATGGGATTATTCATTTTTTTGCTGATTTTTTTAACTTGCCAAAATAAGGTTTTTAGTTGATAAATAAGTTTAAAGTTTATAAATAAGGTGATAAATAAGGTTTTTAGTTTATATACTTTTATGTTTACCTTTTGTATACTTTTATGTTTATCCTTTGTGTTATAAAATTATATAGGATTTATTCATTTACTTAAATATGCATAGTGTCTGATTTTGAGTTTTCTTTTGTCATTGTTCATCTTTGTGAAAATATCGTATTGTCTTAGTTAGTGAGAGATTTCCGTTTAACACAAAATTTTTGCTCCAGAGCCCTGGGTTATTTATTTATTTATTTATTTTTTGGTTTTGTTTTGAGACAGAATCTCACTCTGTCGCTAGGCTGGAGTGCAGTGACGCTATCTCAGCTCATTGCAACTTTGACCTCCCAAAGTGCTGGGATTACAGGCGTGAGCCATCGTGCCTGGCCAGAGCCCTTTGTGTGTGTGTGTGTGTGTGTGTGTGTGTGTGTGTGTGTGCGCGCGCGCGCATGTGTGTGTGAGACAGAGTCTCGCTCTGTCACCCAGGTTGGAGTGCAGTGGCGCGATCTCGGCTCAGTGCCAGCTCTGCTTCCCGGGTTCACACCATTCTCGTGCCTCAGCCTCCCCAGTAGCTGGGACTACAGGCGCCTGCCACCACACCCGGGTAATTTTTTTGTATTTTTAGTAGAGACGGGGTTTCACTCTGTTAGCCAGGATGGTCTGGATCTCCTGACCGCGTGATCCGCCCTCCTCCGCTTCCCAAGGTGCTGGGATTACAGGCGTGAGCCACCGCGCCCGGCCCAGAGCCCATTTTTAATCATCTAGCTATTCTTTAATGAAGAGAGAGAAGAAATAAAATCCGTACGTCTTGAATCTAACCACTATTCCCAGTTTAACCTTGAAGAAATTTAGGTGTATTTATAACATTAAAACATTGTTATTCACACTTATGTCTCTAATATTCTTGTGAATCTTGGGTGATATTGGGCAGTGCCCTCAGTATCACTCCTGGTATTGTTTTTTGGTGGTGATTCATTCTTAGGGAATTAAACTTAATGTCATGCCGCCTCCTTTTTTTTTTTTTTTGGGAGATGAATTCTTGCTCTGTCGCCCAGACTGGAGGGCAGTGGCGCAATCTCGGCTCACTGCAAGCTCCGCCTCCCGGGTTCACGCCATTCTCCTGCCTCAGCCTCCCGAGTAGCTGGGACTACAGGCGGGTGCCACCACGCCCGGCTAATTTTTTGTATTTTCAGTAGAGACGGGGTTTCACCGTCTTAGCCAGGATGGTCTCGATCTCCTGACCTTCTGATCCTTCCGCCTTGGCCTCCCAAAGTGCTGGGATTATAGGCGTGAGCCACCGTGCCTGGCCACCGCTTCCTTTTCTTTCTTGATTTCTGGAGCAAAGAATTCCCCAAAGTTGTATTCCATCTTCAACAGTCCGTGATAGGAAGAACCTGTACAAACATCCCTGCCTCCTCCTGCGCAAGCTCAGATGACACAGTGGGTATGGCCTTTACTCTATAAACCACTCCCACCAAGGACTGGGCAGCAGCTTGTTATCCCTGATAATCTTCTTGATTCAGAATCTACTCTGTCTGACAATGTTGTTACACCAGCTATTTTTATAATTTTATATTTTATAATTAGTGTTGGCAGGATATATTTTATTGCATTCATTACTTTAGTTTCAAGTAATCATTTAAAATGGATTTTTTATGAATAACATACAGTTGTGCCTTGCTTTTTCATCCACTCTGACAATTTTATCTTTTAACTAATTTCCTGTTTAGAAAAAAAAAAAAGTGTAGCTTTGCTGCCAGTGCTCATTTCTTGGGGCAAACAGGTAATGGGTTAATTTGTAAGGTTAGACCCTTGGCATTCAGCATGAATTTTGATATAGTTGGATTAATATTTTTTATATTTGCTAATATCTTCTAGTTGTGGCCCTTTATTCTTACTTTTGTTATCTGCTTGTTTTCTGCCTTTTGTGGTTTTAATTGGGCATTTTATATTATTTCGTTCTCCTAAATAGCATATCAGTCATACTTTTAAAATTTGTTTTTTAGTGTTTAGAGTAAAAACTTTTATTTTTTCATATGCTTAATTGCTACTTAATAAATTGTTAAATACAATAATAGCAACATCATATGATTAGGTATTCTTATGTGTATGTCACACTTATATACCTGTACATGAATATACATACAAGTATGCTTTATTCAATTGATATTAATGACAAGAATGATACAAATGATGGGATACAATAATTATTATTATTCTGTTATAAGGTGTTTACACTACCTTTTAAGTGATATACTGCTATTTGAAAGGGGACTTGGGATAGTCATGAATGTAAGCTGCAAACTTTAGGGCAGGCTGTTTGACCAGGAGCCTCAGTTCCTTGCTGGCTGTTGACCAGAGGCTGCATTTAGTTCCTTCCCATGTTGGCTTCTCTCACAGGGAGATTATTTCATATTGGTCATCAAGGGCGAGAGCTTGTATGCAAGACAGAAATCACAATTTTAAGTACCAAAACTGCATTACTGAATTGTTAGCAAGCAAGTCACAACTCCTGTTTACACTCATAAGGAGAAAAGTAGAATACCAGATTGTGTATCCCTGGAGGTGGGAATTACCATCTTAGGGCCTATCTACCACATCAGGTCTTGCCCAATCTAAAGTAGTTTCTCAGTCTTCACTTATTTTGCTGACCTTGGTCCTTGTGGGGAAAAAAAAAGAACCAGTCAGGTATTTTGTACAATGTACCATGATATGGATTTGTCCAAGTAGTTTCTCATAATTTGACTGGAGTTATGGATTAATTTAGGCACTACATTTCTCTAAGTTGGAAAAATGAAAAAACTGAATAGTATATTAGCAAAGCCAACTTACATAGAAAAATTAAAAAAAATGACAGAGACAAATAATAGTAACCTTCACCAGTTTAAGGAAGAAAATAGAATTTGAGAAATGCACTCAGGAACATTAACAATATTGATAGTATTCTCTTTTATTAAGCTCAGGAGTTAATTGGGGAAAAAAGAGAAACTGTTCTATTTTAGAATACTTTTGGATTTATGGAACAGTTGGAAATCAGTACAGAGAGTTTATTGATATCCAACACAATTTTCTTTATTTTTAATCTCTTAGTGTGGGATATTTGTCACAGTTAACAAAGGGAACGTTACACAGTTAACAAAATGAACGTTACACATTCATTAACACACATTATTTGTATATCGTTAGCTTTCACTTAATGTCCATTTATTATTCCAGGATCCCACTTGGGATCTATATAACGTTTATATATTGTGTCTAATTAGGCTGGTTTTACCTGGGCCAGTTTCTCAGACTTTCCCTGTTTTTGATGACATTAACATCCCTCATGGAGAATTTTTCTGATGTTAATCATGGTTAGACTCGACTGGTGGGTTTTGGAGAGGAAGACCACAGAGGGAAAGTGCCATTCTCATTACTTTATACCAAGTGAATATATGACAATATGCTTTATTGCTGTTGATGTTAACTTGATCATCTGGATAAAACTTAAATATTTCTTCTTCCGATGTTGCACTTTTTAAAAAGAAGTTGCTATGCACAACACATACTAAAGAAGTAGAAAAACATGCTCTACTTCCTCATAAGCAGATCTTCTTCTAAATCATTTGTATTTCTTCACCAAAGATAATTTGTCTATTCTTAATTTATTATCTATTTGTTCAATCATTTGTTTATATCGTATAAATTATAATATGAAGTCATAATATTAGTTTTACATTTTATTGTACTAATATATTATTAAAAATTGTTCTAGTGTTGGCCATTGGAAGGTCTGTATATACTCCTTTATGGTTTTGATATATTAGCATCATCACACTTTGATTTTGTTCGTATATTTGGTTGTATTATTGTTTCACTTTTTCTTTCTTGGTGGCACTACGAGTTTCTCCAGGTTAACTGTGTTGATGTTCTTCTCGAGCATAGTATTAAACATGGTTTTCAAGCAATCTCTGTTACTTTTTGGTAATTATATTAGAAACAAAGGTCTGGGCAGTGATTTCACTCATTTGTGTTTAGGATCTGTTGATTCTAGGTTATCTCAGCTAACGAGGGTAAAGGGATGTGTGTTTATACCAATTTACAAATGCATATGTATAGATAGTTCTACAGTTCTCTATATATGTCTGTATGAAGTTAGACATGAATTTCTACCTATATCTCCAGTACCACATGATATAATCCAGTACCACAGGAATCAGTGTACCCGATTCAACTACATTTATGTTACCTCTCAGTGTGTGAGAAAGTTAGTCATGTTTATGTAACCATGAGTCCCAAAATACAAGTATTGTAGTTTCTGAATTGGTAATCCATACTCCCAGGGGCAATAACTTCATCAACTAAAGTGCAGAGTTTATGTTTAAATATTTTGGTTTTTGGACATAGAATCTTATCAACTTACTTAGGTCAGTAAACCTTTTTTTCTTATACTTTTCACTCAGGTTATTCTATACTTTGGTTATATAGTTATGTTACTTTGTTTGAATTTCTCTCTGGGATCCCCCAACTTAATAATTATTGTTTTCTTAAAGCAATTTACATACATTATTTGGGTTTGCTCTTTGTGACGTGAAATTCTGTAGGATTAAAAAAATGGTATCATTAACACCATCACAGCATCATAATTTTTTTTTTTTTTTGAGATGTGGTCTTACTCTGTCACTCAGGCTGGATTGCAGTGGCATGGCCTTGGCAGTCTGCAACCTCTGCCTCCTGGGCTGAACTGATCCTCCCATTTCAGCCTCCTGCAGCGCTGGAACCACAGGCACACGTGATCATGCCAGGGTGATTTTTGTATTTTTGATAGAGATGGAGTTTCACCATGTTGTCGAGGCTGGTCTCAAACTCTTGAGCTCAAGTGATCTGCCCACCTCACCTCCCAAAGTGCTGGGATTACAGGGGTGATCCACCATGCCTGGCCCAGATAATAATTTTAATGTACAAATAATCTTTTGTATTTCTCCTAATCAAACTTTCTCTCTTCTAGGACCTTAGTAATAGCTCATATTTTTATATTCTTTATAATTTTACCTTTTCCTCAGTGTCATATATTGAAATTGCATAGACTTTTAAATATTTCTTCAAACATTTATGAATATGCCTTTAAGATTTGTGAAGTGTGTCCTATGGTAGCTTAGATTTGTATTTCCCCGAGGAGTAAAGATGTTAAGCATCTTTTTGGGAGTTTATTGGACATTTCTACAGCTTTTTGGAAAAATGTCTATTCATTCATACAATTTACCTACTTTTAATTAGGCTGGGTGTCTTTTTAATGTTGCATTTAAGAATGTTTCATGTGTTCAGGTGCGGAGGCTCATGCCTGTAATCCCAGCACTTTGGGAGGCCAAGGCGGGTGGATTACGAGGTCACAAGATTGAGACCAGCCTGACCAACATGGTGAAATCCTGTCTCTACTTTAAAAAATACAAAAATTAGCTGGTCATGGTGGCGCGAGCCTATAATCCCAGGTACTCGGGAGGCAGAGGCAGGAGAATTGCTTGAACCCAGGAAGTGGAGGTTGCAGTGAGCCGAGAATGCTCCACTGCACTCCAGCCTGGTGACGGAGCGAGCCTCAGTCTCAAAAAAAAAAAAAAAAAAAAAAAAAAGAATGTTTCATGTATTCTGGACAATAGTCTCCTAACAACTATATGACTTGGAAATATGTTCTTCCATTATTTGGGTTGTCTTGATGGTGTATTTTGCATCACAAAATGTGTTAATCCACATGGAGTTCAATGCATCTATTTTTTTTTCCTCTCACTTGTATTTTCGTGTCACATGTTAGAATCCATTGTTTCACCTAAGGCCATGAAAATGTATTTCTATGTTCTCATCTATGGGATTTTTAGTTTTAGCTCCTACATTTAGACACATGCTCTATTTTGAGTTAGACACATACGTAGTGCAGGAAAGAGTTTAACTTCCATGTGGATATCACCTTCTCCCAGTAACATTTGTTGAGAAAATATTTTTCCATCTTTAATTTTTCAACCTTGAAAATAAGTTTGCCCTAAAGATTGATTTTGGAGTACTGTGTTCTGTTGGCTTATATGTCTTTGTTTATGTTGTTATGTGACTTTTTCATAGATACAGTTTTTGGTTTAGAAAGTTTTCTTCTATGCCTAATTTTTCCAGAGCTCTTATCATGAATGGTTTTGGGATTTGTCAAATGCTTATTCCGCCTCTTTAGAGGTGACCATGAGGCTTTTGTTTTTTAAACTCTATTAGTATAGTTTATAACACCAATTGTTTTTGTACGTTTAACCAAACTTACACTCCAGGAAATCAGTATTTTTGCCGATAGTGTGTAATCCTTTTTATATGTTACTGGTTTATTTTGATAGTATTTTTTTTGAGAATTTTTGCCTCTGTTTCATATTGGTCTGTAGTTTTCCTTTCTCGAAATGTCTTTGTTTAGTTGTGGTGTCAGGGAACACTGGCTTCATACAGTGCATTGGGAAGGGTTCTCTACTCCTCTGTTTTTCTTGGAAGAAATAAGTAAAACATTGTTTTATTAAATCTCAAAAGCTTTGGAATAATTCACCAGTGAAGTCATCTTGGCCTGGACGGAAATTGGATCCTCACAACAATCACAATAGCTTTGAAGGTGATCCTTCCCCAGGTGAGCCTTCCCTTGAAATCTCCCCCTGGGTCATCTGACCAGGAGAAACTATAAGTAATGTGTATTTATGGGTAGGTTTGAACCTCTTTGCTGTGTAGTACTTTGTTATAGAGCAATCAGTAGGTAATATGCCTGACAGTAAACATAATGTGGTATCTTGGATTAGATCCTAGAACAGAAAAATGACATTACTGAAAAACTTGGTAAAATGTGAAGAAAGTCTATATTTCAGTTAGTTAGTTTTGTATCACTGTAAATTTCTGAGCTTTCATAGATATGTTGATATAAACTGTTAACATTTCAGGAAGCTTTAGGATATATGAAACCTATCTTCATAACTTTCTGTAAATCTAAAATTATTTCAAAATAAAAAATGTTTCTTAAAATGTATTATTTATTAAAAAAAAACAGACATAGACCACAAAGAAACCTTAGATCAGAGGATGAGTGGAGATGCAGAGAGTGAAAGGCAAAGTAGCTTGCCTCATTATCCCCCATTCCTACATAGGGCACCTGCTTGAGAAAGACACCATCAAGCTCTAGGGACTCTCATCCATTTTCTTTTTTCCCATCACCTTCCCCATTACCCAGTCACCAATTTCTTGCCTCAGTAACCACGTTTTTAGAGAAAGGTGACTTTCTCACATAGGTTAGAAGGCCCTGTTTTCAGGTGCTTCCTGGCAGTGTGTTTGTAGGATCCCAGAAAAGACATTTTAGACATTTTAGGCCGGGTGCGGTGGCTCACGCCTATAATCCCAGCACTTTGGGAGGCCGAGGTGGGTGGTTCATGAGGTCAAGAGATCGAGACCATCTGGCCAACATGGTGAAACCCCGGCTCTACTAAAAATACAAAAATTAGCTCGGCATGGTGGCTGGCGCCTGTAGTCCCAGTTACTCAGGAGGCTGAGGCAGGAGAATCACTTGAACCCAGGAGGTGGAGGTTGCAGTGAGCTGAGATCATGCCACTGGACTCCAGCCTGGTGACAGAGTGAGACTCCGTCTTAAAAAAAAAAATTTAAAAAATTAAAAGACAGAACTTCCAGACATTAGAAGACAAGATTGAGAAATGCTCAGTGATGGGAAACATGAATCATATGTCTGCATTAGGAGTGTTTTCTTTGTACAGGCATTCTTTTTCAAGTTTTAAAAGAGAAGGATACCTTTAAGCCCTTGAGAAAACACTGATAATTCAGTTTTCATCATGCAGACTCCATCATTAATTCATGGGACCACATATTTACCTAGGTCAGCTGCTTTCTTCCATTTTCTTTGGTGAGGTTATTCCATATATTCATTACATAGTTATATTATATTGTGGGCATCGTCCCTGGAAAGCCTCTACCTCCTAAATAAGGTTTTTAATTTGCATAACTTAGGTACACTCTTTGTGTTACAAAGCTCTTCAGGATTTGGAAAACATAATTAGGTATCCAGCATTACAGTATCAGAGAGTAATTTCACTGTCCAAAAGAAGTCTTGATAGTTAACTGATTCCACCTTTTTCTCCTTCAAGCCGCTCGTTACCACCAAACTCTTAATTATTGCTATCCTTTTGCCTTTTCTATAGAGTCATATAAATGAAATTGCACAGTATTTTGCCTTTACCAACTTACATTTTTTCACTTAGCAATATTTAGCAATATTTTTTTTTAGAATTTGAAGTATAATCCCGTGTCTGTTTAGATTTTAGTTCCCCTAATTTTTGCAGGATAGGTGACACCCAAAATTGGGGCTTCGCCTGGAGGGTTATTGGCTTTGCCAAGTAAAGAATTTAAGGGTGAACCAGTGGTGGTAGAAATCTTTTTATTTTATGGTACTTCTCCTTGCAGAGCAGGGCTAACTCTTAGGCAGTCTCTCCAGAGTTGGCAATCTATGGCCTCTTGACAACTGTATTTACACTAACGTAAATCTGCTTTCAGTTACATGAAAATTGAGGGTTGGATCATTACAAATTGAGAGGTGGGTTATTTAGAACTTTCTAGGGAATGGGCAGTAACTAATGGGTCATTGCCATTGAAATGGCTGTTAACTTTCAGGTTGTTGCCGCGGAATTTGTAAACAGTCATGGTGCTGATGGAGTGTCTTACGCTAATGAGGATGGCCAGGATCGCTTTTGTCTCTATCTACTGGTTTTGTTGGTTTCTTCACTTTATCCTGTGTGGAACAGATCTTGTTTTGGTCAGTAGGGTTGCTAGCAGAAAACAAGTGATGCCGTTCTCCCGCCTCAGAATGGCAAAAGGCATTGAGTGTCTTTTCATGTCATTTTTGGGTATGACTAGATTTTTTGGAATAATGGCTATGCGAATAATTTTCAATTTTTGATTGGTATATTTGCCTTTTTATTTTCAAGTTTTAAGATAGTCATATATTCTGAATAATAAACCATTATTATGTATAAAATTTACATACATTTTCTCTTTCCTTGGGTTTCTAATTTTGATGGTGTTCTTTGAATCCCAAAATGTTTTAATTGTAATGAAGTTCAGTACATCTATTTTTTCTTCTTTTCCTGTGTTTTCGGTGTCATATCTTAGAAAACATTGTTTCACCTAAGATTGCAAAGATGTATTTCTGTGTTTTTTGTATGGTTTGGGCCTGTTTAGCTATTATATTTAGATGTATGATTATTTTGAGTCAATTACGTTTGTGGTGTGAGGCAGGAGTCCGACCTGCCTACGGATATCTGCGTTTTTCAGAAACATTTGATTAAAAAAAAACTCCATACCTAATTTATTTGACCACATGCTAATATTATTTCCTCATAAATGTAAGGATTTATTTTTGTCCATTATATTCTATTCTGTTGATCAATATGTAAATCCTTATACAAGTACCATAAATCTTGATTTGTATTCTTTTGTATTAACAGTAAGTTTTTCTTTTTTTTTCTTTTTTTCAGGACAGAGTCTTGCTGTGTCTCCCAGGCTGGAATGCAGTGGTGCAGTCTTGGCTCACTGCAACCTCCACCTCCTGTGTTCAAGCAATTCTTGCGCAAGCAATTCTCGTGCCTCAGCCTCCCGAGTAGCTGGAATTACAGGCATGCGCCACCATGCCCAATTTTTGGATTTTTAGTAGAGATGGGGTTTCATCATGTTGGCCAGGCTGGTCTCAAACTCCTGACCTCAAGTGCTCTGCCCACCTCAGCCTCCAAAAGTGCTGGGATTACAGGCATTGAGCCACTGTGCCGGACTGTATTAATAGTTAAGTTTTGAAATCAGGAAGTAGATGTCTACAATTCCAACCTTTTGCCTCTTATTCGAGATTATTTAGGCTGCTGTGGGTCTATTGCATTGCATATGAACTTTAAAATAACCTTGTTAATTTAGGGGAAGGAAATATCACCTGGGATTTTGGTAGATGTTGCATTCAATCTATAGATCTATTTGGAAAATAGTGCCATCCTAACAGTACTAATCCTTCTAAGCAATGAACATTCAAATATTTTCTATTTATTTAATTTTCTTCAATATGTTTTCTAGTTTTTGTGTACATGTCTTACACTTAATTTGATAAACATGCCTATTTTCGATGCCATCTCAAGTGGAATGGTTTTCTGAGTTTTGTTTTTAGGTTGTTAATTGCTAGTGTATAGAAATTCAAAGGATTTTATATGTTGACCGTATATACTGTAAGTTTGTTACTCATCTTTAAGGTTTAAATATATTTTATTAGAGTCCTTTGGATTTTTTTATACATAAGATTATGTCATTTGCAAACAAGAGTTTGACTTCCCTTATCTGCCTTATTTGCTGCATGTTTTTTTTTGTTTTTGTTTTTGTTTTTGTTTTTTGAGAAGGAGTCTCGCTCTGTCACCCAGGCTGGAGTGCAGTGACGCAATCTTGGCTCACTACAAGCTCTGCCTCCCGGGTTCACGCCATTCTACTGCCTCAGCCTCCCGAGTAGCTGGGACTACAGGTGCCCGCCACCACGCCTGGCTAATTTTTTTTTGGTACTTTTAGTCGAGACAGAGTTTCACCGTGTTAGCCAGGATGGTCTCGATCTCCTGACCTCGTGATCTGCCTATCTCGGCCTCCCAAAGTGCTGGGATTACAGGTGTGAGCCACTGCGCCTGGCCTGCTGCATGTTTTTATCATAGTGAGTTCAGGAATTCTCAGGTGTTGCTGCATCTTTTGAGATGACTATGTGGTTTTGTTTTTTATCATATTAATATAGTGCATGGCATTAATTGTACTTGAATGTTGAACCAAATGTTGCTTTCCTGAGGTAAATACCCTTGACATATTTTATAATACTTTTTACATGTTGCTGATTTGTTTTACTAGGATTTCCTTGATGATTTTTGGCTCTATATTCGTAAGGTGTGTTCTTAATTTTCATTATTTGAAATCTGTTTGTCTAGTTGCGGTATCAGGGTAAACCAACTCACAGTATAAATGAAATGCGATGCCTTCTCCACTTTGTTGTTGTTGTTTTTAACAACTTATTATAAATTAATATTAATTGTTAAGTGATTCCAATAACTGACTAATGAATTATCTTGACTGGGGCAAGGAAGCAAATCCTAGGAACAATCACGTGAGCTTGGAAGGAGACCTTTCCCCAGCTGAGCCTCAGCCTGGGCCATCACCTGCATCTGGACTGAAGACCCAAAGAAACTGTGAGTAATACGTGTGTGTTTTTTGAGCCACTTAGGTATATAGTAATTTGTTGTGCACCAAGTAATAAGTAATATAACTGACAGTAATTTTAAGATGGCATTCTGGATTAGGTGTGGAATAGATAAATACATCATTATCAGAAATCACGGTAAAATAGGAAGAAAGTTTGTAGATCAGCTGATGGTTTTGAAAAACAGTTAAAATTCTTAGTTTTCATTAAAACTATATTATGGTTATAATAGATAATAACATTGTAGTTAGCTGAAGGTTATACAAAACTCTCTGTACTACCAGTGCATCTTTATGTTAATGTGCAGTTATTTCAAAGTAAATGTTTTTTAAAATTATTAATTTGTTTTATAGAAATAAAATGAAGACATAAGGCAAAAATTTGGCCTCCAGAGACACAATAGCATGTAGGGTGAGAATAGCAAACTGGCTTTTCTTATCTAGTCACCTTTCTAAACCCAGGTGCACCTGCTTCAGGAAGGCACCATCAAGCTCCAGGGACTGTCATCCTCTTTCTCCGTCCCCATTATGCAGTCACCAGTTTGAATGTCAGCAACCCCTTTTTCAAAGAAAGTTGCCTTTCCTTCACATATCCCGGAAAGACCCATCTGTGGGCGTCATTTAGCAGTGTATATGCAGTCTCCCACTGAAGCCTTTTTGGGAGATAGACTCTGAGATACTAGAAGCCAAGAATAAGAAATTTCAGTGACAGGGAGCATAAATCATATTTCTGCCTTCTGGATAATGTTCTTGGTACAAGGGTACCAAGAAAGTACAAGAAGTACTTGTACTTCTTCTGCAAGTAATCAAAAGACAACTGTACTTTTAAACCTTTCAGGAAACCTGTACTAATATATATTTTTTTCTTTTTAACTCTACAGACTCCATCAGGAATTGTTTGAGACCATGCATTATGTGGACACTCATATCGTGGAATTATATTGCCAATTGGCATTCCTAAAGCTTCTACGCTAGCAGGTAGTAAGCAGAGTACAAAAAATATTTCTAATAGGGTGATTTAGGCCAGTCCCTGCTTACAGAAACCTGGATATAAATTTTTACACATCACGATTTTCTCAGGTGAATGTTAGGGAGTGATACACGTGCATTGTGTGTAAGTCAAGGAAGCTCAGTAGGAACAAAAACAAAAGAACAAGCAGCGTAGGATATACCCCCAACCCTCCATGCCGTGATCTTAGAGATGGGTACAGGCTGAGTGATGACTCAGTATATACTAGCAACTTCTTTTTTTTTTTAAAGACAGAGTCTCACTCTTTTGCCCAGGCTGGAGTGCAGCAGCGTGATGTTGGCTCACTGCAAGCTCTGCCTCCCAGGTTCATGCCATTCTCCTGCTTCAGCCTCCCAAGTAGCTGGGACTACAGGTGCCCGCCACCACGCCCAGCTAATTTTTTGTATTTTTAATAGAGATGGGGTTTCACCGTGTTAGTCAGGATGGTCTCTCGATCTCCTGACCTCGTGATACTATCTGCCTTGGCTTCCCAAAGTGCTGGGATTAGAGGTGTAAGCCACCGCACCCACCGCCCCCCTCCAACTTTTTTTTTATAAGACAGGGTCTCATTCTGTCTGTTGCCCCGGCTGGGGTGCAGTGGCATGATACTAGTTCAAGGCAGCCTTGAGCTCCTGGGCTCAAGTGATTCTTCTACCTCATCCTGTTGAGTGTCTAGGACTATAGGCATGTGCCACCATGCCAGGCTAATTTATTTTTACTTTTTACTTTTGTATAGGTGTAGTCTCCCTATGTTGCCTAGCCTTTTGTTGAAGTCCTGGCCTCTAGTGATCCTCTCACTTTGGCCTCTCAAAGTGCTGGAATTACAGGTGTGGTCTACCATGCCCAGCTGCCTTATCATGGTTAACGTTATTTGATCACCTGCATGAGGCAGTTTAGCTCAAGTTTACCACTACAAAATTAATATTTGTTCCTGTTTTCATGATGTATTTTTGGAAAAAAGTCATTATGAACAACACATATGTAGGAAGTAGGGAATTATGCTCCATCTCCTTATGAGCAAAAGTTCCATATATATCATTTGTATTTCTTCAAACATTTTTATACATTCTTTTGGGTGTTCTGGATTAAATGCATTTTCCTGTATATTTTAGAACCTGCAGTCCAGTTATCACAAAAAAATGGAAAACATGAAAGCTAGAATTTTTGTAGGGATTGTATTGAATCTGCATATACATTTGGAAAGTATAAGCATCTTGGTAAGTACCTAATAGCGTTCTCATCAAGGAAAATCTAGGTTTTTTTTTTCATTTATTCAGGATTTCTTTAATACTTCAGTATCACTTGTAATTTACAGTACATGTATATATAGTCTTGTACTTTTTTTTTTTGAGACAGAGTCTTGCACTGTTGCCCAGGCTGGAGTGCAGTGGTGCAATCTCACCTCACTGCAACTTCTACCTCCCAGGTTCAAGCAATTCTCCTGCCTCAGCCTCCCGAGTGGCTGGGATTACAGGCGCCCACCACCATGCCTGGCTAATTTTTTGTATTTTTTAGTGGAAACAGGGTTTCACTATTTTGGCCAGGCTGGTGTTGAACTCCTGACCTCATGATCTGCATGCCTCAAACTTACGTTAAATTTATTTCCAAATACATTTCCTTTTTGATGCCATGTTAAATGAATTTTTTTTAGTTTCTTTATTTGATTAGTTTGTATTTTTGTATTAGTTTGTTTCCCACTGCTGTAAAGATACTATATGAGACTGGGTAATTTATAAAGAAAAAAGGTTTAATTGACTCACAGTTCCACATGGCTGGGGAGGTCTTAGGAAACTTATACTCATGGCGGAAGGTGAAGGGGAAGCAGGCACCTTCTTCACAAGGTGGCGAGAAAGAGAGTGAAGAGGAAACTGCCAAACACCATCAGCTTTTTTGAGAACTCACTCACTATCCTGAGAACAGCACGGGGGAAACAATCCACATGGTCCAGTCACCTCCCACTCAGCCCCTCCCCCAACACAGGGGGATTTCAATTCCAGATGAGATTTAGGTGGGGACACAGAGTCAAACCATATCAATTGTATAAGAGTGCAATTTTTTTACATGAATCTTGCATCCTACAGGATTACTGAACTTTTTTAATGGTTCCTATCTCATTTTAGTGGATTCTTTAGGATTTTCTATACACTAGATTATTTACTGGGAAATAGAGATACTTTGATTTCTTCCTTCTCAATCTGGAAGTCTTAAATTTATTTGTCTAGGCTAGTTTTATCAATTAAATCTTAAAGAATAATTTTTAGTGGGAGTAGATAACCTTTTTATGTTTGTAATTTTCGAGAAATTACTGAGACTTTCTTGATACTATTGTTATGTGAGTTTTTCATAAATGACATTTTTATGTAAAGAACATTTCATTCTATGAAAAAGTCATTTAGTGTTTTTACTGTGAGTGGATTTTGGATTTGTCAAGTGCTTATTCTGCATCCTTAGAGGTGATAATGAGGCTTTATCATGTATTATATTGATATAATGTATTACAATAATTCTTTTTATATGTTTTACCAAATTTGCAATCTTGAGTAAATTAATACCTTTGTGTAACATATAACCCCTGTGTCATAATCCTGATTTGTGTTGAAATTATTTCCTTGAGGATTATTGCCTGGGTATCCATAAAGTATATTGGTTTAAATTTTTCCTTTTTTGGACTGTCTTTGTCTAGTTGTGGTATCAGAGGAAACTGTCTCACAGAATGCATTGCTTACTGGTCTCTTCTCTATGGTTTTTATCTTCTTGGAGAACAGTTAGTGAAAAATTGCTATTGATATTTTAAAGGTTTGGAGTAATTCACCAGTGAAGTCTTCTCAACCTGGGCAATCATGTGAGCTTGGAAGATGATGCATCCCCATCTCATCTTTCAGGTGAAACCTCAGCCTTGGCCATCACCTACATCTGGATTTCTGACCCAGAGAAACTGTAAGTAATGTGTGCATGCTTTTGAGCCACTAAGCTACATGGTAATTGGCTATGCTGCAATAAACAATAATACACTTGATGGTAAATGTAATATGTTATCCTGAATTGGATCAAAAAACAGAAAAATGGCATTGGGGAAAACCAGGTAAAATATGAAGACAGTCAGTACTTTAGTTAATAGTCCTATATACCTTTATCAATTTTTTGAGTTTTCACAGATATTCTTGTTTATGTATGATGTTAATATTACGGAAAGTTGAAGGGTATATGAAACTTTATGTAAGATCTCAGCAATTTTCTGTAAATTTAAAATTTTAAAATAAATAGAAGTGTAGACATTGCTCATATATTTGAGATCAGGACTTGCTGTTAACTTAATTGAGCCTTTGTGGAACCTAAAACACATGGTACAAATGCAGTAACGTTATAAAATATAAATGATATGATTTTCTATTTTATTCACTCGGGTTTTTTTTTGAGACGGAGTCTCACCCTTTCTCACAGGATGGAGTACAGTGGTGGGATCTTGGCTCACTGCACTTCCGCCTCCTGGGTTCAAGTGATTCTCCTGCCTCAGCTTCCCGAGTAGCTGGGACTACAGGCGGGCTAATTTTTTTGTGTGTTTATTTTTAGTTGAGATGGGGTTTCACCATGTTGGCCAGGCTGGCCTCAAACTCCTGACCTTGTGATCCGCCCGCCTCAGCCTCCCAATGTGCTGGGATTACAGCACCGCGCCCGGCCTATTCACTCTATTCTTCAGGGAACATGAAAGTCCATTTTTTTTCCAAAGCATCCAGAAGTACACTTGAGCTATGTAACAAGTAGACAACACAGAAGATGGAAACTATACTACATCTACATGTGCAGTAACTGATCTTAAAATGATTTGCATGATCATCATCCATGTGATTAAAATGACCACGGGAAAGAGGAAAAAGAAATGCAACTTTCTTGATTTAAAAATTCTAACTGGGCAGGTGTGGTGCTATGGGCATGTAGTTGCAGCTGCTTGGGAGGTTGGGCTGGATGATCACTTGACGTGAGGAGTTTTAGGCTGTAGTGTGCAGTGCTTGTGCCTGTGAGTAGCCATTGCACTCCAACCTGGGCAACATAGCGAGACTCGGTTTCTAAAATAATTAAATAAATAATAAATAAATGAATAATTGGATTTAGAGTGTAAGTTACAGAGATCGTTGCTTATATTTAGGGCTGCAATTCTCTAGATACAGATTTTTCTATGTATTTAAAGAGCTACCACTCCAGCACAGACTTTCAAGTACTGCTTTGCCATTTTTATTTTTCTCTCAATGGGTTCCTGGAATTACAGTTTGTAAAGTTATCTCATAGCGTATGTTTCATTTTTATTTCTGTTTGTTATTGATGTCTGTCTCTGGGTAGTGGCTATAATCTATAGCCTTGCCCAGTAGAACTCAGGCTTTGGTACAGGGTATGCTTTTCATGGGATGTTTATTCAACTTGGTTGATGGCCTAAAGCCTAATAATCCAACTTGCATCCAGGTATTTCTCTCACACAGTATACTTGCTTTTACTGGAAGACATCCTTGTAGCTCCTGTCAGACCTGTGTGTTATTTCTAACAAGATAGCCACTCTCTAGGAGAGTGCTGCCTGGGGAAAAAAAAGTGAGGTCTTCATGTGTTTGTAAAGCGACACACAGAGGAGGTAACTCAACAAAAGGTGTATAATGACATTAGTAATGTATTATTATTAACCAATCAAAGAGTGGAGGGCAGCATTCCTTGAAGCAGCAATAGGAAGGGAAGAGCTCTCCGGGACACACACTCACAAACAGTATGGGTGGTGGGGGAGCAACTACAGCAGACAGGGTAATGGGCCAGTCGGCTGAAGCCTTTATGGGTGTATTTCTCAGTTTTTTTTTTTAGAGAGACAGGACAAATGGTAGGTAGGATAGGTAGGTAGATAGATTAGATACATCGACAGATCAATACATAGATAGTTGATAGCAAGATAATAGAATAGTGGCATTTTTATTTGGGGATTCGCCCACATGATTATAGAGGCTGAGAATTCCCAGGACAGCCATTGGTAAGTTTATTATTTATTTATTTATTTATTTTGAGACGAAGTCTCGCTCTGTTGCCATGGCTGGAGTTTAGTGGCGCGATCTCAGCTCATTGCAAGCTCTGCCTCTCAGGTTCACACCATTATTCTGCCTCAGCCTCCCGAGTAGCTGGGACTACAGGCGTGCGCCATCATGCCCAGCTAATTTTTGTATTTTTAGTAGAGACAGGGTTTCACCGTGTTAGCCAGGATGGTCTCAATCTCCTGACCTCGTGATCCGCCCGCCTCAGACTCCCAAAGTGCTGGGATTACAGGCATGAGCCACTGTGCCCGGCCCATTTGTAAAGTTTAAGACTGTAGAATGTTACAGCATGGCTATAAGCCTGAGATCTTCAGAACCTGGAAAGCCCTTATTGTAATTCTCAGTTTATGACCAAAGGCCTGAGAATCCACAGGTTTCCCTCTTAAAAGTCCTGGAGTTTCAAGGTCAGAGAATTCAGAGTTCTGTCAAGGGCAGGAAAAGAAGTGTACCTGCCGAAGGGGGTGGGCAGGGATTGGGGGAGAGAGAGAGGGAGATAGCTTTTTTAAAACTTTCACTTTAGGTTATACTGGGTCATCAAGGGGATTGTATGGTGCCTGCTTCCATTATGGGTGTATTTTCCTCACTAAATTCCTTCCCTCACACAACAATCTCCTCTGGAAATACCCTGGCAGACACATCCAGAAGTAATGCTTTATCAGTTCTCTAGGTATTCTTTAATCTACATTAAATTAACCACGAAAAGCCCATCACCTTTCTACCTGGCACCTATATGTATCACCTTAAGCCATACTAATCTCCAAATACAGACAGTAATAAGGCAACATGATGCAATTATTCTGTATACAACCAAAACATACTAATCTGTTTTTTTAGAGTAGTAAAAGTTTGTGGGTGAAGTTTACTATTCTGATATCCCATAATTTCAATACAAATATGTTAAATTACTAATACTTAACTGCTACTATCAGATCAATGCATTCTTGGGTTATGTGATAAAAGAAGAGAGGGATGAAAACAAAGTTATTTGCCTAATATATGTATATAAACACACAAATGTATTCTTAAAGTAGATAGGAAATACTAGTGATAATTTTAATCCTTGTTTCTGTAACTGTTCACCTGGTCCTAACTGGTATTTATAAATTCCTTCCACTGCTCCCCACTCTGTATTCTCTTTGTGTTCAGCAAGCTCCTCAGCTGGTCTGAGGTCTTTACCTGGCAGGGTGATGCAGACCTTCATTCCTGAAAGATCTGGACCATTTGTACTGTTGCCGGGAATGGTTGTAGTTTTCCATTGAACTTAATAACAGGTCGTAGTAATACTAAGAGACTTTGTTTTAGCCCATTTTCTGTTACTTAAATACCTGGAACTGAGTAGTTGATAAAGAAGACATATATATTTCTTACAGTTATGGAGGCTGAAAAGTGGAACGTTTAGGGGCCACATGTGGTGAAGTCCTGTTGCTTCTTGGGACTCTCCAAAGAGTCCTGAAGCCATGCAGGGTATCATATGGCAATGCAGTGGAGCTTGCTAACATGGAAGATCAGGTCTCCCCTCTTACAAGCTATCAGTTTTTCTGTCTTAATAACACATTATTCTAAAACTCATCAGTGTATTAATCCATGAATGGATTAACTTAATCATAAGGGAAAACTCTTCATGATCCAGTCATCTTTTAAGGGTCTCACATCTCAGGACTGCCACATTAGGAATGAAGTTTAAACATGAGTTTGTGAGGAGAGCCCTCTACTTCTGGCTTTCTAAAAATCATGCCCTGTCACTTAAAAAAAATTGTTCCATTTCTATAGTTCAAGGCTTAAGTTGTTCCAGCACCAACCGAAAGTTCCAAAATCCAAAGTCTCATCTGTCAGCCTAACAAATCAAAACAAGTTATCTTCATACAAAATTCAGTGATTAGATTGTTAAGGCCCAATGGATTCATCTTGGCTGCTGCCCAGATAGAGCCACATTACCAAGACAGGGAAATTGCTATGTAGAGAAAACTTAGTACATGTAGAGCTGGCTAAAGGAGAGACCAGAGTTTTCTTATTACTCCAAACAGCCTCCCCAGATATTAAGAGGCTAGGGTTTTTATAGATAGTTTGGCATGCAAGGGGCTAGGGAAAGGGGAATGCTGATTGGTGGGTGTCAGGGATAAAATCTTAGGAAGTCAAAGTCATCTTCTCTTTCTGACTCAGTTCCTGGATGGGGGCCACATGTCCAGATGAGCCGGTTTACTGGTTTGGGTGGCACCTGCTGATCCATCAGTATGCAAGATCAGAAAAATATATCAAACACAAATCTTAGGTTTTACAATAGTAATGCTATTTATGGGAGCAATTGGGGAGGTTAGTAATATTGTGGCATCTGGATGTATGACTCCTGAGCCATACTTTATAACCCCATAGTTAATTTGTGAGTTTTACAAAGGCAATATGGTCTCCAAACAATGAGCGGTTTTGTTTCAGGAAAGAGCTGTTACTATCTTTGTTTCAAAGTTAAGCTATAAAATAAATTCCTCCCAAAGTTAGTTTGACTTTTGCCCATGATTGAACAAGGACAACTTGGAGGCTGAAGGCAAGATGAAGTCATTTAGGTCATCCCTCTCACTGTCACAATTTTGTCAGTGTTACAGTTTTTACAAAGATGATTTCAATTCTCTTTTTGGGGTTTTACTGCACATTATTCTTAAGGTGTGAGGCAGGCAGTTGGGAAGAGGCTGAAGACTAACTTCTTCCTGCCAACAGGGCTTGTACTTGGGATAGGGTTTGGCCCCAGGGTAAATGGAATGAAACTGCTTTGCAGCTGCCTGCATGTATTCACAGGTGCCTCGTTGGGGTTCCTAGGCTTGCATGACAAAGATGTTAGTACGCTCATCCACAATTTTAGTACAGCACTTAAGTGAGCAGCAGACTGTAGGACAATGAGTCCTAATGTAAGAAGTAGAAGTCCGAGCTTCAGAAGTCCTTATATAATTCATCTAAATTCCTGAGGGATTCAGGGGAATAGCCCCAAGAACCAGTCAGACATGGGGTCAGTAGTCAAGATAGATTTGAGCCATAAGTTGTTAGAAAGACAAATTGGAATAAATGGGAAAGAGTAAATTTATATATACCATTCCACATCTTTTTAGTTAATTTCCTAGTCCTGCAAATAGATTCATTCAGTTAAATATTTATGTTTCATTTTAGAAAGTAGAATTGCAGATGGACTAGGCCTCTATTTGTGATGAAGGCAGAAAAAATTTTTAATAACAGGCATTTGAACAGAAATAGAAAAAAACTACAAAGGTTAATGTTGAGCACAGTGTATCCACATGATAAACTCAAATATTTTTAAGGCAATGGCAGTCTGACATATTTTCAAATCACCTGTATCACAAGAAATAAGCATCTGCGTGCAGGGCTTCAGGAAAGAGGTAATAGCAATTTCATTGAGTCCAGGTCAGTAAAAATGGAAGAAAAATTGGAAAGTGTTAGTTTGGGGGTATTTGGCTCTGAAAGAGTTCAGAGTTTTCCAAAGTGCAGAAAATAATTAAAAGCTCAAAAACAATGGGCAAGACTAGAATCTTAACAACAGGTCTGCTATAGTATTTTTCTGAAATATAATTTTTCTTGTTCTAGTTCTCATTTTTATTAAAGACACATCATAGTAGGACACATTTATTTACAAAATAAGTTTTGGCATTATTATACCTAGCCTTATTATTTGCATAAAGTGAAGCAAGAATAATTATTTGCCATATTAGCTGTTTCTAAATTGGCTTTGCTGGAACTTTGTTTTAGATTAGACATTTTTAAAAGCCTTGAGTCAACCCATGGATTTATCTGTGTCTACAAATGCGTGTATGGATTGGGTGAATTCCTCTCTTCTTGACATCCCAAGATAACATGGGGATCGTAGACCTGTCAGAAAGTAACATTTTTCCCTATCTCTGGTCAGGAACCCTGTACAAAGACTGCGCAGACAAGGTATGAGGCCAGATTCCCCCCCAGGGCTTTCATCATTTCTATTAGTCAATTTGAATTCCTTAAGGCAGTCTGTTTATATGTGAAAGTATGTCATTCCACTGGTAAAATAGGCATATTTTGGTAAAATAACCAGTGTATCCAGTTGTTTCCTGTTATAAAAGAAAACAGATTCTTAAATGTAAATAACGAATTATCCATATGTTTAAAAAAAATAAACAATTTTCAAATTCTGGAGAAACCAGGCAGAGAGAAATAATGCTTCAAATTTTACTCACAGGAGTATACTTCACTCAGTTGTTAAAAGCTCAAAACAAAACTCAATTGTTAAAAGCTCAGCTGACACTGAAAAACAACAAAAAGGCTCTCCAAACAAAAAAGCTTCCTTGACACTGAAAAACAGCGACAACAAAAGGATCAGCAACATATATATATATATATTTTTGACAGAGTCTCACTCTGTCTCCAGGCTGGAGTGCAGTGGCACCATCTCGGCTCACTGTAATCTCTTCCTCCTGGGTTCAAGCAATTCTCCTGCCTCAACCTCTCGAGTAGCTGGGACTACAGGCGCCTGCCACCACACCCAACTATTTTTTTTTTTTATTTTTAGTAGAGACAGGGTTTTACCATGTTGGCCAGGATGGTCTCGATCTGCTGACCTGGTGATCTGCCTGCCTCAGCCTCCCAAAAGTGCTGTGATTACTGGCGTGAGCCACCACACCTGGCTGGATCAACAACATTTTAAGCAACAAATCATAAAAGGATTACTTCGGTCTCCTATTAGTTCAGTCCATGTAATTAACTCTTGTACTGCCTGACACTGGGCCAGTAGTCCTCATGAAAATATCAGCTATCTATGAAAGTATGTTTTTTCTATTTCACTGGCACAGTCTCTATCAGAAACCTGTATTCAAAGAACCTTTCATAAAGCAAATCACTTTTTGAAAAGGATCAAAATAATGCAACAGTTATCTGTGGATGACAAAGGTTTCAGGACAGCCATTGATTTTTAATTTTACTTTTACTTTTTTTTGAGACAGCATCTTAGTTAGTTACCCAGGCTGGAGTGCAGTGGCACAATCACGGCTCACTGCAGCCTCAACTTCCTGGGATCAAGAAATCCTCACACTTCAGTCCTCAGAGTAGCTGGGACTACATGCAAGTGCCACCACACTCAGCTATTTTTTTTTTTTTTTTGAGACAGAGTTTTGCTCTTGTTGCTCAGGCTGGAGTGCAATGGCACGATCTAGGCTCACCGTATTCTCTGCCTCCTGGGTTCAAGCAGTTCTCCTGCCTCAGCCTCCCAAGTAGCTGGGATTACAAGCATGTGCCACCACACCTGGCGAATTTTTTGTATTTTTAGCAGACCTGGGGTTTCTCCATGTTGGTCAGGCTGGTCTCAAACTCACGACCTCAGGTGATCCACCTGCCTCAGCCTCCCAAAGTGCTGGGATTACAAGCATGAGCCACCATGCTGGGTGACACTCAGCTAATTTTTATACTTATTTGTAGAGATGAGGTCTTTTTCAGGCTGGTCTCAAACTCCTGGGCTCAAGCAATCTTCCATACTTGGCCTCCAAAATGCTGGGATTACAGGCATGAGCCACCATGCCTGATGAGGACAGCCATTGTTAAAGACACAGTCAACAAGAAAATCTGGTCATCTCTGTGGCACATAATAATTTAACATAATCATAATTATTACTAATCACAATGAAATGAGGATTATAGGAATCATAATTTTGGAATACATATTTACATTTATATAAATATAATGCAAAGAAAATTCAACACCATTTTGTATTTGACAATGTTTTCTGTGTGGTCAATATACCAAATAAGGCAAATACGTCTTTTGGAGTTCAGCGGACCCAATACTTAAAAGGTTAATTAGGTAGAAAAAAAAAAGACTTAATTTACAATTTGATTTTTCAAAGTTTTTCAAATATTAAAGGTTTAAAACACTTCATATCACAAAATGGAATCCCAGATAACCACACATCATTTATTTAGAAAATAACTCAATTTCAAAAAGTCAAAAATCTCTACTCATTGATAGAGAAGGGAGACTCATCTCTCCAAACAAGAACCAATAAAGACAGCATGAGGCCGACCACATCTGTCTCTTCTCTCTCGGTGTTTTTCAGTTTATTTAAAAGGCGAACAAAAATATTTTATTATCCTTCAATATTATACAAAAGCCTTGTTCAAAGAAAAAAAAAAAACAAATTTTACCTCTGCATTAGTGTAGCGGGAAAATCAGAGAACTGGAGAGACCGAAGGGGTTCAGGAGGGTTTGTTTAAGGTGTACACCAGCTCAGTGGACTTGCATCCAGAAAGTCTGAGCATCAAACAAAGAAAGCACGTGCCTTTTATGCATTTGGGGCAGGAAAAACATGAAGTGGGAAGCAGATTTACAGAAGTGAGAACAAAAGCAGTTAATCTTCTTGTGACATGTCTTACATCTTGGGGAAAAAACATGTTTTGCAGCTTGTGCTTATCTTGTGGCCTTGCAGCTGCACAGCTAGAAAAACAGGAACTTACAAAATTTGCAGAGGGTAGATATGGTTAGTGTTTCACAGAAGGGCAATTAATAGTCTGTCTTAACTCCATTTTCGGGGTAGGGGTTACCTATAGCCCTCTTAGCCCAGGCTTAGCATTCTATGGAAGAAACTATTACTATGTCATTACTGTTTCATTTTTACTATTTCTGTTATTATTATTCTCTCTGCTTCATTAGTGTACTATTAATATTAAACCCAATTTTTATATAAAACCTTATAAACACATTATCTAATCTAAATCAGTTTGATTATAAAGTAAGAGTTTCATAAATATTTTATGGCATTTTACAATTGTATACTAAAGAGCAGATTAATGCTCCATGAAAACTCCATTTATCACACACAGGGCTGCAGACTCTGGGCCTATATCAGTGTACATTTTATTTTAATGTTTATTCTGTAGAAAAACTAAGTAATCCCTGGCTGGGCACGGTGGCTCAAGCCTGTAATCCCAGCACTTTGGGAGGCTAAGGTGGGCAGATCACAAGGTCAGTAGATCAAGATCATCTTGGATAACACGGTGAAACCCCATCTCTACTAAAAAAAATAGCCGGGTGTGGTGGCGGGCACCTGTAGTCCCAGCTATTCGGGAGGCTGAGGCAGGAGAATGGTGTGAACCTGGGAGGCGGAGCTTGCAGTGAGCCGAGATCGTGCCACTGCACTCCAGCCTGGATGACAGAGCAAGACTCTGTCTCAAAAAAAAAAAAAAAAAAAAAAAAAAAAGAAAAACTAATCCCCTTCAAATTTTGGCAGCTTGCTCATACACAGAACTTTCTTTACAAGTTCAATCTTTTATAAATCTATAAGTTGCTTAAACCTTCAGGTTTTCCTTTTTAACTTGAGATGATTTTTTAAAATCCTCTAAATTAGACAAAATTATTTTAACATTTTTATGTCTTTGTATAATTTTTTACCAAAACATATAATTTTTATATACCTTTCATGTAAATCTTTTTTCAGTAGTCTCAATTATGTATATTACAATGTAGAGTCTTAACAACTTTTATTTTTAGTGAACTCAGTGTTAATTTTGTACCAAGTACAGAGCCTAGGACACAGGACAGAACTGTAGATAATATCGGACCCTTTCCAGCATAGTTACAGGGCATAGCTAACTCAACATGTCCCCCAGTCCTTATCTAGAAGCTAATGCCTCTAATGCAGGCAGATTAGGCAATTATAAAAAGTCTCAGAAGCAGTTTATAACCTTAAATCATTTGGCAAAGACAGTATCTGACCTGCCTAATTTAGACCAAATATTTAAATATTGAAGACATTTTAATTTTATTTTACCAATAATCTATAAAACTGTCTTTATTATTCACAGATTATTAGAGTCATGTGAACTAAAAGGCAATGTAGTTAATTTTCTTGTGATAAAATATTTAAGTGCATTATATAGACATGCCAATTCATTAGAGCTCTTTTAAATATTTTGGTAGTGAAATATTATACTTATGAAGCATATCAATAAACAGACATAGAGAAGCTGTGACTTCAATGTGTCCTTTCAGACTGGGTGCCTGACATGAATAAAAAATTCCAACCCTCCATATGTGGGAGAAAAAGGGACAGTACTCTCACATGGTTACAAAGTTAAGTTCTCAAGGACAAAAAATGAGAAAAGAGGAAAATGTCACTTTTTTTTTTTTTCAGGAACCTGCAAGAAAGTTTGTAACTAACCAGTGCGCAGGGCCAGCTCAAACACTGAGTTTTTAGGGGTCTTAGGCCTACGTTCTATTCTGTGGTACTCCTCTCTATGACAGATTGACAACCGAATGACAAAAAGTTTAGTCACATAGATCTGTTTTTCTTCTAATCAAAACTTGCAGAGGAGACAAACAGTGACTTTTACAATTCATTCCACTGGTTTTGCACAGGGAGAGGTTGGCTGGTAAGAAATTTTTACTTTTTTGCTAGCTTGCCAGTTTTCCAAGTTCCCTTTGCAGCTTCCAGGAGAATGGAGCAACTTTTGATGACCCTGTTTTCTGCACCATATCTGTGGGGGCCAAGCTGTGTTACAAAATTTTGCAAGATGCCACCCAGTGGGCCGCAATGGGAACCAAATTAACACTCCTCATGTTGGCCAGAGCAAAATGCATGTGACAAAATACAGATACTAATCACCCCACTCACCATCAAAGTATTGATTTGGCAAAGCTTTAACTTGTTGCCATTGGCCCCTGTCATCTTTGATCCACTCAAGATAGGGAGAGATGACCTCCAAAAAGTAGTTTCAATGGGTGCTCCCCAGGTAACATGGAAGGGTGGATGGTCACCCTCAGTTAGACCTATTCAGCTCCTGCTAGCAGTTCCTGTAACGCTCACTAAACCCGAATGATCAGACAAACTAGGAAAGCCTGCAGTAATTCCATCAACAATTTCTTCAGAGATCTCCTCCATACATGCAAACTCCCTCAATGAAATACAGAAAAACAGAAGGCCTTCCAAACCAAAATTTCTGATCAAATCCAAACCAGAAGAGTATTCCTCCAAACGTGTCCCCTATTCCCTTCCAACTGGAGAGAGAAATCTCCTCAAACCAAGACTCTTACTACAATTCAGGGAGATACAGGCAGACCCCATGATGGGGCCACAGTACCTTTGAGGCCAACAGAGCCTCTTCCTGCAATCTAGGGAGAGCTGGACAGTTCCCATGATAGAGCTGCAATGCCTCTAGAGGGGCCAACAGATCAGGAGAAGTGGAATACTCACCAAACCAGCTAACATTTTTCATTCCAGGAATTATTTCTCTATTCCAGTTAGATCCATACACTGTGGGTAAGTAGCACCCTGCTGGTAGATACAGTGCCAGAGACAGCCTTTATTTGAAGAGAACTAGGCAGAAAATTGGGCTGTTCTCCAGATCTGCCACTAGTGAGAGATTGGCAAACACAAGGGATATATCCCTATGAGCTCCTAAGTTTGTAATGGCCTCATGGGTTCATCTTGACTGATGCCCAGATGGAGCCAATTTATCAAGAGGGGAATTACTATAGAGAAAGGGTTTGATACTTGTAGAGCCAGGTAAACAAGAGACAAGATTTATATTATTACTCAAAGCAAGCTTCCAAAAAAATCTGAGGTTAGGATTTTTTTGTAGATAATTTGGAATGCAGGAGGCTGGAGAATGGGGAATTTAGATTATTTGGGTCAGAGATGAAATTATAGTAAGCAGATAGGAGGACAGATAGGCAACAGGAGGACATCTCCTCTTGCATTGTGTCAGTTCCTGTGTGGGGGCCACAAGTCCAGATGAGACAGGTTACTGTTTCGGGAAGCACCAGCTGATTCATCAGAATACAAGGTCCGAAAAATCCCTCAAACTACAATCTTAGGTTTTACTGTATTAATAGGTTATCTATAGGAGCCGCTGGGGAGGTTAATAGTCTTGTGGCCTCTGGCTTTATGACTCCTGAGTAATACTTTCTAATCTTGTGGTTATTTTCGTGTGTTTGCAGGAGTGGTCTAGTCCCCAAACAATGAGGGGATTTGTTTCAGGGAGGTTCTCTTGTCATCTTCGTTTCAAAGTTAAGCTAGCAACTAAATTCCTCCCAAAGTTAGTTTGGCCTTTTCCCAGGAATGAACAAAGGCAGCTTAGAGGTTAAAAGGCAAGATGGCGTCAACTTAGGTCATCTCTCTTTCACTGTCATAATTTTCTGTTACCATTTTTGCAAAGGCAATTTCAGGATAAGCATAATGTACACATTCCCTTTCTAAAAGAGAGAAATGGACAAAAAGTAACAGTCTTCAAGCAAATTTGAAATCGAGCAGGGCAACCATTACATCTTAAAGCTGGGGAATATTTTTTTGACTCTTTCTCTGACTCCTGAACACACTGGGGTAAAGGTTGGACTCACAGGCCCTCGGGTACTATCACTCCTATGGCTTTGCTTGGTACATTCTCCGTGGGTGCTTGTACAGGTTGCAGTCAGGTACATGAAGTTTTCCAGGGCAGACATTGCATGCTGTAGGTGACTACACATTTCTGGGGGGTCCCGGTAGTGGTACCACTTCCTCAACTTTGCTAAGCATTACCCACATGGAACTCTGCAGTGACCTCACTGCTGTGGCTTCACTTAGCATTGCCCTGGTGGGCACCCCTTGCAGTAGCTCTAACCCCACATTTGTGTTTGGCATCCCTCTATTTGGGACTCTCTTCAGTGGATCTGGCCCTGTGACAAGTGTCTTTTTGGACTTCCAGGCTTTCAGAGAAATCCTTTGAAATTTGTAGAAACTGCCAAGCCTCTACATATCTTCATTTCTGTAAGCCTACATGATTAGCACCACATGGACACCTCCAAGGTTTAGGGCTTGTACCTCCCAGAGCTCTGGGACATAAGCTCCACCTGGGTTTATGGTAAGCATCTGGAATGAGCAGAGCAACATCCTAACAATGTGCAGGGCAGTGGCCCAGGCTGTCCCCAGAAACCACCCTGTCCCCTTAGGCCTGTCGGCCTGCAATGGATGAGGCAGCCTAGAAAATGACTGAAATGGTTGTAGGGGCCTCTTTCCCGTTGTCTTGACTACTAACAGCTGGCTGTGCTTTAGCCATTGTAATTTCTGGCAAGCTATGGCTCTGCGACATCCTTGGATTTTTCTCCTGAAAATGCTCTTTCATTCTCTACCACATGGCTAGGCTGAAAATTTTTAGAATTTTTCTGTGTGTGTGTGTGTGTGTGTGTGTGTGTGTGTGTTTGTGTGTGTTTTCTCTAGCAGTTCACCTTAAGCAGTTAGAAGTAACCACACACACAGCTTAGAAGTAATATGAACACTTTGTGGCTTTAGAAATTTTTTCTGCCAGATTACCTAGTTCTTCAGTCAGTAGTCAGTGTCTTTACAAAGCCCTTGGCATGGACACAGTTCAGCAAAGTTATTTGCCAAATTTTTTTTCTTTTATTATTATACTTTAAGTTTTAGGGTACATGTGCATATTGTGCAGGTTAGTTACATATGTATACATGTGCCACGCTGGTGAGCTGTACCCACTAACTCGTCATCTAGCATTAGGTATATCTCCCAGTGCTATCCCTCCCCCCTCCCCCCACCCCACAACAGTCCCCAGAGTGTGATGTTCCCATTCCTGTGTCCATGTGATCTCATTGTTCAATTCCCACCTATGAGTGAGAATATGCGGTGTTTGGTTTTTTGTTCTTGAGAGAGTTTACTGAGAATGATGATTTCCAGTTTCATCCATGTCCCTACAAAGGACATGAACTCATCCTTTTTATGGCTGCATAGTATTCCATGGTGTATATGTGCCACATTTTCTTAATCCAGTCTATCATTGTTGGACATTTGGGTTGGTTCCAAGTCTCTATTGTGAATAGTGCCGCAATAAACATACGTGTGCATGTGTCTTTATAGCAGCATGATTTATAGTCCTTTGGGTATATAGCCAGTAATGGGATGGCTGGGTCAAATGGTGTTTCTAGTTCTAGATCCCTGAGGAATCGCCACACTGACTTCCACGATGGTTGAACTAGTTTACAGTCCCACCAACAGTGTAAAAGTGTTCCTATTTCTCCACATCCTCTCCAGCACCTGTTGTTTCCTGACTTTTTAATGATTGCCATTCTAACTGGTGTGAGATGGTATCTCATTGTGGTTTTGATTTGCATTTCTCTGATGGCCAGTGATGATGAGCATTTTTTCATGTGTTTTTTGGCTGCATAAATGTCTTCTTTTGAGAAGTGTCTGTTCATGTCCTTTGCCCACTTTTTGATGGGGTTGTTTGTTTTTTTCTTGTAAATTTGAGTTCATTGTAGATTCTGGATATTAGCCCTTTGTCAGATGAGTAGGTTGCAAAAATTTTTTCCCATTTTGTAGGTTGCCTGTTCACTCTGATGGTAGTTTCTTTTGCTGTGCAGAAGCTCTTTAGTTTAATTAGATCCCATTTGAGCCCTCAGAAATAACGCCGCATATCTACAACTATCTGATCTTTGACAAACCTGAGAAAAACAAGCAATGGGGAAAGGATTCCCTATTTAATAAATGGTGCTGGGAAAACTGGCTAGCCATATGTAGAAAGCTGAAACTGGATCCCTTCCTTACACCTTATACAAAAATTAATTCAAGATGGATTAAAGACTTAAACGTTCAACCTAAAACCATAAAAACCCTAGAAGAAAACCTAGGCAATACCATTCAGGACATAGGCATGGGCAAGGACTTCATGTCTAAAACACCAAAAGCAATGGCAACAAAAGACAAAATTGCCAATTTTTAACAGAGATGTTCTTTAGTTTCCAATATTGTTTTTCCTTAGTTGTGATACAGCTCCGATGAGTGGAGGAACACTAGGGCTCTTCTCTCACGCCAAATTAGATAAGATGACATGGACACACATGGAGTGGTTTTAAGGAGTGGAGAGTTTAATAGGCAAGAAGGGAAAAGAAAGAAAACAGAGGGAGGGCAGCTCCAAATCCAAGAGAGGAGACCCCATGTGCCACGGAAAAGTGGCTGCTTATATGAGTAGGCTGGAGGAGGTGGTGTCTGATTTGCGTAGGGCTCAAGGGATGGGTTTGACCAGGCAAGTCACTCAAGTAGCCCTCAAAAAAACTGGCCCTCCCACCCTAGACTTTTAATATGCAAATGCAGAGCACCATGATGTTTTAACACATGGGGATATGTGGGGGTGGCCATGTTGCCAGGCACATGTGGGGGCAAGGAAGAAGAGGGCAGGAATCACCATCTTTGGGTAGACTCAGTTTCTAATGGCCCGTATTTGCATATCAAAGGTTGCAGACCTGGCTCTAAGAGCCAGGGCTTTCCTGCTAGACAAGAAACGTTTCTGGAGCTGCTTTAAAAGACACACAAACTTTCCAAGGACCCCTTTTCCACTGTATTTGCTTAATAACTCCTATAACAGTTGCATCTGAAACCTTGTCAGCATAGCCTTTAGTCTCCATAGTTTTATCAGCAGTCTGGTCAAAACCACTTCATCAATCTCTAAGGACTTCCAAATACTTCCCAGTCTTTTTGTCTTCTGAATTGTCACAAGAACACAGGGTTTTTCTAGTCTGCCTCTCAAGGTTCTTTTAGCCTCTGCCCACAACCCAGTTTGAAAGCCACTTTCACATTTTTAGATACTCAGTTTCAACAGCAACCTATTTCTTATTACCAATTTTCTGTATTAGTCCCTTTTTTCTGCTTATAACAGGATACAAAATATTGGGTCATTTATAAAGAAAATAAATGTATTTCTTATGATAATACACTGATAACTTACATCAGCTGTTAAGTCCGAGGCTGAGGGGCCACATCTGGTGAGAGCCTCTTGCTGGTGGGGACTCTCTAAAGAGTCCTCATGACATGCAGGATATCAGCTGGTTAGGGGGCTGTTAGAAACAAGTGCTTGGTGTTGCTAAGAAAAAGGAGCACTTAGAAAATTTCTTAGCAAGGCACATTTGCTTCTGCAGAAGGGTGCTGCCTGTGTCTGTCTAATGGCAAGAGTACACTGAGTGGGGTAGGGCAGGGGTTTTTATCCTTAATGCAATCTCTGTTGCTATGTCCTTTCCCCATTGGCTGGAGTTAGACCACACAATCTAAGCTAACCTGATTGGCTACTGTTGGAAATTGAATATGGTTAATTAGGCAGGAAGGGAGAGGCTGTTCGTTGCTAAGGTAGGAAGGGTTGTTTACAGAACAAATACAAGGCATGTCTGGGCACAGCGAAGGGTTGTTTACAGAGTAATAGATTTGCTAGTTAAAGATTAAGGAGAGAAACATGCTTGTTACAGATCAAGCAGAAAAGGCTGTATGTAGAGCCAGAAAGACCAAGAAAGCTTTGAAGAGGAACTTATTATTTCTGGCAGGGCTGAGCATGCTAATGCAGGTCTTTTTTCCTTTAACAAAACCACCAATGGCCCTCACATGATAACCCGTTAATTTATGTATCCATGAATGAATGGATTCATCCTTGAGGGCAGGCCAGTCATGATTGATTGAAACACCTCTTAAAGGCCACACCTCTGAATAACTGCCACACTGGGAATTACATTTCACAATGAGTTTGGTAGGGGACAAATATTTCAAACACAGAAGACACAAGGAGATCTGTATTCCAGACATACTCTTCTGTCCTCCATTGTGGAGTACTTGTCCAATTTCCCCCTGGTAATCTGGATCAATTACCCCAAACAACAGTGCAACCCCCCTTCTTAGGCTGTTGGTTCAGGGACCTGAAGATTTGAAAGTGGCTAGGTGGGCCATTCTCATTATAATCTATTGATTCCTGAACTATATGTAAATTCTGGTTTGGGGAGAAACAGCACCATATAATGGGTGCTGATTCACGGGACGTATAGCCTTCCAGAGAACCTTGCAACAGTCTCCTAAAGTACTGTCACCTAGCAAGTGCTGGACCCGAAGTCTCCAAAGGACATCCCGTAATTTTATCAAGCCACTTTCTTCAGGATTACAGACGACATGGTAAACTCACAGAAGTTTCTGAGCATGAACTCACTTCTGCCCCTCTTTGTCTGTGAAATGAGTTCCCTGTTCAGAAGTGATGCTGTGTGAAATACCATGATGGTAGATAAGGTATTCTGTATGTCTATGGATGGTAGTTTTCACAGAATAATTATGTGCTATTTCTTTAAATTTCTATAAATTTCAATTTATAGAAAGAGTAACTATCTTACTATTCAGGGAAAGACAAAATGCTGCCCCTTCCTTGATGAAAGCTGCCCAAGGTAATCAGCCTACCACCAGGGAGTTGCCAGATCATCCTGGGGAATGGTGCCATATGAGGGGCTCAGTGGGTGTTAATTTCTGCTGCTGACAGTTTGAGCACTCAGAGGGAGCTGTAACCTGGTTGGCTATGGTGAGTGGAATTCCAGGTTGCTGTGTGCATGCATAATCCCATCCCTACCACTGTGGCCGCTTTATTCATGAGTCTAGTGGGTGATGACACAGGTGGGTGGGGAATGAAACTGACTAGTGTCATAGAGTGCATTATCCCATCCACTGGATGATTAGAGTCCTCCTCTGCTGAGGTGACCATCCTTTGGTGAGCATCCACATAGGACACAGATGTTTTAAATTTTTGGCCACTCAGAGAGGTCTATTCCTGTACCACTCCTGCAAATTGCTTTGTCACCAATTTTTCAATCATGTATTTTTAAAGACCCTGACCATCTGGCCTAACCATTGGCTGCAACCCTTGGATCATTGTATAATTACACTTCTGAGCAGATTTTCTTCTAAGCAAAGTGCACAACTATATGCCCTCCTTAACATTCTGCTGATTGAGATCTCCCTTTTCTACTAAACTTCAGCAATGGCCCAGATAGGGGCTGTAGTGCCACAGCTGTACAGTTTTGAGTGATGCCTGCATATTGTGCAGAACTGTCAGTAAGTGAGGCTCTAGCCTTCTCTTCTTCAACTGGTTGTAGTTGAGGCCATGATACATGCTTCTAGAGAGAAGGCGGTGTAATGGGAGTGGAGACCATGGGTATTTGGACACTTTATGTATCTTATTTGTGCCTCCTCAGCCTTTTTGGGACCAGTTTTGTATATACTAGTCTCATGTGATGATGGTGCTGTGCACATCCAACTTTATGTCTTGGTATGACAGACAATGCCCAGTTCATAATGGGCAGCTGAGGCTGCCTGGTAACTTAATGGCCCACAGTCATGCATTTCATTTTTGTTAAGACCCAGTGACAAGCCAAGAGCTGCTTATGAAAATAATAGTAGTTATCTGTGGATGATGGCAGGGCCTTGCTGCAAAATCTGAAGGGCCTCCTCTGAATTCACCTGTAGGTATCACTGGTAAACTGGGCTCTTTCCTCACTTTTGATTAGTTGTACAGAAAGAACATTTAATTGAAAAAGACACTTAGGTTTTATTTGATGGCCAGCGACTGGAGAAGGCAAGCTCTTTCTTTAAATGCATGAACAAAAGGCATGGGGTTCTTAAGGACTAGCTGTGGGGGAATGAAAGGAATATTAGCATGTGTGGGGTGGGACTCCAGATGTGCAGGCTCAATTTGTAAACATATGTCTTCATACATCACATATGCACAGAATAGCAGAGATACTCTTTTACGGGTGGGAATTTTAACATTATAATAATATGTTAATGACCTGAAGGTAACTTAAGGTTGCGTGTTCCAGACTCCTTCAGTTTCATAGAGTCTTATCTTTCTCTGTATCTGGTCAGGTGTCAGGATGCTCTGGCATGTTCCTAGGCCATCTGGTTTCCTTCAGCAGCTGTGCCTATAAATAAGGAACTTAAGAAAAAGAGTAGGAAAAAGGAACATTCCCAGTTATTTCATCAGGACTGTCCTAGATGACCTCTGTTTATTTTCTCCTCATTCTTGACGGCTGCTGAGGGGCAGGGGTCCAACTTTTGGAGCTACTTCCTGATGTTTATGGGTGTTGTCACTTGATAAATTAGAGGAGCAAAACCTTTCCCTTGCTATTCTAAGGTAGATCTGATTGTCTCTAGGCTGCAACCCCAATTGCTCATATCCCTGGGTGATTACCCTCTGCAGCTTGATTGCTTCCAGTCTCATTCTTAACCTGAATACTGGGGTCAAAAATTGATTAAAAACAGGATCATCACCAGCAGGCCAAGCAGGAACAAAGTATGGTTGAACAGGACACTCTTTATTGCACTCCAGATGTCCTTAGAGCTGCTCTTGGTCAACACAAAGGAGTGAGGCCGTTCTTCTTGTTTGAATATTTGCTTTATTTTAGCTTCTATCTCCATAGAGGGTTTAACCCAGGTGCAACAAGTGGTATTGGTGATCACACATACTCTTGTTTATTTTGCCAGGAGCTAGTCTAAGGCTAACTGATTGTCCAGCACTACATTAGCTAGCCGATTGAAAGAAGGTTGTATATTTTGAATAACCTTCCTGGTATTACTTGCTAGATTTTTTGTTTGGGTTGTATTTATTAGGGTATCCTCATGTACGTACAGTGCTTTTCCCCACTCACGGGTCAGCCAACTCTACAGCAAGTCCTCGAGCCAGGAGCATCCCAAGACTCATCTTTGGCCTACTGTAATGGCAGGTTGTATTATGAATGGTTATCTCACTGTATTCCATAACACCTGTTGTACATTGTCCTATATGTATTTCATTATCTACAGCAGGGTGATCTACCACTAGCAATGGGGAGGAAAAAGTAGCAGCAGAGGAGCTGTTAGGGAGGTGGTGGTGAGGAGAGCCGCAAATGACCACATACTTTGGGGATGCACAAACCCTTGTGGGAATGCGGAAGTTTAGCCCATGAAGTAACTGAGAGCCTCAAGGGGGAGGGGAAGTCTTCTGACAATGACAGAGGGCCCTCTTGAGTTCAGGTGAAATTTATATTTCTTATTGGAGCTGGAAATATTGCTGGAGGAGGGGGTGCATAGTAGAGTCAACAATATTTTTCATTTCCTGAGGTGAGTGCTAGACTACAAAAGTAGTTGATTTTAGGAGCGGGATCCATGCAACCCATATGCTGAGAATTTCTCAGGTAGACAGCAACAGGTGTAGGTGGTTAGATTTCCATGGCAGCATTCTAAGGTTGAAACCACCTTCCCGAAGGTACACACTGGGCCCTGCGCCCCCAGTCTTGGGGTACCTGTGGTTATATAGCATTCAGACAGATTGTTTGCACTGGCTATGTAATATGGGAAAATTTGACTGTCGTGTTGGTGTCCCAGAGACCCTTGGATGTTGAGGACTAAAAGGACCAAGTGGTATAAGAAAAAGTCAGAGTAAAGTTTTACTTACCTAGCTTAAGTATCCTGAGGTGGCTAAGAGATGAGGAGGTAGAGGGTGAGATAGTTCAAGGAAACACTGTGGGACTATCAGGGAGTCCTGAAGGTGTATAGTTAAGATATATGTAATTTTCTATCAAGATGCCAGGAGGGCCACAAGTCAGGGATACATGATCAAGATGATCTGGAATAAAAGGAAACAGATCTCTAAGCCAGAGACCAGCTTTGAGGACTACAGGACAAGCCCTAATGCCATCAGATAGCCCACAAGAACACTCCTGGCGGGTAGAGACATTTAAGTGTTACAGCAGCGACCGTTTAGATGGGTCAAAGTATCCTGTACTTATATTTTTGGGAGTCAGGTTGGTTTTTCAGAAGAGCAATTTTAAATCTGAGATGGGTTAAGCCTGGTACGAGGGAATTTACTGCACTGGTGCATCCACTCATTTCACTCATGTGTGATGAAGCTGCGGGGTGACTCCCTGAAGCTTTAAGGCAGCATGTGTTGTCAGAATCACCACGTATGGCCCCATTCGTTTTGGACCTAATTGCCTCTCTGGACTTTGAACCTTCCAGATTTTCAGATATACCTAATATCGATGGACATAAGGATGCAGAACCAGGTCTGTCGGTGATGGAGAATCCTGGTTTCTATAAGCTGCAAGAACACGGGCCACGTTCCTAATATGTAACGCATATTTTAGTTGTTCCAGTTCCTGTAGGCTCAACCACTTCCCTGTGGTTGCCTCTGGGATTGATCTCCCATACATTGAACACCGAGTTAAAATGCACTCAGTTAAAATTATTTTGGGGGGTGCAGTCCTTATTCTAAGGAGAACTATGGTAAGAGAGGAAGCCAGTTTTTGTTGGTTTCCCAGCACAGTTTAGCCAACATTCTGTTTAAGCTTTAGTTGATTCTTTCTATTTTTCCTGAGGACTGGGATCTCCATGCTGTGTGGAGTTTTCAGGGGATTTCTAGGCCTTGGACTAACTTTTGCATAATTTCAGATATAAAAGCTGGCCTGTTGTCACTGTATGGCTTTAGTCAGCCCGAACATAAGGTATTTTTTTTTTTTTTGACAGAGTCTTGCTCTGTCACCCAGGCTGGAGTGCAATGGCACCATCTCTGCTCACTGCCACCTCCACCTTCTGAGTTCAAGCGATTCTCCTGCCTCAGCCTCCCTAGCAGCTGGGATTACAGGTGCCCGCCACCCCGCCCAGCTAATTTTTATGTTTTTAGTAGATATGGTGTTTCACCATCTTGACCAGGCTGGTCATGAACTCCTGACCTCGTGATCCACCTGCCTTGGCCCAAAAGTTCTGGGATTACAGGCATGAGCTACCATGCACAGCCAGGAATTTTTTTTTTTTTTTTTTTTTGAGACGGAGTCTTGTTCTGTAGCCTGGGCTGGAGTGCAGTGGCGTGATCTCAGCTCACTGCAGCCTCTGCCTCCCAGGTCTCGGTTCAAGCAATTCTTCTGCCTTAACCTCCCAAGTAGCTGGGATTATAGGCACACGCCACCATACCCAGCTAATTTTTGTATTTTTAGTAGAGATGGGGTTTCACCATGTTGGCTAGGCTGGTCTTGAACTCCTGACCTCGTGATCCACCTGCCTCGGCCTCCCAAAGTGCTGGGATTACAGGCGTGAACCACTGTGTCCGGCCAGAAAAAATTTTTTTAAGAGAAGGCATGCTACCTAGAAGGTGTTCTCAGTGGGAGTTGGGAACACCTGCACCCATCCTGGGAAGATATCACCCACAACTAGAAGGTATCTAAAGTTCCCAGAAGTCTGGGACATGACTATAAAGTATAGTTGCCAGTCCTCACCAGGGTAAACTCCCTGAGTTGTACTGGCTTAACATGAGGCCTTGGGGGTGGTCTG
The DNA here is from genome assembly GCF_000001405.40 of Homo sapiens. NCBI lineage: Eukaryota > Metazoa > Chordata > Mammalia > Primates > Hominidae > Homo > Homo sapiens. The sequence goes on from NC_000015.10 coordinate 24,001,434, forward strand.
TTAGGGGGCTGTTAGTCTGGCAGAGAGAGCAAATCTTGGTCGCTTGCTGTGCTGTCTCTCCAAGGTTAGGAGTGGTCATCATTTGAAGGAGCCAATTGTACAGGGTTCTGTACTATAATTTCAGCTCTCATGGGCCTCCTTAACTACCTGGGTGGCTATGGCTTTTGGAAAAATCTCTTGTCTCTGGGAGTTTTCAAGCCATCCTGGATATCCTCCTCTTTTTAGGAACACTTCCCTGGGGGTTACTGCTAGGGAGCCGGTGTGTCACCTACAGCAATTGCTGTATAATACCATGTCTGATACAGCAGCTACTGGTGTTAAGGAGGCTGTAGGTCTCAGGAGGGACCAGGTATCATAAGGCACTTCATGGGGAGAGTCTAATTCAGGAAATATTTGCTTGCCTTCTCTGGGTTTTATCTTTGTGGAAGTCAATTTACACTTCTTTTGCAGTCCGTTATTCTGGCATAGGGCCATGAAGTACTGCATTTTGCTTTTGGCAAAAGCTGTCTTCTTAAGAGATTTTCCCACTTTCTGAAATGAAAATATGTTATAAATATTTTCAGAGTAGTTGTTAACTGCACATCCACTGGGTTGAATCTGTATAATGCCATCAATGCCATGGACCAGTGTGATACCTTGTGAAAGGGGAAGGTGATCAGCTTCTCTGCAAATTGTGACTTAGTGAAGGAGAGTTGATACACCTTTGAGGTAGGACAGAGAAGGTATATTACTGGCATTGTTGCTGAAATTGAACTGCTTCTGATGGACCTTATGGAGAGAAACAGAGAAACAGCATTCACTAGATCAATAGGAGTATACAAGGTACCAGGGTATGTGTTAATTTTCTCAAGCAATAATATAATGTCTGATATAGTAGCTGCAATTAGAGGGAACACTTGGTTTACCTTATGGGAATCCACTGTCACTCTCCAGGATCCATCTGTCTTTTGCACAGGCCAAATTACACAGGTGTGTGGTGAAATCACAACCCCTGCATCATTCAAGACCTTGATAGTGGTGGTAATCTCTGAAATTTCTCCAGGGATGTGGTTATGAATTTGATTTTCTATTTCCCTAGGTAGCTCTAGTGCCTTCCATTTAGGATTTCCCACCTTACTAGCCCTCACTCCACAGGTCAGGGAACCAATGTGGGAAATGGGCCTAGTGCTAACTATGTCTATTACAGCTGTGCATCTGCAACTGGGGAAATTACCAGAGTATGTGTTTGTGGACCCACTAGACCCACTGTGATTTGATCTGACTAAAACTTGATTAATCACCTGACCTCCATATGCCCCTGCTCTGACTAGCATTCCATAGTGATGTTTTTGAGTCTTGTGGAATCAATGTGAGCTCGGAGCCGGTGTCTAGTAGTTCCCCAAAGTTCTTACTATTTTCCTTTCCCTGAAACACAGCCTGTTAAAAGGCTGTAGGTCCCCTTTTAGGAAGGATAGGAGAAAGATTAACAGAATAAAAGCTTTTGTGGTATACCTGGGTCCTTCATCAAGGGGACCTGGCTGCTCCCTCCTTCAAGGAATTCTTGACTGTAAACTGGCTCTAATCTGGGATTTGAGTAGGGGCTGTGATTCTCTACTTTTCTGTTTTGAGTTAAACTTCTGTAAACTTAACATGAATGTTTTCAGTATATTCAGATCAATTAACAACTTATTAGGCTCTTACGTATTTCACTTCTAAGAGTACCAGGATTTTCTGGCCAACACCATAGATCAAATTGAGTCAGACTGACCTGACTGTTGGTTTACCTTTGCTGACTGTTAACGGTAACTATGCCCACCTTGACTTTGAAGGTTGACAGCTGCCATTTGGCCCTGGGACTCCTGAGATCCACTTATTCTCAATGCATTTAAATTTTTTATTGAGTGACTGTGGTTTTCATTCTACAGAGAAAGCAGGAGGTTATTCGAGGATGCTGGGCTCCCCTCACAAATCTGTTTCTCAAAGTATTGCAGAAAGGTGTGTCTTCTGGACACTCCCAGAGTAGGTGAGTAAATTTCAAATGACAAGTGCATTCCAGAGTCCCATTTGTTCTAAGCCTTTGAATCTTTTCCTCCACATAGGCCAAGGGAGATCACACACATCCAACTGGATAAAGGAGGGCCATCTTTTGATTCATGGTTCAGCCAACCAAACAATTAGAGCCCTTTCTAACTCCCCATACTGCAGCACTAAAACCAGTGTCTTTGTTTAATGGGTCCATATCAATAAATTTGGGCTGATCCGACTTTATGTTTTCTCCACCCATTATCCCAACTCTTAATATCCTTTTCCACATGTGTTCCCCAGATTTCTGCTTGTATAAATTAGAAAACTCAAATAGTTTTCTTGGACTGTAATGAAGTTCCTGTGGGTCAAACTTTGTATGTCATTTTTAAGGGACTGTTGGAATTCGAGTCTACTTACAGATCCAGAAGCAAAAAGGAAGTGGTGGGTGTGGGGTCTGAGGAGAAGCAGCACTGCATTCCTCAGCAACTGCTTCAGGGGAGTCCACTATCTTTTCCTCAGGCAATGCTGGATTACTCCCTTCAAACAGAGGTGGAACTGGATATACCAATGTGGGTGGGGAGGCCACTGCCATGGAGATGGGTGTAGGGGGCCATTTTCACTGGCAGAGACATCAGAATTTCAGAGCTCAATGTCTCCAACCTCCACACAGTCTCCCAACATGTTCCTAACCCAGTTTACAGGGTTTCATTCTTTCCTGAACAGTGCTATAAATTTACAGTAGACACCTTGCTAGGCTGGAAAGTCAACTTTCACAGTAATTCAGCCAACTGCTTGGTGATGGCTTGTGTTTCATTTTCAGCATTTTCAGCCCTATGACTACAGGAGATACAATTCTCTCTCAGAGCACTGTAAGGCTTTTTATGTGGAGCTGGATTCTGAAGTTTGAATCTCTTAGTTTATCTTTTTTTATTCATCCCTTTGCTCAGCAACACTAGAAGCAGAGTCCTTAAGTTTTCCACTGATATTTAAAGATAATGCTTTCAGAGTCACCAAGTTCCTTGCCTCTTATCAGTGGTTGATTACTAGTGTCAAAGGCAGATGTTTGCATGTCTCTTAAGCAGTTCATGAAATGGACTAGCAGTGTGTTCTCTTTACTATTAGAAGTAGAGTCTTAAGCATTTTTAGGTATCATCAGGTTACCGATCCAAAATTTTAGAAACCCCTAAGCCAGTGAAAAAAACTTATCCTTGAAATTTTGTTCCCTATAACCCATTCATGGTTAAAAAAAATCTGTATTACGGTTCTTTAGAGAGAGAGAACAAATAGGATAGATACATAGACAGACAGATGGGGGGAGATTAATTACAGAAATTGGGTCACATGATTATGGAACCTAAGGCAGATCTTCTGCAAGCTAGAAACGCTGAAATACCAGTAGCATAGCTCATTCCAAGTCTGAAAATCTCAGAATGAGGAAAGTTGACAATGTAATTCCCAGTCTGAGGTTAAAGGCCTGAGAATGTGGAGGGATGCAGAAGTAAGTTCTGGGGTCCCAAGGAAGAGAGCTTGTAGTTAAGATGTCCAAGGGCAGGAGGTAGAGAGTGTGCCAGCTCCAGGAGAGAGGGAGAGCAAAATCATTTTCACTCCTTTTTTGTTTTTTCTGGGCCCTCAGCCCACTGGATATTGCTCACACACAAAGTGAGTGGATTGTTACAGAACCGAACTGGGGTCTGTTCACACAGAGCAGCAAGCCCAGGTATCTACATTGATGTTTGCAGTGGGAGAAAAAGAGGTGTTTATGTGCATGCTGTCAAGAAAGAAGAATCACGCAGCTAATGCTTAAGTTCCCACTTCCCCAATGGCTTGTAGGTAAGGGTTAACTGAAGGGGTAAATTTCAGGAAAGCAGAAGTTTTTGGCAAAACTATAAATCAATACATGGAGTATTGCATTGGTTTTGTTATAAAACGATGGGATATCTTTTTCTTTCCTTTTTCTTTCTTTTTGAGACGGATTCTTACTCTGTTGTCCAGGCTGGAGTGCAATGGCACAATCTCAGCTGACTGCAACCTCCGCCTCTCGGGTTCAAGCAATTCTCGTGCCTCAGCCTCCTGAGTAGCTGGGACTACAGGCACCTGCCACCATGCCCGGCTAATTTTGGTAAATTTAGTAGAGACAGGGTTTCACCATATTGGCCAGGCTGGTCTCGAACTCCTGACGTTGTGATCCGCCCACCTCAGCCTCCCAAAGTGCTGGGATTACAGGCATGACCCACCGTGCCTGGCCAAGGATGGGATATCTCGAAGCAGTGCTCAAGCAGGGGCTTATAGGTTATATACAGATTCAAGGGTTTCTGATTTGCAGTTGGTTAAAGAAGAGAAGCTTTGTTTTAAAATTTGGGGTCAGTAGAAAAACGTGTTAGCTCTGGCTCACGGATATGACTCCCTGTAGGCCCCTTAGGAAGATATTTAGGACAACAGCAGTCAGAGTTCAGCCTTCAGGTCTCTCTTATCTGAGGTCTCCGTGTCAGCAGATCCATTTGGTGGGGGTCCAGGTTTATGAAAAATGACTCAGCAATGTATGTTAAGATGGTATCTTTGGTTTTCATGGGGAACAAAACAAACATCTTCTAACTGTAACATCCTTGGCTATTGTTTGAGCTACTATTACCTTCTTGCTTATCAAGTTCTTCATTGACTTCTCAGTGCTAGCTAGGTACCTGGGATTTGCCTTGAAGGGACTCACGATTTTCCTTTATTTCCCTGCTTGGGGAACCCATAGGCCCCTAACAAGGGGTCCCTGCTCTATCACAGGATCTTCCGCACTCTGTCCACTGACTCACGTATCAGACTTTTCTGGTGAAACCCTCATAGACCCAGAAGCAATGCTTTGCCAGTGTTCTAGGTGTTCCCTAATACAGTTAGTTGACTCCTAAAATAAAACATCACAATTGGGTTTTGGAGTGTCACCCAAGCAGGTTTCTCATGAGGAGTTCAAAGTGCTGGGTTAATGTCAAGCAACCATGATTTCCATAGCATCGTGCTGTGACCAAGAGTTGGTTATTGCAGAATATCTATGCATTTCCCTGAAGGGTCTGTGGGGGTGAAATAAGTGTTGTGTCCAGCTGTCCTACGTGGAATAGTCACCTGGAGAGCATTTTATAAGGACAAATATGGAATTACCACATTGAGGAAATTGGAAGAGGGCACAAACTGGAAACTATCATGGATTTCTAAACCCTATTTCTGGTATGAGCAAATCAAACCTATATCCAAAATAAATGCCCAAGTAATATGAAATTTAAATAATTCACAGCAACATTTAAAATAGGAGTTCTTGTAGTGCAGTAATAACTCTAACTCTAATCCTTAGGTAGCAGGTAAACCCAGTTGTTCAACTAATTTGAAACTAGTTGAGCATGTTTCTTCAATAATAGACCAGAATACATCAGATGAGCCACCATGATTTTATGCTGAGAAGGAGGCAGTCATAGAGAAAAAGAGCGTGTTCCATTTATATTAAAGGGCATATTTTTTACATATTTCAAGTAGAGATGGATCATAAAATTAATATTGTAAGAACACTGTTAATCAGAAGACAGTCATAATGTGATTGCCTTTGTGTGCACACACATGAACTTGGTGTAAAAAACTCATTTTCACATTCTGGTGATACTGTTAATATAACTCATAGTGGGATATCAGTAGTTAAGAAAGATAATCTAACAGAAGGTTTTATGGTACTCACAATAATTGTGGCATCAACAAAGCTTCTAATTAGTAGTGATGATGCAATGTTGGGAAAATTCATGGACAACCTAAGTTGAAAAGTGATTTAGAAGAGTTTTATCTAAATATTACCTATTTGTCTGTTTTCATGCTGCTGATAAAGACATACCTGAGACTGGGCAATTTACAAAAGAAAAAGGTTTATTGGACTTAGAGCTCCATGTGGCTGGGGAGGCCTCACAATCTTGGTGGAAGGCAAGGAGGAGCAAGTCATGTCTTACATGGATGGCAGCAGGCCAAGAGAGAGCTTGTGCAGGGGAACTCCTCTTTTTAAAACCATCAGATCTCATGAGACATTGGCTATGGTGAGAACAGCATGAGAAAGATGAAACCAGTGAAAGATGATTCAATTATCTCTGACCAGCTCCCTCCCATGACACGGAATTATGGGAGCTACAAGATGAGATTTGGGTGGGGACACAAAGCCAAACCATATCATCTATTTTACTCTTATTTTCTATCTCATGTGATCATAGGAGTTACATAAGACATATATGTAAGTTCAAAAGTATTATTTTCACTATATATGAGATAAAATTTTTAAGTGGTAAGAAGAGTTACAGTTTTCCATAGTTTTATGCTTTTATTGAGACATAAAATAACAATGTATTTTACAATTGATGCATATGAAAATTACTTGAAAAAAGCTGTCAATAGTAGCAAATACTGACTTTTAATGTTTGGTGTAGACCTTTGTAAACCAAAAACAACTGAGACGTATCTCATTCATTTTAGAAAATTATTTTGTCAATTTTAAGGTTATGCCTGGGAAAAGGAAACACAAGTAACGGTAGGATGTTTGACCTGTACTTTTTCCAAAGAGGGTTTTGCTAACTTCAGTATTTATGGGGGTGAGACCACACTGAATGAAAAGGAGGAAAAGAAAATAAAGTAGGGGATAGGCAGTGGGTCAAGTGGTACATTCTTGTAAGGCCTTGATTAGCACTCACTACATTCTTATGTTACAAGTGTAAAGAGGAGTGGGGAAAAAGTTGATGTGCATTTCTTTAATGCTTGGTAGATATACATTTTACATAAGATAAGTGAACTTGTGAAATTACAGCTGTCTGTTTGGGAAACAAAAGGAAGGTGGTATTTGCATGACTCAGTTCCCAAGTTTTCCTTTGGCATAGTGAGTTTGGGGTCCCAAGATTTTATTTTCCTTGTTCTTTAAAATATTTCAGAGAAAGCATTTTAGAAGAAAATGAGTGTTTGGTTATGTTTTTCTCCCTGATATTTCAACACTACAATGGTTTACTCCTAGAATGTTAGGTTGCACATTTTTAAGAAGACTCATTCTAGAAGGTTGTGAAGAAATAGGGGGAAGAAGAAAGAAAGGAAAGAAATAAGAAAAAAGGAAACAGCTGGATTATAGCAACAAAGTAGAAAGCGATTCTGGAAAACTTATACAGGCTATATTACAGAGCAGTCCATATATCACTAGACAGTCATGAAAATATTTTGTGTACATAAACAAGATGCTGTTATTTCTCCCAAAGTTTAAGTTTTCTAGCTTCAGTCTGCAGGGCTTTATGAAAAGCACAGTTTTAATTTCTACTGATCCTAAGTCAGAAGAAATGGGAAAGAAGAAAAAAAAGATGTTGAAAATGCTTGTTTAGATATTTGTAGCCAGCAAAGAATTTAGGATCCAGTCCAGCTAAATTGTAGAAAATTATAAAACTGGAAGGCAATGGACAAGGCTAGAATCCAATAAAAGATATACTATAATTTCATTTGAAATTTATATTTTTTTCTCCAGTCTTCCATTTTTACTTAAGACAGATCATAGTAGGACCAATTTATTTTCAAAATAAGTTTTAGTTTATTTTACTTGACGTGATTATTTTCACAAAGTGTAGCAAGAATAATTTTTTTCATATAGGCTCTTATAAATTGGCTTTGATGGAGCATTTTTAATAAGGTATCTAAGATGTGACTTTTCAAAAAGCCTCTCAAACTCAACCAAGTATTTGCTGTGCCTGCAAATAACTACATGAATTGGGAGAATTCTTCTCATCTTGAGATCACAAGATTACTTGGAGTTCCTAGGCCTCTCAAAGTAACTTTTCCTGCCACAGGTCAGAAAACCTGCAAAGTAACTGCATAGAGAAGGTACAAAGCCCGTCTTTCCAGGAGGATTTTATTGCTCTATAATTCAACCTAAATTCCTCAAAGCAATCTGCTTATAGATGAAAATACGCTATTCCAGGCAAAGCCTTGGCAAGATAACCAGCATCTCCAATTGTGTCCCATTAAAAAAAAGATTATTATCGATTATATGCAAATAACTTATATTGCTGTATATTAAGAATATTCAGAAATAGCTTTCAAATTTTGGAGAAGTACAGGTAGAGGGAAATATGCTTCAAATTTTTCTCAAGAGTATTCTGTACTCAATTGTTAAAAACTGTAAATAACTTTTAGAAAGTTTACTCTGAAAAACAAAACGAAAAGAGTCATCAATGTTTCAAACAAAAAAGTCCTAAAAAGTTATTTCAGTCTTCTATTAGTTCAGTCCCACATAATTAACTTGTTCTACTTTATATTGGCTTAGCAATCCTCATGAACACATCAGCGTGTTAATTAGAGTTCTGGAAGTTTTTTGGGTTTTTTTTTATTGTTGTTTTCACTAGTACAATGGCACAATCTCCAAAGTTATCAGAAACCTAAATTCAAGAAAACTGGTCAGAGTCATTTTCATGAACTCCACTGAAGAAGCGAGTTTTGGCCCACTGCTTTTTTATAAACCACTTTTTTGAGAATATTTAATGTAAAATAATAGTTGTGAATGAAAAACTAAGACAGCATGTTTACAGGCAAAGCTGACAAGGAAATTTGGTTATTTCTGTGGCATACAACAATTTAACATAATCATAATTATTACCGATAACATATAGTAAGACATATCAGAATTACTAGCATCTCATATGATAATGGAGCACAAACTAATAAAACATTTAGATAAATAGAACCCAAAGTAAGTTAAATATTCAACCATGCTTCCTGTGTGATTTTTTTTATTATAGTTTAAGTTTTAGGGTACATGTGCACAACATGCAGGTTAGTTACATATGTACACATGTGCCATGCTGGTGTGCTGCACCCAGTAACTCGTCATTTAACATTAGATATATCTCCAAATGCTGTCCGTCCCCCCTCCCCCCACTCAACAACAGGCCCCGGTGTGTGATGTTCCCCTTACTGTGTCCATGTGTTCTCATTGTTCAGTTCCCACCTATGAGTGAGAACATGCGGTGTTTTGGTTTTTTGTCCGTGCGACAGTTTGCTGAGAATGATGGTTTCCAGCTTCATCCATGTCCCTACAAAGGACATGAACTCATCCTTTTTATGGCTGCATAGTATTCCATGGCGTATATGTGCCACATTTTCTTAATCCAGTCTATCATTGTTGGACATTTGGGTTGGTTCCAAGTCTTTGCTATTGTGAATAGTGCCACAATAAACATACGTGTGCATGTGTCTTTATAGCAGCATGATTTATAATCCTTGGGGTATATACCCAGTAATGGAATGGCTGGGTCAAATGGTATTTCTAGTTCTAGATCCCTGAGGAATCGCCACACTGACTTCCACAATGGTTGAACTAGTTTACAGTCCCACCAACAGTGTAAAAGTGTTCCTATTTCTCCACATCCTCTCCAGCACCTGTTGTTTCCTGACTTTTGAATGATTGCCATTCTAACTGGTGTGAGATGGTATCTCATTGTGGTTTTGATTTGCATTTCTCTGATGGCCAGTGATGATGAGCATTTTTTCATGTGTCTTTTGGCTGCATAAATGTCTTCTTTTGAGAAGTGTCTGTTCATATCCTTCACCCACTTTTTGATGGGGTTGTTTGTTTTTTTCTTGTAAATTTGTTGGAGAATGTGCAAAAATCACAAGCATTCTTACACACCAGTAACGGACAAACAGAGAACCAAATCATGAGCGAACTCCCATTTGCAATTGCTTCAAAGAGAATAAAATACCTAGGAATCCAACTTACAAGGGATGTGAAGGACCTCTTCAGGGAGAACTACAAACCACTGTTCAATGAAATAAAAGAGGATACAAACAAATGGAAAAACATTCCATGCTCATGGGTAGGAAGAATCAGTATCGTGAAAATGGCCATACTGCCCAAGGTAATTTATAGATTCAATGCCATCCCCATCAAGCTACCAATGACTTTCTTCACAGAATTGGAAAAAACTACTTTAAAGTTCATATGGAACCAGAAAAGAGCCTGCATTGCCAAATCAATCCTAAGCCAAAAGAACAAAGCTGGAGGCATCATGCTACCTGACTTCAAACTATACTACAAGGCTACAGTAACCAAAACAGCATGGTACTGGTACCAAAACAGAGATATAGACCAATGGAACAGAACAGAGCTCTCAGAAATAAAGCCGAATATCTACAACCATCTGATCTTTGACAAACCTGACAAAAACAAGAAATGGGGAAAGGATTCCCTATTTAATAAATGGTGCTGGGAAAACTGGCTAGCCATATGTAGAAAGCTGAAACTGGATCCCTTCCTTACACGTTATACAAAAGGTAATTCAAGATGGATTAAAGACTTAAATGTTAGACCTAAAACCTGTATGATTTTTAACACATGAAATAGGCCAAATGTGTCTCTCTTGGACTTCAGGGGAACTAATATTTAAAAAGTTAATTAGGCCATTAAGACTGAATTTAGAATTCGATTTGGAAATTTTGTCAAATATCAAAGGTTCAAGACACTTGATGTTACAAAACAGAACCAGTGATCAGTATAGAATAAATTATTAAGCCAAAAATGGTATTTTAAATATTTTTAAAAACCAAAACCTTTATTATTTGATAGAAAGAGAAGAGACTCAGTTTCTCAAACAATAAGGTCTAATATTGGGCCTGGTGTGAAGGTTCACATTTATAATCCCAGCACTTTGGGAGGCCAAGGCAGGAGGATTGCTTGATCCCAGGAGTTCAAGAACAGCCTGGGAAACATATTCTTTCCCTGGGGTAGCTCCTGTTCTTTGGGTTCTGGGGGTAATAAGCTGTTGATTGAGGGGATAATTCTTAAGGCAAGTCTCACAAGCATTAATGACCTATTTGACTGTTGGTAGCACATTTTTACCTGAAAACAATCTCTGGGGCAATTGATAGGTTTTATTCTTACTTTGGTGGAAGGCCTGGTGAAGGTTTCCATTGGCCGGCAGCTGGTAGATGAACCTTGCCATCCTCTGATTGTAACCATCCTGAGGACTGAAACATGTATCCCTGAGAGGTGGCCCATTCTGTTTCCACAGAAGAATATTGAGGTTTTATCTTACAGAGCCTTCCCAGATCAGAGGGGCTTCAAGTGGATCAGAAAAACGTTTTTGATCCACTGTTTGGTCTGCCAGCATAGAACTGACAATAAAATACCCAAAACATGTCCTATAATCTCTGGGACTGGGTCACATTCACCTGTAGATCCATCCAACCATATTTAGACCCAACAAAATTTAGAGGTGGACTCAAATGCAATGATTTACCATCAGCCACAAAGAAATATAAGGAAATTAGTCATTTTACAATTGGTATATTATAGCTAGAAGTGATATGCCACTCATTTGAAATTCTAGCTTCAAATGAAATTAAGAGCACCTATTATGAGTACCTCCTAACCTGAAAGTCTCCTAAAGGAACACTCTCTCAGCATGGACAAACATGTAAGATACACTGGAAACACTCAAACTTTTGGCAGATAAATCAGCTGCCTATAAGGTAATATTTATTACAAACCTAATACAAATACTAAGAAATAAACCCTGGAAGGCACTAAAATTAAATTTATGTTCAATATAAAAGTCTCAAATTTTATTTAAAATTGGGCTGTATACCTTGGCAAAATAAACCAACATAGAGAAATTGGTAACCCATGTAAAGTAATTCACAATCTAAACAAAATGATTGGCAAGCAAGGACATAAAGGCCAAACTGGCAACAGGACCATCTAAGGCCACCATCCGGATACCAAAATAACGGGAAAGACACTCCTGAATTCCAAGACTAAACCCACCTCTTCAGAAACAGCAGTGAAAACAGAAATTTTACAAGACATTTTTTTCTTAAATCTTGGACCCCCCCAGGCTATAATACTTGAACTTGGGGATCACAGGACATATATACACTGGCTATAGAGATAGACAAATATACACATATGGACACATTTCTTTTAGACACCAGATGACAAATAAGCCTCCTTAGATACAGCGTACCACACTTTGATACAAACATCTCTATAAAGGACTGAGGAATATTAACTAGAGTCTCCCCAGTCTCTGCTTCTATATGCACTATAAATGTATTTCTTGCATGTTTTACTGTTCACCAAAATTAGAAAACATTACAGAAATGGATTGATTGCAAAGCTTTTAAACCTGAGGTGGCTTATTAAGAAACTAAAGGAATGAAAGTTCTCTGACCTAACACAAATTAAAATGAAACCTCTAACAGTGACTACACCCCACCAGGCTACATACACTAAACAGTACCCATTACAGGGAATACATGAAGAAATAAAAGCAAAGGATGTGGACTCCTCAAAGAAGATATTACTATAATGGGCATATTGAATAACTTTAATTGTCCAGTATGGCCTGTCCTGAAACCAAATGAGAGCTATAGATGAACTATTGATGATACCAATTTAAATAAAGTCTCACCTAAAATGCCAGAAACATTACCAGATGTAGAATTTATTATTACAATTTCTTACTATAATCAAAAAGACTATGTAACCATAGACTTGTTAGATAGTGTCTTTGTTTTACCAGTAAAGAAAACCAGGAATATACCAACTTTATTTACAAAGACAAAAAATACTAATTTAAAAGTTTAATGCAAGGCAATTAAACAGCCCACTGTATTTTTTTTTTTTTTTTTTTTGAGACGGAGTCTTGCTCTGTTGCCCAGGCTGGAGTGCAGTGGCGCAATCTCAGCTCACTGTAGGCTCCGCCTCCCAGGTTCACGCCATTCTCCTACCTCAGCCTCCCGAGTAGATGGGACTACAGGCGCCTGCCACCATGCCCGGCTAATTTTTTTTTTTTTTTTTTGTATTTTTAGTAGAGACAGGGTTTCACCGTGTTAGGATATCCGGTTTGGATCTCCTGACCTCGTGATCCGCCTGCCTCCCAAAGTGCTGGCATTACAGGTGTGAGCCACCGCGCCTGGCCAGCCCACTGTATTTTATCATCACTCATAGATGAATTAAAATACACATCATTAATAATATACATACATGACATTAAATGTTAACACAATGGCCAGATAAATGTTAAACAAGAAACATCCCAATTAATATTGCTTTTAAGATCACTGAGATAGACTATTCATATAGACAAACCACAGGCCCAGACACCAAATGCAAATTTTAAGGAGTACAACAGCCATTAGAAGGGAGAAAAGTAATGATGATAATGATAGATAAAAGCCCCTAAGGCATCAATTAACATGTAGGGCAAAGATTAGTAGGTTTATTTGGATATGGGAGACAGCATATGCCTATTTAAACATCATCCTAAAACCAATACATAAGACAACTAAGAATTTCCAAGTTCGTGTGGGGACAAAAACAAACATAAGCACTTGCAACACTGAAAGGCTACATTAACACATTTCACACTTTGCATCATCCATCTTCTGATTCACAACTTTGGTTGGAAATTCTGATGCGTGCTGAATGTGGAAAGGTCCATGGTCATTGTGGACAAAGAAATTAGATTCTAAATTCTTCCTGCCAGTGGGATTTTGTACAATAAAATTTTCACACTAACAACAAATTAAAAGCCCATTTGAAAAATGTACATGGCCTACATGTACTTAAGATACTGAGCTTTTGCCTGGCAACAACATCATTACAGTTAGATGCTATGTGGCTCTCCTTCACTGGATAAAACTGAGTCCTGAAGAATTGACAGGTATCCAAATTGATTAAAGCTGCTCACCTGAAAATGGTGCATCCAGGGTTGAAACACTGGCCTTAAGGGTCAACCAGGTCTCCTCACTGAGGAGATTGTCAAGACTGAAATAGACTTGCCAGAATGTATTCTGAGGACAGGGACAATCCATGTCAATCTCGGCAAATGGGGCCCTGTCTGGTCTAATGTCTTGCTCAACACCTGGTTTACAGACGGATGAGCCTCCGTGACCCAAAGCCAGATCCAATGGACAAAGCAGCACTCAGATCCCAGGACCACACAATCCTGAAGGAAGCAGATCAGTTACTCTCTGCACAGAGTGCAGGACTGATTGCAGATGTTCTAGCAGTCAGAGACTCAGTATTAGAAAAACAACATAAAATTTGCATTTTTACAGACTCATGGGCAGTTGCAAATGAAATAAACCTATGGTCACACAAATAGATACAAAATGATTTTAAAATTAATGGTAAAGATATATGGTCCAAGTTTTATTGGGAGGAAGTGAGTTATCAAACAGAATTAAGATACTTATCATACAACAGTACAACAAAAATATAATTCAGAGACCTTAAATTTTTATAATCAAGTAGATGCATTATCAGGGAATATAACCATTGCACACAAAACACACCCCAACTAAAGCAACACAGAAATCCAGACAACTCATGGGACACTTCAGTACCACCTCTACAATGCAGCAGAAAATTGGACAATAAATGGGAGATACCACAAGTACCCCTAATAATTATAGTAAAACAGGAAAGTGATTTTACAATTAAACAGACACCAGAAGCAGCTTACACTTCACAAACACACCTCTAAGTATATAATGAAAAAAAGAGACTTAGGCACATGATCACTGTACAGGTGGCGATCAGACAAATTAAAAGTGGCATGGCATCAAATTCAATACGGCATAGGTAATTGTGAACAATATAAAACCAATCTAGAAAAGTATAGTTACACTAAACCCATAGACCTGGCACGTTCAACTTGGGCTAACAAAAGATTTTTATTGGATACTGAATCATCCCTACCCACAAACATATGCACTAAAAAAGCTGGATATATGTACAGCAATTTGCATAGCAATAAAGTTAGCCACTTACCTGCCAAATACACCATCTCAGCCTTAGAATTTATGGTAGCTCACTGTGCAGCCCCTAAAAAATTTGGAAGTGATCAGGTAACTCATTTTGCATCAAGCAATAACAGGCATTGGCAGATAAATGGGATATATAATGGAATTTTTTTTCCTACCTTATCATCTCACAGCAGCTGCATATATATAGATTTAAAATGGATTATCAAAAAGAGAATTAAAAACTTTAGGAAAAAATGAGTACAATCCAATAACCTGATACGTTTTAATTTAAAACAATGAGAAAGACTCAATGAGAGCAACCCTACTCTTATTTTAATCAACTGACCTTAGTGGTCTTACAGAATAAGGAGGCTGGGTGCAGTGGCTCACTCCTGTAATCTCAGCACTTTAGGAGGCCGAGGTGGGCAGATCACTTGAGGTCAGGAGTTCGAGACCAGCCTGAAAAGGGCATGGTGAAACCCGTTCTTTATTAAAAATACAAAAATTAGCCAGGTGTCATGGCGGATACCTTTAATCCCAGCTACTCGGGAGGCTGAGGCATAGGAATCACTTGAACCCAGGAGGCGGAGGTTGCAGTGAGTCAAGATCATGCCACTGCACTCCAGCCTGGGTGACAGAGTGAGACCCTGTCTAAAAAAAAAAAATAGAATAAGGAAGAAAATGATGTAAATATTATCTATATCTTACAAGGTGAGCACTAAACTTAATGACATCAGTATCTCCCAAGTGGACATTGTGGCCAATGGACATGTAAATACTTACTGGACTATAGGAAAAATAGGAGAAATACAATTATACACAATCTGCAACCTTTCTCCTGGTTTTCACTAGAACTATATTTGTTATTATACTTTCTGCAAAATTGGTACTGCACTGCTGTTTTTTAATCATTGTATTAATGTAATTGAAATTGTATTGAATTCAATCGAATTTTACTTGCTACTAACCTAATACCATCACTTATAGCCATCACTGGAATAATAAAATATGTCACTCGCTTAAGACAACATCACACCTGTGAATTTTTGTAGCTTCTCAACTGTTGGTCTTACCACCTTTGTTATTCACATCTTACTAGCCATCATAGTGACTTTACAGTCTTGTGATTCCTTATATTGCCACCACAGAGATTGCAAACCAGAGTAATGCAAGCACACACTTCTCTCACTGTAGAAAAATTAAAAATTACACTATTTTCTTGCTAATTACATCATTGGATTAATAATTTGCACACCAACACCTGTAATGCACCTCCAGTGTATGGACTTAGCATCTCCAAGATCACATTCAGCAACTCCAAGATCTCTTATCACCCCTTTATGTTCTTGCCTTATTCACCTTTTTCTTTATCTTCAGCCACATCTTCACTGTCTAGGATCTTTATGACCATCTCACCAGATTTTCTTGATGAATCAGCTGAAGCATGTGAGCTCCATCAGATAGGCCCAAACTGGAATGTCAAACCAGACCTGGTGGAAACCAGACACCACTACCAGTTTTATCCTCTCTGTGTTTGTGAAGTAAGTACAGCATTAGGAACCATTTTAAGCTCAGCTGAATACACAGGCTTTGAGGATTACGGTGGTCCCCTGTCATATAGATTGTATTGCTAAACTGCTTAATAAGGTAAGAGAAAACCCATAGAACGAACTACCTTTGCTTTATGTACCTCACCTTACTCAAACTGCCATACCACTGCTAACAGCAACCCTATGCTGTGTTGTTAGAACAGATGAAGATGCAATGCATCAGTGGGGTATTGTATCTTAGTTTATTTGCAGTGTTATGTTTAATTTTTAATATCAGATAATATATGCATATCAAACAATGCAAACTCACACAGCACCTAAATTTGTAGGATTACCAGAACACACTCCACAATTTGTACTTTACAAAAATATATCATGTTTGGAACAGTTGCTGGAAAACCAAGGAATTGATAACAATAATATTTAGAGCCTCAATTAGACCATTTCCTTGACATTCATTTGACCCAATACAATGCCTGAAGAGTTTCCATACACATATCTATTCAGTGCATCTACTTTTTTTAATAACAGAGATAGGGTTGGTTCCAAGTCTTTGCTGTTGTGAATAGTGCCACAATAAACATACGTGTGCATGTGTCTTTATAGCAGCATGATTTATAGTCCTTTGAGTATATACCCAGTAATGGGATGGCTGGGTCAAATGGTATTTCTAGTTCTAGATCCCTGAGGAATCACTACACTGACTTCCACAAGGGTTGAACTAGTTTAGAGTCCCACCAACAGTGTAAAAGTGTTCCTATTTCTCCACATCCTCTCCAGCACCTGTTGTTTCCTGACTTTTTAATGATTGTCATTCTAAACCCAAATGTTCAACAATGATAGACTGGATTAAGAAAATGTGGCACATATACACCATGGAATACTATGCAGCCATAAAAAATGATGAGTTCATGTCCTTTGTAGGGACATGGATGAAATTGGAAATCATCATTCTCAGTAAACTATCGCAAGAACAAAAAACCAAACACCGCATTTTCTCACTCATAGGTGGGAATTGAATAATGAGAACACATGGACACAGGAAGGGGAACATCACACTCTGGGGACTGTTGTGGGGTGAAGGGAGGGGGGAGGGATAGCTTTAGGAGATATACCTAATGCTAAATGATGATTTAATGGGTACAGCACACCAGCATGGCACATGTATACATATGTAACTAACCTGCACATTGTGCACATGTACCCTAAAACTTAAAGTATAATTAAAAAAATAATAACAGAGATAAGGTCTCACTCTTTTGTCTGGGCTAGAGTGCATTGGCACCATCACAGTTCACTGTAGCTTCAAAGTCCTGGGGTCAAGTGACCCTCCCACCTCAGTCTCCTGTGAAGCTAGAACTGCAGGTCCACACCACCATGCTCAGCTCGTTTTATTTTTTATAGAGACAGGTTCACATTATGTAGTCCAGGCTGGTGTTAAACTCCTGGGCCCAAGGGATCCTCCTGCCTTGGCTTTTTAATCAGTGCATCTTCATAGAAGTTCTTTATGTATTCCTAAATACACCTTGGAAGAAAGCATACGTGACATGACTAAAGACGACTCACCCACCTTATATACCTACAGCCAAGCATTTGTTGACATCACAAATCAACGGACAGCACACGTAGTAGATATAGAAATACTAGTATAAACAGAAATAGCAATCAAAGGATGTCATTACATAAAAAGCCACATATCAGACCAAACACCAATTCTAGTAGCCCATATAGAACTATATATTGAAGGATCTAAGAATTGTAATGTTTTTAAATCGAAGTATGTCCTGGTGACTCTTGAAAGCAGTTTACTCTGATTGTTGCCTTTGCCCTGGTGCCAAGATGAGACTTTGGTTAACTTGAATTTGGTGTTAGATAATGGCAGGAGTCGGTGCCACTTTTTAGATGAGATATGTGTACTTAGGAGTCAAAGCTCTGTAACATAACAGCACAAGGATAGTTAATAGCACCTAATAAGGATTTTTTTAAGGGGCTGGAGGTGGTCATACTATGGTCCATGACCTGACTGGAAGTGGTAAAAAAAATTTATCATTCAGTGATTAATTTTATAGCTTTGATACAAACTTCAGCAATATGTCAGAGACTTAATTTAGGATTTGACTTTACCTCTGTCAAAGATGTTAAAGATGTTAAGAGTTTCAAAACATTTGATTAAAACAGAACCACCGGTCGTTGTAAAACAGTAGTTGCTCATTTTACCAAAGCAATAATCAAAACACTCTGAAGGCAATAAAGAAGGTTACATGAATGTAAAAACCTTAACCCTTTTAGGTATTTTTTTAGCAATTAAAAAACTAATAAAGAAAGTATAGAATTATTTTGATAAAACAAAGCAAAAAAAATGTTTCTTAAACCAGTTTACAGAAAGGCAGAGAGTAAAACTTGCAGTTATAGGAAGTCTATTTAGATAACCTGGATGTTAAATCTTATGAAAATGTGTTTTGAATTTAATCAGACTCAGAGTTTATCTTCAAGTTTATGAGTATAGCAGGGGAATTCATAATTTTTTGTAACTACATGAGCAGTTTTCTGATTACATTGAAAATTTAAACATACAAAGAAAAGCCAAAAGGACCACCCAACTACATGGACACTGAACAACCTGCTCCTGAATGAGTCTTGGGTAAATGATGATATTAAGGCATAAATCAAGAAGTTATTTGAAACTAATAAGAACAAAAACACAATGTACAATCTCTGGGACACAGCTACAGCAGTCTTAAGAGGGTAATTTATAATACTAAATGCCCATATCAAAAAGCTAGAAAGATCTCAAGTTAACAGCCTGACATCACAACTAAAAGAACTAGAGAACCAAGAGCAAACAAATCTCAAAGCTCTAGCAGAAGACAAGAAATAACCAAGAACAGAGCTGAACTGAAGGTGATAGAGGCACAAAAAAACCCTTGAAAAGTTAATGAATCCAGGAGCTGGTTTTTTGAAAATTTAGTAAAATAGATTGGCCATAGATCATTAGTTAGAGTAATAAAGAAGAAAAGATAGAAGATTCAAATAAACACGATCAAAAATGATAAGGGGGACATCACCACTGACCACACAGAAATACAACCATCAGAGAATACTGTAACTGTAATCTCTACGCACACAAAGTAGAAAATCTGGAAGAAAGGATAAATTCCTTGACACACCCTCCCAAAACTGAACCATGAAGAAATTGAATAGACCAATAATAAGTTCTGTTCTGAAATTGAGGCAGTAATAAATAGCCTCCCAACCATAAAAAGCCCAGGACCAGATGGATTCACAGCTGAATTCTACCAGAGGTACAAAGAAGAGCTGGTACCATTTATGCTGAATCTATTCCAAAAAGTGAAAAGGAGAAACTCTTCCCTAACTCATCCTGTGGGGCC
This sequence comes from Homo sapiens, assembly GCF_000001405.40. NCBI lineage: Eukaryota > Metazoa > Chordata > Mammalia > Primates > Hominidae > Homo > Homo sapiens. The sequence goes on from NC_000015.10 coordinate 24,021,163, forward strand.
AGTATCATCCTGATAGCAAAACCTGACGAGATACAACAAAAAGGGAAAACTTCAAGCCAATATCCTTGATGAACATCAATGAAAAAATCCTCAACAAAATACTGGCAAGCCAAATCTAGCAGTATATCAAAAAACATCCCTTCATGTTAAAAACTCTCAATAAACTAGGTATTAAAGAAACGTACCTCAAAATAATAGGAGCTATATATGACAAACCCACAGATAATATCATACTGAATGGGCAAATGCTGGAAGCATTTCATTTGAAAATGGACACAAGACAAGGATGCCCTCTCTTACCACTTGTATTCAACATGATATTGGAAGTTCTGGTTAGGGCAATCAGGCAAGAGAAATAAATAGCGATACTCCATCTCAATAAAAACAATTTAAAAAATAAAATGTTTTTCTGGAACCATTCTGATTACCAGTATTTGTATTAGTTAATTTTATCCAAATAGACGGAAGCAATAGAATGGATAAGTATGTATGTAGGTAGGTAAGTAGGTAGGTAGATAGGTAGATGAGAAGGGATTTATTTATGGTATTTTCTCACATAAGTATAGATCCAGGCTGAGATTTTCCACAAAAGGCTTTCTGGAAGCTGTAGATGCAGGGATGCTGGTAGTGCACCTAAGTGCAAGACCAAAATCCTCAGAACCATGGAAGCTTGGTGTAATTGAGTTTAGGCTGAATGCCACTGGGAAGTTTTTTCATTGTATCCCCAATCAATTTCAAATACCTGTATGTTTGCAGTTCGATATGTGGTTGTGTCATTTTCTAGCATATTCTATTGTTTTGGGACTACTAGATGCTCCAGGATAATTATGCTTATTTGCCACCTAATTGAACTCTAATCAATTTTCATAGCGTTCTAGCTTTTTTAAATTAGAAAATGGAATTAGAAATGAAGATTTAGCCACCAAGTTTATACATTGTGAATCAGAAATCTTTGATTCAAGACTTTGTACCTGAGAAAGCAAACAAATACATCTGTGCATTCTTGTTTTACTGACACAGAATATATATGTTAACATGGGTCAATATTCATTTACATTAAATTCAAGGTGAATCTATTGTTTCCAGCCACACATGATCTGATTCAGTAACACAGGACTCTATCTACCCATTACCCCTTACTTGTATATAGCCTACTGCTCTAACAGTAAGCTAGATGTTTCTGTTAATATAATCATACCCTGAAAATACAGGTTGAGTATTACCTGTCCAAACTGTGTGGGACCAGAAGTATTTCAGATTTTGGAATTTTGGGGTTTTGGAATATTTTCATATACATGATGAGATATTTTATGGATGGTGGTGTGGGGTAACAATGGCCAGTGGTGCAAGGATAAAATAGTTTACCAAGAGACTAATGGGTAGAGAAAGGCAGATTTATTAGAGAAAGTAGGAAAACACATTGCAAGGATGGCAATGGTCAAGTTAACGTGAGGGAAGCTAACTGTGAGGAAACAAAGGCTTGCTGAGGATTTTATAGGATGGAACCTGGGCTAATTGATAATGTCAAGGTAGCAGGGCACTTAACCTGCATTCTTCTTTCAGCTGGCGTCCGCTGGGGTGTTTGATAAATTGAGGCATATGATGGTAAGCAGGAAGTTTGTGAGTTATGTATGTTTTCTGAGTAGGAGGGCCATGTGTCTTGGGCCATATGTCCTCAGTCATATAGAAAGCAGACCTGTAACTTATCTGCCTTCTCTTGTTTACATTTTCTGGACATGGAGAAAGGCATATTTATAGCTTATTTGCTTTAACTCTTTTTGTTCCCCTGGTCCTGAAGTGTGGCATGTGGGTGAAGGTCTTATCTTCTAACTGCTTCCTGCTGATTGGAGGTGTAGAGCTGGCCCCATCTAGGATTGTTAGTAGGTCAGGTGGTTACATGGGCCTAAATCCTTGAATTGGGACTTAAACTGGGCAGAGTTGATGTGGGACAGTAGGGGAACAACATTTGCAGCCTAAAATTTTGTCCTGCTGCATCCAAAGGAGATTTATGAATTTCTCTTACTGACTGATATTTTCGCTACAGTAACCTCTTGGTTCAAAATTGTTGCATTCTAGAAGACACAAAACAAGATATTGCATGAATAATACATGGTGCAAATAAATGAATATGAGCACTGTTATAGGTGACAAAGTGGAGCCTGATAGAAAAGACTTTTAAATATTAGTGGGATAAGAGAAAATTGAGGAAAAGTTGTAAATGTATTAGTGAGGTTGAGAAGTTGTCTAGTCTTGACCCCGTTCTTACATATTCCATCCTGGTTGCTGAACTATTTATAGGCATAAAGGAATTACTACAAATTTTGCTGCCATTAACTTCGTTGTTTCCCCACCATAGAGAAAACCTGCAGAGGTACACGTAGTGAACTCGTCTCCCGTTTTGGTGTGTTTGATGATAGTTGAAGTGTAATTGCAATGGGCTGGTGTTAAAGCCCTTAGGGAAGAATTAGACCCTCGGACTTGCTGATGTAGAAGATAGCCTACAGGCCTCTACGTATGATGAAGGCAGACAAATTTCTAATAAGAGGTATTTTTATGTAAATAGAAAAAAAACAAAGATTAGCATTGGGCACAATTCATGCAGATGTTAGACTTAAAGCAATTTTAGTTATAGAGGAGAAAGGCAGTGGCATTTTTTTTCTTTCTCTTGCCTGTATTATAGAGTTTCAGTTTGCAGGACCTTAGCAAAGAGCTCTGTTGAGTTTAAGTTAGAAAACTGAAAGGAAAACAAATGGGAAGTATTAGATTGGGAACTTGTAGGATTCAGTTAAAACTACGGAAAATAAGAAAAATGTGAAAACATTGGACAAGACTAGAATTTGACAACAGGTATACTACAGCTTTTCTGAAACATAATTTTTCTCTCCAGTCCCTGTTTTTACTAAAGACAAATTATAGTAGGACAAATCTATTGCCAAAATAAGTTTTTGTCATGTTATACTTGGTTTGACTGTTTGCATAAAGTCAGCAAGAATAATTATTTTTCATATATAGTCTTTTTAAAAATTGGCTTTGCTGAAACTTTATTCCATAAGGAATCTCAGATGTTAAAGCCTTGAGCCCAGTCGTGGGTTTGTGCCATTAAATACCTGTATGAGTTGTGTAAATTCCTCTCCTCTTGAGGACCCAAAATAACTTGGGGTTCCTGGGCCTGTTTGAAAGTGACATTCTTTACTTACTGCAAGCAAGAAACCCTGTACAGGGACTGAAGACAAGGTATGAGGCCAATTTTTCCAGCTTTGATTGGCTCTGTAAGTCAGCTTTGCTTCTTTAAAGCAATTTGTTTATATTTGAAAGCATGCCATTCCAGCCAAAGCTTTGGTAAAATAACCAGTGTTTCCAGTTGTGTCCTGTTATAAAAGAAAACAGATACTTAAAGAACTTATACAAATAACTATACTGCCATAAACTCAGTATACTTACAAATAGTTTTTAAATTCTGGAGAAATATGCTTCAGATTTTTGGTGATGAGATTGTACTTCATTTAATTGTAAAAGGCTATAAGTAGCTTAAAAAGTTTTTCTGGAGTTTGAAAAATAAAAAATTAGTAATATCCAAATATCATAAAAAGATGATTTTAGTATTTTGTTAGTTTATGTAATTAACTCCTACTCTGCTCAATATTTGGGAACACATTAGCTTTCAATTGGAGTTTTTGGAAGCTATTTATTTTAATATCACAATCTTTTAAGTTATCAGCAACCCACATCCAAGAGCACCTGTTAAGAGTTCTATAACTGATTATAGAACGACCTTGACAATAACTAAGTAAAACAATTGTAGATGAAAGAAGTCTTAGAACACCCATGGTTAAGGTCTGGTTATCTCTGTGGCACACAATAATTTAACGTAACAATCATAATTATTACTGATAGTGTATACTGAGACATATCACAATTATGGGAATCTTATAAAATTCTGGAACACACATCAATGACAATAACACAGTTATATAAGTGTAACTCAAAGTATGCTAAACACCATTTTGTACTTGATAATGTTTCTTATATGAATTTAATACCAAATAAGCCAAATATGGGTTTTTTGGGACTTTAAAGTATTTAATATCTGCAAAAACTAAACAATCTCCTTCAAATCTTAGCAATTTGTTAAGGAGATCCACAGAATTTTCTTTACAAGATTAACCTTTTAGAAACCTATTACAACTTGCTTAAACCTTCTGTTTTATTCCATTACTTTTAGGTTAAGGCAATCCTTAAAACCTTCTCAACTAAACAAAATTACATTCCCTTTAAGAAAAATCATATTCTCATACCTTCTTACAAACTTTTGCCAAAAACACATTTTACTTTTCTTAAAACTGCTCTTCTAGTAGTTTAAGTACATGTTACGCTGTTAACTCTTAGCAACTTTTACTTTTGGTGAGAAATCTAGTAATTCAGCAACTTCAACCATTTATAAGATTGCAAAGCCCATAACTTTTCTAAGCCTAGCCAGGCGACTTGCCTAACTCCATATATTCCTAGGCCTTACCTAGAATGTAATCGCTGGAAAACAGAAAAGTTAAACAATTATTAAAGTCATAGAAGCAGTTTATGGTCTTGAAACATTTAGCAAACAGTACTTAGCTTGCCTAATTTAGATTAAATGTCAGAACTTTGAAGACATTTATTTTACCAACAATCTTTAAAACTGTCTTTGTTTAAAGATTAGAATCATGTGACCTAAAGCCATTAAAGTTTCCATTTTTTGACAATATGTTTGATTGAAGCCCCCTTTTTTTTTTTTTTTTCTGATATGAAAGTCTAGCTCTGTCGCCCAGGCTGGAGTGCAGTAGTGCAATCTTGGCTCACTGCTAGCTCTGCCTAATGGGTTCTCACCATTCTCCTGCCTCAGCCTCCCGAGTAGCTGGGACTACAGGCGCCCACCACCATGCCCAGCTAAGTTTTTCATATTTTTAGTAGAGACGGGATTTCACCATGTTAGCCAGGATGGTCTTGATCTCCTGACCTCGTGATCTGCGCCCTTCGGCCTCCCAAAATGCTGGGATTACAGGCGTGAGCCACCGCTCCCGGCCTGAAGCACTTATTTTTCTTTAATCCAATTAATAAGAGCTCTTTTTTATAAACATCACATATATATCATATAATACACAGAAATGGAGAATTAAGACAGAATTCCATTGTGTGAGAAATTTTTAGAGGGCAATAAACCCAAACAAAAAAATACATATTCACAGTTTTTAAGACATTGTTTATATTATTTTATCAAGAATTTTTAAAGCTGGCTTATTTAAGGCTCTTGTGAGCTTGAAAAGTATTTGGACGTGATTTATGTGTACTGATTTATTTATATTGCCAGTTGGGTAGCATGCTAAACAAAAAAACAAGATAACATGTACATTGCATAAACATATTTAAACATGAATACATACATATATATACAAAGATTGAATAGCTTTTACATTAGAATTTTGGCCATGATTCAGTATTACAAATTTACTAACCTATAAAAGATACCTGACTTAAGTTATTTTTCTGATAAAATTGAAACCTGTTTATATGGCTACCTTTGCAATCCAAGGAGAGCTTTGAACCAAAATTTGGGGTAAAACAATCTTTATGGCAGTTTGTTTTAATAAAAGCTCTTTTATGCTTTAATTTCAAATGAGTTTTTAATGTTTACATTTTAGATAGACCATAAACAATGAGCTTTATCTCAGCACTAGCAGCTTAGTGAAAGCAGATTTAAAGCAGGCAGAAAAGAAAAGGGGAAGATAGCTTTATTTAGCAAATTTTACTTTACAGTGCAGGTTAAACACTTGAGCTCTGATTTTTTTTTTTTTTTTGATAGTGATTTGCCCATTCGTTTAAAATGTGCACCGAAACAGGCTATAACAAGTAACCAGCTGGAGTTTTAAAGAGAATGACAAAATCAGGGGTTAGATGTTAGAAACTGTTTTTTTCCCTTTTAAGGCTGGATCTTTGGATTGGACAGAAAAATGAAAAGAAAGGAGTGGAGAAGAAAGGGATACGTTTTACAGGAGAGCTTGTGAGCCTCTTAGCCACTGTAGGGTGTGGAGCCAGCACCTTTTTTCCTTTTGTTTTTCTCCTTTAGCTCCTCGGACCTAAACCTATAAGGGGATGGGGCTTGTAAAGCAGCCAACATTTGAGCCTCCCTTTTGTCTCTGCTTTTTTCTTTAACCCTTTTCTCCTCATTTTGCTCTCCATTATAAATTTAGGCTAGGGAGGGCAATTTGAGGGTTTTTCTTATATGAGCCATGTTGTATTACATAAGAGGGTGTTTCTTTCTGAGGGTTTGGGGGTTGAATTTGTCCCAGTGCTTTAAAATACAGCCTAAGTGAGTTTGCAGGAATGGACAGGGTTGGTCTTACGGTTGGACTGGAAAACATGCTGCTCAAGGGCCAGCAGCCCTAAGGAACTCCGGGTACATTAAAGGTGTACCCACCTATTGGAAAAGACCACTCGGCCCCTCAAGGGCCTTATGCTGGATGGCCAGTCCAGGTACTCTCACTGAGTGATCAGCCTAGGTACGAGGAAAGAAGGTAAAGGAAGATCTTCATCTGGTTCCAGCCCAGTAGGAAAGCTCATCATTCTTAGGCTGTCTGAGATCATCTGATTTGGCAAGTCCAGAACAGGATGGCTGGCTGACTGTCCACAAGAGAATTTGGAATGAGAAAGAGAGTGTATGAGTTACCTGAAACAAGCTTCCACTGTCAGTTGTCTCCCATGTAGGGATGAGGGACTATAACCAGAAAAGAGAGGAGAGAGCCTTCCCTCGTTCTGGGCAGAGCGGCTATCCTTGTTCACTTTTTGGCCTTCAGACAACTCCGGAGAGTGACCCTGGCCAGTTACCCTCAATTGTCAAAGAGATACTAGTAAATGGCCACTGAAAGACTGAAAAGAGAAAAGGATTCAGGTCACTCACCCGAACCAGGCAGCAGCAATCAGTTGCTTCCACATGGGGACCCTTCAGTCCCACCATTCAGTCCCAGAGTATAGTCGTGGCCAGAAACCTGCAATTGTCTCTGTGCTTAGACACTCTTCAATGAGGGTCCAAAATAGGGAAAGGGAAAGAGAGAGAAGGGAGGGAGTTCCTTGTGAGGAGAGAGAGTTCCTGTACAATAGAGTCCCCTTATGGGCCACTAAAATGTAGAGGAACAATGGACAGCAGTGCATGGGGTAAAAGAATTTTTACCAAGACAGCCGTAGCTAGAGATAGGTTAGATTTATTAGAGAAAGTAGGAAAATATGTTGCACAAAAGTCAGCGGACAAGTTAGCATGAGGGAAGCTAACTGTGAGGACACAAAGGATTGCTGAGGATTTTATAGAATGGAACTTGGGCTGATTGATAACACCAAGTAGCAGGGCACTTAACCTGCATTCTTCTGTCAGGGGTGTTTGATAAATTGAGGCAACTCATAGTAAGCAGGAAGGTTGTGAGTTATATATGTTATCTGAGCAGGAGGGCCATATGTCTTGGACCATATGTCCTGGGCCATAAAGAAAAGCAGACCTGTAACTTACCTGCTTTCTCTTGTTTAAATTTTCTGGACATGCAGAAGGGCCTATTGATAGCCTCTTTGCTTTATCTCTTTTGCTTTCCCCTGGTCCTTCCAGCCTGATTCCCTTTCGCTAATTAGGACCTGACAGATTGGATACAAATCTATACATGGATTTATTTATATTTTATTTTATTTTTAAAAAATTCTAAGGCTAGCCAAGTGAAGCAGTGGGAGTGGAACAGGCATTTATATTTCAAGTATACTTTACACAGATAGCCTGAAGCTAGTTGTATACAATATTTTAATAACTGTGCATGAAACAAAGCTTGCATACACTGAACCATCAGAAAGCAGTGTCACTATCTTGGCTTCCCGTGAGGTAGCCAAAGAAGTTATTTTTATTTATTTATTTATTTTTGATATGGAGTTTCCCTCTTGTTGCCCTGGCTGGAGTGCAGTGGCGCAATCTCGGCTCACTGCAACCTCCACCTCCCGGGCTCAAGCAATTCTCCTGCCTCAGCCTCCTGAGTACCTGGGATTACAGGTTCCCGCCTCTATGCCCGGCTAATTTTTGTAGTTTTAGTAGAGATGGGGTTTCACCATGTTGGCCAGGCTGGTCTCCAACTCTTGACCTCATGATCTGCCTGCCTCAGCCTCCCATAGTGCTGAGATTACAGGTGTGAGCCACAGTGCCCGGCCCCAGAGAAGTTGTTTTTATCATAGGAGAGGACAGTTCCATGCCTGTTACTGCCCCCGAAGACCACCTAGTGGAATAAGATGTGGAGGTGGACGATGGTGATACTGATGATTCTGACTCTGTGAAGGCCTAAGAAATTCTGTGTGTTTGCATCTTAGTTTTAAGCAAAAGTTTAAAAGGAAAAACTTTAAAATTTAAAATGGATAAAAGCTCAAAAATAAGAATATAAAGAGAATATTTTGTACAGATGTGCAATGTATAATGCGAATTATTATTGCAAAACAGCAAAAACTTTAAACATCAAAAAGTTTATTAAGTTAAAAAGTTAAACTAAGATATGTTTTAATACTTGAATATAGGGGAACAATTTTCATAAGTTTATTGTTTAAGTGTACAGCATTTATAAAGTCTACAATAGTGTACAGTAACATCCTGGCTTTCACATCTGCTCACTACTCACCCACTGAGTCACCTGGGGTAACTTGCAGTCCTGCAAGCTCCATTCATTATAACTGTCTTAGACAGGCATACCATTTTCTATATTTTATACCATATTTTACTATATCTTTTTAATGTTGAAGTGTGTTTACATATACAAGTACTATAATAACATGCTATATTGGTTTGTAGCCTAGGACAATAGGCTATATTCTCCAGGTTCTGTAAGTACATTAGGATATTCCCAAAATGACAAAATCACCTAACAGCTCATTATTTTTCAGAACATATCCTTATCATTAAGTGACACATGACTGTGCCTGTACATTCCTGGTTGAGAGTGTCCAGGTTCTTGTGTCTTGAACAAAGAATTGGACAGAAGTTTTGCACAAATAAAGCAAGGAAAGAATGAAGCAACAAAAGCAAAGATTTACTGAAAATGAAAGCATGCTTCACAGATGTGAGTGGGCCCAAGCAAGCAGCTCAAGGACCTTGGTTACAGAATTTTCTGGGGTTTGAATACCCTCTAGAGGTTTCCCATTGGTTACTTGGTGTGTGCCCTATGTAAATGAAGAGGTTGGAGTTACAAAGCCATTTACATTCCTGTCATTGCTGAAGTGTTTCCATTCATTTAGTTCTAGGAAGTCCTTAGGTTCCCTGCCTCCAGGCCCCTATTCTCCTGCCTCATTTCCCCCCTGAAAGACGTGGTCCTCATAAGTCTTTATGGAGGCAGAGGGACCAATGCTTTAATCTGTAACTGCTTCATGGTGGCTTGGAGCATAGTCCCTGTCTATTGGGAATCACAGAACAGTGAAATTGGGTGGAATAGATGGAGAGTTGTCTACAGTGGAATCAGGTGGAATAGACAAAGAGTTGTCTACAGTGGAATTGGGTGGAACAGATGGAGAGCTGTCTACAATGGAATCAGGTCAAATAGAGGGAGAGTTGCCCATAGTGGTCTGGAAAAGGGAAAAGTGCTTTGAAAAGTGGAAGGTTTATCAGGTGACCCAAATTTTACTTGTGGTGTCCCCCTGGAAAAATGCTGGGCCCTGACTGGGGTCCCCATTGGTGTCCCCCTACTGGGCTTCATCTTAGTCTGTCAGAAATCTCTGACCTTATATGGGTGACAGCACTGCTTTGGAATGGTTCCTTCCACCACTGATGGTCTACTATTAGCTTTCCCTCTTGTTTCTGGATGAAGGTCTCAACTTGTGGAATTAATTTTCAGTCAAACCTTTGGATTTTTTTTATCCCACTTAATTATTTAACTCACTAAATTTAGGTACAATTAAATTGTACATAAATTCCCTTTTATGAATCAGTCCAATCACTCTCACAGACCATCTGCGACATGCCCAAACCCTCTGACTTGTCTTTAGCAGGCTGAGTAGGGGAAAGGAAGAATTTAGCATATGGAAAGAGGGTTTAAGAAAGATAAGAAAGAAAGATAGGTGAAATGTGTGAGTTCACCCTGGACAAGCTGCCGCTGCCAATTGCATCACATGTAGGGATCAGAAATTATAATTAGAAAGGATAGAAAAGAGTCCCCGTTCTGGGGAAGTGACCATCCCTGTTCATTCCTTGGCCTCTGGCAATGCCAGAGAGTGGCCCTAGCCAGTTGCCCTCACTTACAAAGGAGCTACTAGGAAATGGCCACTGAAAGACTGAGAAAGGAAGAAAAGAAAAGACCTCAGTAAAAGGTAAAAAGGAATAGGATTCAGAAAAAGGAAAAGGACTCAGGTCCCATTCCCAAACCTGGCCCTGGCAGTCAGGCGCTTCCACATGGAAACCTTTCAGTTTCACCAGAGAGTGGCCCTGGCCATAAACTTGCAGTTTTCTCCATGCTTAGGTGCCATCCACCGAGGGTCCCGAGCTGGAAAGGGGGAGAGAGAGAGAGAGAGAGAGAAAGAAGGGGAAAAAAGAAAAACCCTAAACTTTGGTCTTACCTCCCATCTGGCCCACCAAAATATGTTACCACTTTAGGGTGTCCAGTTCTTGGCGTTTTGAGCAAAGAATTGGACAAAAGTTTTGCACAAATAAAGCAAGGAAAGAGTGAAGCAACAAAAACAGAGAATTACTGGACATGAAAGCATGTACCACAGGGTGGGAGCAGGCCCAAGCAGTGGCTCAAGGGCCCTGGTTACAGAATTTTCTGGGGTTTCAGGACCCTCTAGAGGTTTACTATTGGTTACTTGGTGTGTGCCCTATGTAATTGGAGAGGATGTTATTTGATGTGTGGCCTATGAAAATAGAGAGGATGAAGTAAAGTTACAAAGCCATTCACATTCCTGTCATTGCTGAGTTCTTTCCATTTGATTTAGTTCTAGGAACTGAAGGTTTTCTTCCTCCGGGTTCTATTCTCCTGCCTTATGTACCACCAATAACAAACAGTGGCATGGTTTCAGTTTCTTTCTATAATGTTGTGTTTTGATTTGAAGCTCACTGTACACTATATTTTTGTAGGCCAGAAGAAACATGAGCAGTTGAGGGACCAGGAAGTGCATCCTGTATAGATGAGGCGTTCTGCTGGGTGGCATTTTAAATGTTAATTTTTTTTTTATTTAGGGATGCACATGTATATGTACAGGTATAGTGAGTTCAAAATTGGTACTTGATATCCCTATGGGAAAGAACTTTACCAACTAAAGTGCAGTGCTTATGTATAAAACCTTTGACTTTAAGACTCAGAATCTCCACTTACTACTTATTTCATAGATGAGTCCCTCATTCCCCATCCCTTCAGTGAGGTTGTTTCTTACCATTGTTATATATTTGTACATGTTTTTGTCACATTTCTTTCTGGAATCCCCCTACCTCCTGAATAAGGTTTTTATTTATTTATTTATTTTTTATTTATTTTATTTATTTATTTTTTTGAAATGGAGTCTCGCTCTGTCACCCAGGCTGGAGTGCAGTGGTGCGATCTTGGCCCACTGCAAACTCTGCCTCCCAGGTTAACGCCATTCTCCTGCCTCAGCCTCCCGAGTAGCTGGGACTACAGGTGCCCACCACCATGCCCAGCTAATTTTTTGTATTTTTAGTAGAGACTGGGTTTCACTGTGTTAGCCAGGATGGTCTCGATCTCCTGACCTCATGATCTGCCCGCCTCGGCCACCTAAAGTGCTGGGATTACAGGCATAAGCCACTGCGCTCGGCCCTGAATAAAGTTTTTAATTTGCATACTTTTATGCTCACCCTTAGTAATAATGTAAGATAACATTTGAGACTCAGTGTCATGTGTGCACATTTACGCTATCACACAGAATAATTTCAGTACAGAGGAAAAGAAATCCTCTGTATGTATATTTTCCTTTCATCTCTCCAAATTCCTTAATAACCACTAAATTTTACTGTCTCCATGTGATTGCTCTTTCCAGAGTACCATGTGAGCAGAATTACATGGTACTTTGCCTTTTCCAACTTCCTTTTTTCACCTATCAATATACCTTTTAAGTTTGTAAATATATCTGACAGTTGTTTTGATTTGCATTTTTCTTATGACAAAAGGCATTGAGCATTTTTTGATGTGCTTATTGTATGTGACTATCACTTCCTTGGAGAAATCACTATTCAAATACTTCACTATTTTTATTGGGATTATTTACCTTTTGATATTTTATTTTTGAGCTGTAAGGTGCTTTCATGTATTCTGGGCAGTAGAAGCTTATTTGCTATATGACTTGAAAAGATTTTCTTCAATATTTTGGATGTCTTTTAATGGTATGCTTTGAGTCATAAAAGTGTTTAATTCTGAGAAATTTTAATATATCTATTTTTTCATCTGTTTCTTATGCTTGTGCATTCATGGCATAGAAATCATTGTTTAACCTGAAGCTGTAAGTATATATTCCTATCTGACTTTCTATGGGTTAAGCCTATTTATTTCTTATATTTAGGTGTAAATATAAGAAAACATATAAACACAGTCTTATTTATAGAAATAAGACTGCACACCTATAACCCTCTGATCTTCAACAAACCTGATAAAAACAAGCAATTGGAGAAGAATTCCCCACCTAATAAATGGTTCTGGGAGAACTGGATAGCCATATGCAGAAAAGTTGAAATTGGTCCCCTTCCTTAAGCTATATACAAAAATTAACTCAAGATGGATTAAAGACTTACATGTAAAACTCAAAACTATAAAAATCCTAGAATAAATCTAGGCAATACAATTCAGTACATAGGCACAGGCAAAATTTCATAATGAAAATGCCAAAAGCAATTGCAACCAAAGCAAAAATTGTCAAATGAGATGTAATTAAACTAAACAGCTTCTTCACATTAAAAGAAACTAACATTAAAGTAAGCAGACAACCTACAGAATGGGAGAAAATTTTAGCAATGCATTCGTCTAACAAAGGTCAAATAGTCTACAAGGAACTTAAACAAATTTGAATAAACAAAACAGAACAAATGAACAACCCCATTAAAAAGTGGGCAAGTGAGATGAATGACCACTTTTCAAAATAAGACATACAGACAGCCAAAAAACGTGAAAAAAAAATCTCAACCTCACTGATAATTAGAGAAATGCACATCAAAACCACAATGAGATACCATCTCATGCCAGTCAGAATGGCAATTATTAAAAAGTCAGAAAAACTACAGATGCTGGCAAGATTGTGGAGGAAAAGGAACTCTTTTATACCATTGGTGGGAGTGTAAAAAAAGGTAAACTATTGTGGAAGACAGTGTGGTGATTCCTGAAAGACCTAGTGTCAGAAATACCATTTGTTCCACAAGACCATTACTGGGTATATACCTCCCAAAATATAAATTGTTCTGTTATAAAGACACATGCACACCTATGTTCATTGCAGCACTATTTACTATAGCAAAGACATGGAATCAAGACTGGATAAAGAAAGTGGTACATATACACCCTGGAATACTATACAGCCATAAAAAGGAATGAGATTATCTCCTTTTGCAGAAACACGGATGGAGTTGGAAGCCATTATCCTCAGCAAACTATCACAGGAACAGAAAACCAAACACCGGAGCTGAATGATGGGAGCACATGGGTACATAGGGGGAACAACACACATGGGGGCCTGTCAAGGGTGGGGTTGGGTAGGGAGAGCATCAAATAGCTAATGGATACTTGCCCTTGAAGTAGTAGATAAGAATATTAACTTCCTTTTGGATACAGGGGCTGCTTACTCTGTTTTAACCCATTATAATGGGCATCCGTCACCCCAAAACTGTATGGTCATGGGAACATGTGGACAAGCTCATATGCCACTTTACCTATCCTTTAAAGCTTCTCTTCAGAGATTCTGGTTTCTCACATGTCTTTCTTATCATGCGTGAATGCCCCATCCCCTTGTTGGGAAGGGATTTGTTGACATAGCTGCAAACAGTGGTATCTTTGGAAATCGCAAGGCAGAGGAGGGGTTGCTCCTTCTCCTTTCCTGTGATAAGAGAGGAAACTCAGTAGGAAACTTACCTAGCTTATGTATTAAAGTAACCTCTCAAGTAAATCATATAGTATGGGACACTGAGTTTCCAGGCAAAGTGTTAAACATTCCTCTGGTTTGTGTCCAACTTAAGCTTAGTAACCCATACCCCTGGAAGAGACACTACCCCTTTAAACCAAAGGTGCAATCCAGCCATTAATAGCTAAGTTTTTGCAGTTTGGATAGATAAGACCCTGTGAGTCCCCTTGTAATACACCAATCTTGCCTGTTGAAAAAACAAATGGAGACTATAGATTTGTTGAAGATCTTCAAGCTGTCAATGAGGCTGTTATTCCCATACCTCCTATAGTAACTAATCTCTACATGCTGTTAGCCCAGGACCCTGGGGATGTCAATTAGTTTAGCTCTTAGATCTTAAAGATGCTTTTTTTTTTTTTTCAATCTACTACATCCTGATTTGCAATTCCTCTTTGCATTTGAATGGGCTGATCCTGCTAGTCATTTTATTTCTCAATTAACTTGGATAGTTCTTCCCTAGAGGTTTAGGGACACACTCATCTATTTGGAAATGCATCAGCTAGAGAATTGTTACAATTGAATAAGGTACTATTATCTAATATATGGATGACTTCTTGGTCTCCAGCCCAACCAAAAGAGATTCAGATGAAAATACCATTAAGTTTCTAAATTTTCTGTGAACTAATGGGTATAGGGTCTCAACACATAAGGCCCAGATTTCAACTCAAAAGATTAAATACTTAAGGTATTTCCTAACCCCTCGTACTCACGCAATAGCCCCAGAATGAAGGGAAGCCGTCTTGGGCAAACTAGATGGAGCTTTGGCAGGGAGGATTGCAGCTGTGGCTGGAGCTGTGGGAGCAGCTGGGTGGAGAGCATTAAAAAGGCACAGTTCTGGCCGGGCGCAGTGGCTCACACCTATAATTCCAGCACTTTAAAAGGTCAAGGGGGGCGGATCACGAGGTCAGGAGATCGAGACCATCCTGGCTAACACGTTGAAACCCCATCTCTACTAAAAAATACAAAAAATTAGCCAGGTGTGGTGACAGGCGCCTGTAGCCCCAGGTAGTTGGGAGGCAGAGGCGGGAGAATGGCGTGAACCTGGGAGGCGGAACTTGCAGTGAGCTGAAATCACACCACTGCACTTCAGCCTGGGCAACAGAGTGAGACTCCATCAAAGAAAAAAAAAAAGACACAGTTCTTTATCCTGAGTTTGGTTCTCTGGCTGAGTTTGGCTCTATGGCTTGTGAAGAACCTCCTTCTCCTCTTACCCTTCTGTACAGCTGGCAGCCAGCATCATTTCTTGTGGTCTGAACTCTGATTATGTAACAGCATAAAGGCTTGGATATATGATATTACTTTCCATTTTCCAGACCTCTGACAAAATGGCTCTAATTGGATTACAGTCCAGTGTGGGTTACTTACATTCAGAGACCAAAATTCATAACCCAATTGGTAGAGAGTCCAAACAGCATTGCAACATTTCTCTGTCACAGACACATTAGCAATAGGCTCTACATTTAGCTAGGATATACCACAGGGCCTTCCAAAGGAAATAGAGACCTCGTTTCCCCTCCTGGCTTGGTTCTTATATCCATACTGCTCACCCCTGTCGAAACAGTGATGACAACTTTTATTCGTTGTCTCTCTTCCATTCTGCACTGCTCATTCCTTCAACCATAACTCCAGGGTTGGAAAGACTTTTCTAGCTCTTCATATATGCAGTGCAAGTAGTACCACCCATGGACCCAAAAGGCATATGTGTGCAAATCTGACCATACAGCTGGAACAGCCAATGAGATCAGAGAATAAAGTCCTTGGCCAGGCTGGTAATTAGCAACAGCTAGCACAGCACTCCCCCACTGCTTCCTTAACCAGAATATCAACTTCATCCCAAGTCTGTGTTCTGCTGTACTTAGTACTCTAGTAGATAACCAAATGGCAACAAAAGAGATGGTGAATTCGGCAGACAAAAAGGGCAAGAGGTTGGAGTCAGGACTGCCTAAATACCAATCCCATATACTGTTAAGCTTTTTTTCACACAAACATTAAGCACCATAAGCATGGCAGAAAGCCCTTTAGACAACCTATGGAATGGTTCACATGCTTCCTTTCCCCATAAAAACTGGCACAGTTGTGAGAAGTACTCCAGGGTCCTAGAATGACCAAGCCAGGGCAGTGGAGACTGTTTCCTTGAGGGCTGGATCCTGGATGGAGTGGGGCTTATGGAGACCACCTTGCAGATGAAAGAGTGAGGAGGGGAGAGAGGCAGAGATAAAGGCCTGAATGTAGATATTACACACTTATACAGTTGCAGGTGCAGACTGCATACTCCCAGACAGATCCCCACCAAAGGGCCAGATAAAAGTCCTGAAACCTCATTTCAATATCAGATGCTCCCTGCCAAGCAGCTGAGGCCAAATGAAGCAAAGCTCAGGTCTTGACAAAGATACAGATGCCATACAAGCCCAGGTGGTCACAAGCAGCTATGTCTAAACAGGGCAGAGCTCAAGTGACATCACAGAGTAGGTAGTTCAGGGTGCATTTTGGTTCACTTACCCCGTTCTGAAGTCTGTCAGTTTCTGCAGATGTCACTTGCCCTGTGCTAAGGAAGCGTAGTAGGTAGCTGGTGCAGCAGCAAGAAGAGAAAGGAAGTTCCTCAAGACAAAAACATCTCAGCAGGTGCAGGGAAATTCTTTAGAGCCCCAACCATGGGGTCAGCTAGCCCCAAGCAGTTAGCATTTATCAGTGTTCCTTGCCTCCTTTGGTGGCATAAATGGTTAAGCTTTGGTGTGCTTCTGAGGATAATTGCCCCATTCGTTGGAAAGCAGACCTACAGTCTTACAAAGAAGTGCAGTGAAAGGAACATGGCTTTATTTGCTAAAGCTAGCAGTGGGGAAACAGTGGGATTACACCTTTGTAGACCACTTTGAAACTTTGGGGTGAGGGCAGAGATCTACAGAAAAAGAAATGTGACATGGGAGTTGTGCAAGAGTTGTGCAGAATTCAAGGACTGTTTGTCTTTCTCCAATGCCTACCATGAGTTATGTTCTACCTGGAGCCAGAGGCAGATGCCGTCTCAACTGCAGCTGGGCCATAGATTATCCATCTGAGGCAATCATTAAGAGGTGGAAAATTCTGCAGCTGGGGCTTTATGCTCAGTTCATTTAAAATTAGCCTCTGGAATTTCTTAAAAAGCATATAGTTAGTTTGCATGGTGTGAATTTAACAAACATACAGTTAGATAAATGTGCATAAGGCAAAGGAGTATACAGTGGGAAATGGAAGGTAGTGGAGTTTCAAAATATATTTCAAGAATATACTTTAAGACTAAAGAAAAGGCTAAAGCCTTTAGAAGGGAGAACATCAGGAAGAATAGCTAATGGATGCTGGTCTTAATGCCTAGGTGATGGGATTCGCTGTGCAGCAGACTACCATGGCACATGTCTACCTTTTCTAATAATGATATATTTATCTATTCCAGAACCTATTCCAGAATACCACATGACAATTACTGTCAGGTATTTTACTTATTATTACTTGGTGCATAACAAATTACTACATACCTTAGTGTCTCAAAATCACATACCTATTACTCACAGTTTCTCTGAGTCTTCAGTCCAGATGTAGATGATGACCCATGCTGAGGCTCAGTTGGAGAAGGGTCTCCTTCCAAGCTCATGTGATTGGTCTTCAGATTCACTTCCCTGCCCTGATCAAGAAGAATTCACTAGTGTGTTCTGACCCTTAAATTTCCCCTAAATTGACAATGTTATTCTAAAATTCATATATAATACAGTACAGCCAGAGCAGCCTACATAATCTAGAAAAAGTAATAAAAGGTTGGCATAATAGACACATACTTCCTGATTTCAAAACTTACTACAAAGTAAGAGTAATCAAAATTTATGGTAGTAGTGTAAGGATCTATTTATATTGTTCAATGGAATAGCATATAATGCTCAAAAATAAATTCTTAAATTTATCATGAAATAATTGTATACTGCGGCCATATAAATTAGGTATGGAGAAATTTTTTCATTAAGTGTTTCTGGAAGAAGTGGGTATCAACATGTAAGTCAGACTCCTGCCTTACACTGAAAACTTGACTCAAAATGATCATACTTGAAATATAAGAGCTAAATAGGTACAAACTGTAGAAAAGAACATAGGAATAAATCTTTGCAGTCCTATGTTAAACAATGCTTTCTAAGATATGACACTGAAAGCACCAGGAAAAGATGGAAAAAATAAATATATATTTAACTTCATTATAATTGAAAACCTTTGAAATTAAAAGTACACCATCAAATACAGAGAAACCCAAAGAGTGGGAGAAAATGCAAATTTTATAGTTGATAATGGTCTGTTATGCAGAATATATGGCAATATCTTACACTTCAAAGATAAAATGGCAAATATCCCAATCCAAATTGGAAAGTTATTCAAGTAGCCAACTCTCCAAAAAGTTATTGTCATATCCAAAATCACATGAAAAGGCACTCAGTGCCTTTTGACATTATGAGGTGAGAGAATGGCAGGACTTGTTTTCTGTTAACAACCCTACTGAGCAAAACAAGATCTGTTTCACACAGGATAAAGTAAAGAAACCACCAGAAACCAGCAGATGGAGACAAAAGTGATCCTGGCTATCCTCATTGCTCACTGCCTTAAGACACTCCCAACAGCACAATGACTGTTTACAAATTCCATTGCAACCACCCGCAATTTCAATGGCAACAACCCAGAAGTTACTGCCCCTTTCTTAGAAAGTCCTAAATAACCTGCCCCTCAATTTGCATGTAATTGAAAGCAGATTTACCTTAGTATAAATACAGTTGCCAAAAGGTCACAGGTTGCCAACTCTGGATGCAATGCCTATGTGTTACTCCTGCTCTGGAAGAAGCAATACTCAGTAAAAAATTGCTGTCTAATACCAGCAGCTCAACCTTAAATTAATTTCGTGGGCAAACTAAGAACCTTCCCAGTCTAAGCCCTAATTTGGGGGCTCACCTGTCCCGCAATTATTAGTGGAAGGAAAATCTAAACAATCATGAAATATACTTCAAAAATCTAAATGTCATATTGCTAAATAAAAACATGGAAGTTGGAAAAGACAAAATACTGTATAATTCCCTTTGTATGATTCTAGAAAAAATATGGTGATAGTAAAGAATTCAGTGGTAACAAGGGGCTTGGGAGAGAGAGAAAGTTTGAATCAGTGAAGTATGGGAGATTTCTTTTGGGCAGTGAAATTACTTTCTCTGATACTGTAATGGTGGATACATAATAATGTTTTCCATATACTGAAGAACTTTATATTAGTACATATGTAACTAACCTGCACATTGTGCACATGTACCCTAAAACTTAAAGTATAATAATAATGAAATAAAAAAAAGAATTTTGTACACATATATCAGTGTATACTCGCTCACAAATATACATGTTTATTTGCTCTGTCAGCCAAGAAAGCCATGATTTAACAGAAACCCCAAGCATAATTAGTACACCCATTGAGTGCCCAGATCTTCTTTTTTATTCTATTTTCCAATAAATGTGAAGAAATCGTGAATACTAGGCATGTGAAGAGAATAAACACATTTAGCCTGTAGTTCCTAGTAGTGCCAGAACTAAAAACAATGACAAACAACAACATAACCAATCAACAAAACACATAACAACATCAAACCATAATTATTGAGGTATCAGTGGCCAACACTGGAACAAATTTAGCAAGAAAATCAATGAAGTAGTAATAAGTGGAATAAGTAATAAGTGGAAATTAGATATCTATGTTGGTATACTGATTTAAATAAATAATTGGATAAATATACAAAGAAATATAGACACACGTCCAAACAGGGTTTTTTTGGTTGTGTTTTGTTTTAATTCTGCCTCATCAGGAGGAGAGTGTGATTGCCCACTTCTTAAGTGTATGTTGTATATACTCACATTTTTTCTTGAAATATACAATATGGAAAGGGGGAAAAAGTAATTTTGCAATGGAGAAATTTGATAAGAATGATCTCACCCAGGTGATAAAATTAATACCAATAGTCATAAACCAGGTTAGTAATATTTAACCTTGATGTGATGTGATGTCATTTTCTCTGTGCGGTCTTCCTCCTTTAAACCAAGAAACTGGATCATTTTAGGCCAGGCGCTGTGGCTCACACCTGTAATCCTCACACTTTGGGAGGCTGAGGCGAGTGGATCAAATGAGGTCAGGAGTTTGACACCAGCCTGGCCAACATAATGAAACCCCATCTACACTAAAAATACAAAAATTAGCCAGGCATGGTGGCACACACCTGTAATCCCAGCTACTTGGGAGGCTGAGGCACGAGAATCTCTTGAACCTCGGAGGCGGAGGTTGCAGTGAGTCAAGATCACGCCACTGCACCCCAGCCTGGGTGATACAGTGGGACCCTGTCTCAAAAAAAAAAAAAAAAATGGAATGACTTCATAATTCAAAGTCCACCTTCAAAACCACCTAAAAAAATGGGAGAAATGTTTGCAAATCATACAACTGATAGCAGTGTATTGTTCAAAATACATAGAACATCTCACAACTAAAAAATTAAAAGTGACATATCCTAATTAAAAGTGGGTGAGGCTGAGTGCGGTGGCTCACATCTGTAATCCCAGAGCTTTGGGAGGCTGAGATGGAAGAATCAATTGAGGCCAGGAATTTGAGCCCAGTCTATGCAACATAGTGAGACCCTGTACCCACATTTTTTTTTTATTAGCGGGGTATGGTAGCATGCACGTGTAGTCTCAGCTACTCGAGACAGTGAGGTATGAGAATCACTTGAGTGCAGGAGTTTGAGGCCACAGTGAGCTACAGTGACCACCCCATTGCACTACAGCCTGGGTGGAAGAGCCAGACCCCATTTCTATGCAACTTAAAATAAATAAATAAAAATAAAAGTGGGTAAATATTGTGAATAGACTCTTTCCTTCAAAGATGCTATGTAGATGTCCAAAAAGCACATGAAAAGTTGCTCAATACCTGACCTTTCAACTAAAATGCAAATCTGAACCAAGAGACACTTCACAAATACTAAAAACATATTATTACTATTATTATTTTTTTGAGATGGAGTCTCGATCTATCGCCCGGGCTGGAGTGCAGTGGCACAATCTCGGCTCACTGCAAGCTCTGCCTCCCGGGTTCACGCCATTCTTCTGTCTCAGCCTCCCAAGTAGGTGGGACTACAGGCACCTGCCACCACGCCTGGCTAACTTTTTTGTATTTTTAGTGGAGATGGGGTTTCACTGTGTTAGAGAGGATGGTCTCGATCTGCTGACCTCGTGATTTGCCTGCCTTGGCCTCCCAAAGTGTTGTGATTACAGGTGTGAGCCACCGCACCTGGCCTTAAAGGCATATTTTTAAGCAAAAGAAGCCAGTTTGAGGAGAGTGAATTCTGTGGGTAATTAAATTTAAACGATATTGTGACAAAGTGTAATTATAGAGACAGTAAAAAGATTAGTGGTTAGCAGGGACTTCAGAGAAAAAGGCTGAATAGGTAAAAAATATTCTTTACAGTGAAATTATTTTCTATTATACTGGAATAGTGGGTGAATGACACTATTTTTCAAATCCTGAAGAATTTTACATCACAAAGTGTGAATGCAGATGTATGCAAATTAAAAACCTTACTTAGTAGGTTGGGGAATCCCAGGGAGCCGTGCAGACAACATAACATAAATGTGTAACACATGTATGAAAAAAATTCATGAAGGGAGTGGGTGAAAAAGAGACTGACCAAAGTAACTTAGGAAATAAGAGGAGATTCACAGTCTAAAACATTTGTGATTTGCAAGTGAGCATCTTACTTGGTGCAGACACTTTCCACCACCAATTTGGAAACCACTATGCAAGTATTTTGGAACTCAATAATTACGCAAAGGAGGTGAACTGTTTCATTGTCAAAAGTGGGAGAGGGGGGCAGTTCCAAGATGGCCAAATAGGAACAGCTCCAGTCTACAGCTCCCAGTGTCAGTGACGCAGAAGTTGGATAATTTCTGCATTTCCAGCTGAGTTACCGGGTTCATCTCATTGGGGACTGACAGACAGTGGGTGCAGGACAGTGGGTGCAGTGCACTGAGCACTAGACAAAGCAGGGCGAGGCATCGCCTCACCTGGGAAGCACAAGGGGTCAGGGAATTCCCTTTTCTAGCCAAGGAAAGTGGTGACAGATGGCACCTGGAAGATCGGGTCACTCCCACCCTAATACTGCGCTTTTCCAACAGTCTTAGCAAACGGCACACCAGGAGATTATATCCTGTGCCTGGCTTGGAGGGTCCTACGCCCACGGAGTCTCACTCATTGCTAGCACAGCAGTCTGTGATCAAACTGCAAGGCGGCAGCAAGGCTGGGGGAGGGGCGCCTGCCATTGCCGAGGCTTGAGTAGGTAAACAAAGTGGCCAGGAAGCTCAAACTGGGTGGAGCCCACTGCAGCTCAAGGAGGCCTGCCTGCCTCTGTAGACTCCACCTCTGGGGGCAGGGCATAGCCAAACAAAAGGCAGCAGAAACCTCTGCAGACTTAAATGTCCCTGTCTGACAGATTGGAAGACAGTAGTGGTTCTCCCAGCATGCAGCTTGAGATGTGAGAATGGACAGACTGCCTCCTCAAGTGGGTCCCTGAACCCTGAGTAGCCTAACTGGGAGGTACCTCCCAGTAGGGGCAGACTGACACCTCACACGGCCGGGTACCCCTAAGACAAAACTTCCAGAGGAATGATCAGGCAGCAACATTTGCTGTTCACCAATATCTGCTGTTCTGCAGCCTCTGCTGCTGATACCCAGGCAAACAGGGTCTGGAGTGGACCTCCGGCAAACTCCAACAGACCTGCAGCTGAGGGTCCTGACTGTTAGAAGGAAAACTAACAAACAGAAAGGACATCCACACCAAAACCCCCTCTGTACGTCACCATCATCAAAGATCTAATGTAGATAAAACCACAAAGATGGGGAAAAAACAGCAGAAAAACTGAAAATTCTAAAAATCAGAGCGCCTCTCCTCCTCCAAAGGAATGCAGCTCCTCACCAGCAATGGAACAAAGCTCAATGGAGAATGACTTTGACAAGTTGAGAGAAGAAGGCTTCAGACGATCAAACTTCTCCAAGCTAAATGAGGAAGTGTGAACCCATGGCAAAGAAGTTAAAAACCTTGAAAAAAGATTAGACAAATGGTTAACTAGAATAATCAATGCAGAGAAGTCCTTAAAGGACCTGATGGAGCTGAAAACCATGGCATGAGAACTATGTGTTGAATGCACAAGCCTCAGTAGCTGACTCGATCAACTGGAAGAAAGGGTATCAGTGATGGAAGATCAAATGAATGAAATGAAGTGAGAAGAGAAGTTTAGAGAAAAAAGAATAAAAAGAAACGAACAAAGCCTCCAAGAAATGTGGGACTATGTGAAAAGACCAAATCTACGTCTGATTGGTGTACCTGAAAGTAACGGGGAGAATGGAACCAAGCTGGAAAACACTCTGCAGGATATTATCCAGGAGAACTTCCCCAATCTAGCAAGGCAGGCCAACATTCAGATTCAGGAAAAACAGAGAATGCCACAAAGATACTCCTTGAGAAGAGCAACTCCAGGACACGTAATTGTCAGATTCACCAAAGTTGAAACGCAGGAAAAAATGTTAAGGGCAGCCAGAGAGAAAGGTCGGGTTACCCACAAAGGAAAGCCCATCACACTAACAGCTGACCTCCCGGCAGAAACTCTACGAGCCAGAAGAGTGGGGGCCAATATTCAACATTCTTAAAGAAAAGAATTTTCAACCCAGAATTTCATATCCAGCCAAACTAAGATTCATAAGTGAAGGAGAAATAAAATCCTTTACAGACAAGCAAATGCTGAGAGATTTTGTCTCCCCCAGGCCTGCCCTACAAGAGCTCCTGAAGGAAGCACTAAACATGGAAAGGAACAACCGATACCAGTCACTGCAAAATCATGCCAAATTGTAAGGACCATCGAGGCTACGAAGAAACTGCATCAACTAATGAGCAAAATAACCAGCTAACATCATAATGACAGGATCAAATTCACACATAACAATATTAACCTTAAATGTAAATGGGCTAAATGCTCCAATTAAAAGACACAGACTGGCAAATTGGGTAAAGAGTCAAGACCCACCAGTGTGCTGTATTCAGGAAACCCATCTCACGTGCAGTGACACACATAGGCTCAAAATAAAGAGATGGAGGAAGATCTACCAAGCAAATGGAAAACAAAAAGAGGCAGGAGTTGCAATCCTAATCCTAGTCTCGGTTAAAACAGACTTTAAACCAACAAAGATCAAAAGAGACAAAGAAGGCCATTACATAATGGTAAAGGGATCAATTCAATAAGAAGAGCTAACTATCCTAAATATATATGCACCCAATACAGGAGCACCCAGATTCATAAAGCAAGTCCTTAGAGACCTACACAGAGAGTTAGACTCCCACACGATAATAATGGGAGACTTTAACACCCCACTATCAACATTAGACAGATCCACGAGACAGAAAGTTAACAAGGATATCGAGGAATGGAACTCAGCTCTGTACCAGCGGACCTAATAGACATCTACAGAACTCTCCACCCCAAATCAACAGAATATACATTCGTCTCAGCACCAAACTGCACTTATTCCAAAATTGACCACATAGTTGGAAGTAAAGCACTCCTCAGCAAATGTAAAAGACCAGAAATTATAATGAACTGTCTCTCAGACCACAGTGCAATCAAACTAGAACTCAGGATTAAGAAACTCACTCAAAACCACTCAACTACATGGAAACAGAACAACCTGCTCTTGAGTGACTACTGGGTACATAATGAAATGAAGGCAGAAATAAAGATGTTCTTTGAAACCAGCGAGAACAAAGATACAACATACCAGAATCTCTGGGACACATTCAAAGCAGTGTGTAGAGGGAAATTTATAGCACTAAATGCCCACAAGAGAAAGCAGGAAAGATCTAAAATTGACACCCTAACATCACAATTAAAAGAACTAGAAAAGCAAGAACAAACACATTCAAAAGCTAGCAGAAGGCAAGAAATAACTAAGATCAGAGCAGAACTGAAGGAGATAGAGACACAAAAACCCTTCAAAAAATCAATGAATCCAGGAGCTGGTTTGTTGAAAAGATCAGCAAAATTGATAGACCACTAGCAAGACTAATAAAGAAGAAAAGAGAGAAGAATCAAATAGATGCTATAAAAAATGATAAAGGGGATATCACCACCGATCCCACAGAAATACAAAGTACTGTCAGAGAATACTATAAACACCTCTACACAAACAAACTAGAAAATCTAGAAGAAATGAATAAATTCCTGGACACATACACTCTCCCAAGACTAAACCAGGAAGAAGTTGAATCTCTGAATACACCAATAACAGGCTTTGAAATTGAGGCAATAATTAATAGCTTACCAACCAAGAAAAGTCCGGGACCAGATGGATTCACAGCCGAATTCTACCAGAGGTACAAGGAGGAGCTGGTACCATTCCTTCTGAAACTATTCCAATCAATAGAAAAAGAGGGAATCCTCCCTAACTCATTTTATGAGGCCAGCATCATCCTGATACCAAAGCCTGACAGAGACACAACAAAAAAAAAGAGAATTTTAGACCAATAACCCTGATGAACATTGATGCAAAAATCCTTAATAAAATACTGGCAAACCGAATCCAGCAGCACATCAAAAAGCTTATCCACCAAGATAAAGTGGGCTTCATCCCTGGGATGCAAGGCTGGTTCAACACATGCAAATCAATAAACGTAATCCGGCATATAAACAGGACCAAAGACAAAAACCACATGACTAGATCATCATCAATAAATTCAGAAAAGGCCTTTGACAAAATTAAACAGCCCTTCATGCTAAAAGCTCTCAATAAATTAGGTATTGATGGGACATATCTCAAAATAATAAGAGCTATTTATGACAAACCCACAGCCAATATCATACCGAATTGGCAAAAACTGGAAGCATTCCCTTTGGAAACTGGCACAAGACAGGGATGCCCTCTCTCACCGCTCCTATTCAACATAGTGTTGGAAGTTCTGGCCAGGGAAATCAGGCAGGAGAAGGAAATAAGGGGTATTCAATTAGGAAAAGAGGAAGTCAAATTGTCCCTGTTTGCAGATGACATGATTGTATATCTAGAAAACCCCATCATCTCAGCCCAAAATCTCCTTAAGCTGATGAGCAACTTCAGCAAAGTCTCAGGATACAAAGTCAGTGTGCAAAAACCACAAGCATTCTTATACACCAATAACAGACAGAGAGCCAACTCATGAGTGAACTCCCATTCACATTTGCTTCAAAGAGAATAAAATACCTAGGAATCCAACTTACAAGGGATGTGAAGGACCTCTTCAAGGAGAACTACAAACCACTGCTCAATGAAATAAAAGAGGATACAAACAAATGGAAAAACATTCCATGCTCATGGATAGGAAGAATCAATATCATGAAAATGGCCATACTGCCCAAGGTAATTTACAGATTCAGTGCCATCCCCATCAAGCTACCAATGACTTTCTTCACAGAATTGGAAAAAACTACTTTAAAGTTCATATGGAACCAAAAAAGAGCCCGCATTGCCAAGTCAATCCTAAGCCAAAAGAACAAAGCTGCAGGCATCACGCTACCTGACTTCAAACTATACTACAAGGCTACAGTAACCAAAACAGCGTGGTACTGGTACCAAAACAGAGATATAGACCAATGGAACAGACCAGAGCCCTTAGAAATAATGCCACACATCTACAACTATCTGATCTTTGACAAACCTGACAAAAACAAGAAATGGGGGGAAAGGATTCCCTATTTAATAAATGGTGCTGGGAAAACTGGCTAGCCATCCATAGAGAGCTGAAACTGGACCCCTTCCTTACACCGTGTACAAAAATTAATTCAAGATGGATCAAAGACTGAAATGTTAGACCTACAACCATAAAAACCCTAGAAGAAAACCTAGGCAATACCATTCAGGACATAGGCATGGGCATGGACTTCATGTCTAAAACACCAAAAGCAATGGCAACAGAAGCCAAAATTGACAAATGGGATCTAATTAAACTAAAGAGCTTCTGCACAGCAAAAGAAACTACCATCAGAGTGAACAGGCAACCTACAGAATGGGAAAAAATTTTTGCAATCTACTTATCTGACAACAGGCTAATATGCAGAATCTACAAAGAACTCAAACAAATTTACAAGAAAAAAACAGCCCCATCAAAAAGTAGGCGAAGGATATGAGTAGACACTTCTCAAAAGATGACATTTATGCAGCCAAAAGACACATGAAAAAATGCTCATCATCACTGGCCGTCAGAGAAATGCAAATCAAAACCACAATGAGATACCATCTCACACCAGTTAGAATGGCGATCATTAAAAAGTCAGGAAACAACAGGTGCTGGAGAAGATGTGGAGAAATAGGAACACTTTTACACTGTTGGTGGGACTGTAAACTAGTTCAACCATTGTGGAAGTCGGTGTGGTGATTCCTCAGGGATCTAGAACTAGAAATACCATTTGACCCAGCCATCCCATTACTGGATATATACCCAAAGGATTATAAATCATGCTGCTATAAAGACACATGCACATGTATGTTTATTGAGGCACTATTCACAATAGCAAAGACTTGGAACCAACCCAAATGTCCATCAGTGATAGACTGGATTAAGAAAATGTGGCACATATATACCATGGAATACTATGCAGCCATAAAAAAGGATGAGTTCATGTTCTTGGTAGGGACATGGATGAAGCTGGAAACCATCATTCTCAGCAAACTATCACAAGGACAAAAAACCAAGCACCGCATGTTCTCACTGATAGGTGGGAATTGAACAATGAGAACACTTGGACACAGGAAGGGGAACATCACACACTGGGGCCTGTTGTGGGGTGGGAGGAGGGGGGAGGGATAGCATTAGGAGATATACCTAATGTTAAATGACGAGTTAATGGGTGCGGCACACCAACATGGCACATGTATACATATGTAACAACCCTGCACGTTGTGCACATGTACCCTAAAACTTAAAGTATAACAAAAAAAAAGAAAAAGAAAAAAAACCTTATTGCTAGATATGTAAATATGTCTATAAAATTATGATCTAAATAACAAATGTTAAAACCTGTGTGAGACCTTCAATGCTGTACTTAATAAAGGAAATGTCTTAAAAAATGTGAGAGATTACCTACAAGTAGTAGAAATGAAAAAATTGATTCATAGGGTACTGGATTACATCATGTGGTACTGAGGACATTAGTAGGAATTCATGTTTGACTTTATATACATATATATGATCAAATGTAGAAATATGTGTGCGTTTATAGATACACATATGTTGTGTTTATATGTGTATGTGAGAGTTAGTATACACACATATATTCTATTGCCTTGTTGGATGACAGAGTAGAATCAACAGATCCCTAGTAGAAATGGGAACACACATAGACCAAATGTTTTTTTCTAATACCATGCACAAAAACAAGAAACTATGATTCCTTGAAAAATAGTATCTGGCATGTGCAGGGAAACAACACAATAAGCCTGGAACACTTTAAAGTGCTAGCAAGTAAAATCATGCTAATGAACAACAGAATCAACCAACCAAACAAACAAACAAAATCAAACAGCAATCATGTTGGCAATTCCATATGGTACAGGATCCGACAGAAAGACCTTCCAATGACAAACCCTGAAACAATTTGAGCAGCAAAGTAAATAAATTAGTATAAGTATAGCTTACAATACTTATCTATAATTTTATATAATACCCCATATGATATAAATAATCGATTTAAAATATATAATAAATGATGGAGAACAGATAAATTGCCTGTGGAAAAGAAATGCAAATGATATTTCTGCAAGCACTGCCAATAAAATTTAAAGCTAATTCTTCACTTGTGAAGTATGTTTTGTACTTAGTGACTTTAAAATAAAAGCACAACATGGAAAGGGGGAAATAGATATATTAATACGTATAACTGGTATAATGTCATCAGAGTGGCACATATCCTCTGTGGTCTTCCTCACCTAAACCCACACCAGTCGAATCATCAGAAAAACGTCAAATTCCAAATGTAGGTGTAAGTATCATGAAAAAAAAAAAAAACAAGGAAAATTTGAGAACCTGGCACAGTGGAGAAGAGCACAAGGAGACATGATATCTAAATATGTTGTGGTATCCTGGATGGAATCCTGGAACAGAAAATTGACATTAAGGCAAAAAATATACAATTAATGCGTGCACTTGTTAAATGAATGAAAATGTATAATAATGGTGTGATAATTGTGAAAAAATATCCCACATAGTAATGTAGAAAGTTAATAAAGAAAACCCTGTGTTGGATAAATATACATACACTCTCTGTAGTGACTTCCAATGGTTCTGTAAACTTAAAACTATTCTAAAATAGAAAAAATGCATTTTCTTTGTCTTAATCCACTGTCAAGATTAATAACCAAATATTGTATATATATTACTGATGCATCACATATGTTCCATCCTCTCTTTTACCGTGGTGAATGTTACTATAACATTGAATTCGCTTTGTCATTCCCTCATTCTTATTATTTTCTATATTTGTATTTCTAAATAATATACTGTTCAGGTTTTTTGTCGTCAAAGTTAGATAAATATGTGTGTAAGTTAATGTGTAATCTTAGTCAAATTTTGAGAAAATTTAACACATCCATATTGTGTGATACAGGCTAAAAAATACTTTGTAAGTTCACAAGGGTCGACATCAACAAAATAAATAATGATGGGGAAACTGATGCATATTGGACAGAAACTGATGTGGCAGGTAGGTTCTAAGCTGCTTCCCAATGACCCACAACTCTAGATAATGCAAAACTCTTTTCTGATACTCTCCCTGTGAGGATTAGACTGCTATACCACATGTATAAACAAACAAAAAAAGGGGCAAAACAAGTGGAACAATGGCTTGTAAAACAGATTATATCAAACAATGAAGGACAGTGATATCTGAGACATACAAGACAGTGACATGAGCCCTACCAATTTCTCAAGACACTGCTTCGGGAGAGTTTCTGTCCTGTAGTGTGGCATGGACTTTTGAAGATACTCTGAGTTTTTGAGTTAAGAAGATGGAACTGAGAGTCAAGCACAAATTAGCTGAGTTTCATGAAGCCATTCTCCACATTCAGTGGTAAGAATGGGGGAGAGCATTCACGCCAGCATCCGTGCAGGCTGGGCTATTTATTTCTGCATAAATTATAACATACTAGATGGCTCAAAACCACATGCACACATTACAGTTTCTCTGGATCATTGAATTCAGATGTAGATCATTGCCAAGAATGAGGTCTTAAGTGTTCAACTGGGGAAGGATCCTCTTCCAAGCTCATGATTGTTGTTAGGAGTCAAGGCCCTGTACTGGTTGAGATGACTTCACTGGTGAACTATTCAATCCTGAAAATAATTGGTAACAATCTATCACAAATTCTTAAAACTTAAAAACAACTTAAACAAAAATGACAGAAGTGGAGAAGAGATCACTTTCCAATGTATACTATTGGTGAATTTATATGATGCTAAAACTAAAATAAGACACTGCAAGGTAGAAAAATTAAGATCAATATGTTTTGTAACTATTGAAGCAAATATTCTTAAGGAAGTGCCAGCAAAACAAGTCAGCAAATGTAAAAAGAATTATATACCATCACTAAGGGTATTTGGCTCAGAAATGCAAATTTGGTTCAACATATAAAATAATTAGTGTCATGCCCTTTATTAATAAAATCAAATACAAAAGCCATATGATCATCTCAAAAGATGCGGAATATTCACTTGAAAAATTCAAAATCAATTTGTGATAACAATACAAAGCAAATTAAGCCTATGAGAAAACTTTCTTTACGTTAAAGGGCATTCATGAAAACCTCACATATCATCACAATTTATCTGAAAGGCTCAAGTTTTTTCCACAAGATTAGAAACAAGACCAGGACCACTCTTGACACTTGTTGTCAACATTGTACAGGAGTATGTAAACAGGCTAAATAGTCAATAAATATGAACACAAGATTTAATATTGCTAAGTGGCAATATTTTTCATATTCACATATAGATGTAATGCAATCTCTTTAAAAATAGGTGACTTTTTTTCTAACTTGACAAGCTGCTTCTAAAATTCATGTATTATGCAATACAGCCAGAAAATTTTCAAATGAAAAGCAGAGTTCACAAAGTAGACTCATGCATTCGAATTTCAAAAGTTACTACAAAACAATCATAATCAAGATTTGTGGTACTAGTGTAAACATAGACTTACAGATAAAAGAAATATAATAGAACTGAATTCTAAAAATTACCCTTTTCCTTTATGGTGAAATGATTTTACAAGGTAGCTAAGTAAATTGAATATAGAAAATAGGTTTCCATCAAATGTTGCTAGGACAATTGAGTATCCAAAACAAATTGAACTTCTCTCTCACACCATACACATAATTGGACCAAAATGATCATATATCCAAATATAGGAGCTAAATATACCAGACCCACAGAAGACAATATGGGAATACATATTTGTGGTCTTAGGTTGAACAATAATTTGTGATTTCTAAGGTATGACAGCTAAAGCCCAAAAAAGTTAAGTAAAAAACATGAATATATTGAACTTCATAGAATTAAAATCTTTTGGAAATCAGAGTACATCATTAAAAGCAAAAAGATAACACAAAGTATAGAAGAAAATCTTTGCAATCTCATAGCAGAAAAGGGTCTATTATCTACAACATATAAAAATATTTTACAACTAAAAATAAATATCACAATCAGATTGGTAAATTACTTTAATAGCTGTATCTCCAAAGATACTATAGTCATGTCTAGTTACCACATGATGTGAGGCCTAAGTCTTCTGCCATTAGGAAAATGCAAATCTAAACAACCATGAAATACACTTCACAAATCTAAAGGGCATATTGCAAAAAAACAAAGCAAATTTTAAAAGGCAAAATATGTGTGTGATTCTAGTTATGTGACACTCTGGAAAGTGAAAAAGCATAGAGACAATAAAATGTTTTGTATTTACCAGGGGCTTGGAAGAGAGGCAGGTCAAATTGGTGAGGCACAGCAGGTCTCCTCTGGGAAGTGAAATTATTGTAGTATCATACTGTAATGATAAACACATGATTATATTTTACAAATCCTAAATAACTTTATAATACAAATAAGCAAATTAAAAATCTTATACAGTAGGTAGGAGATAGCATGGGGCTATGCATATAATGTGACTGTATAACATTATCAGTGAAATAACCTCACTGAAGGGAGTGGGGGAAAAGCAGCGGACCCAAGTAACTTAGCAAACAAGTGAATATTCTGAGTCTAAAGGGTAAAGATTTATCCATAAGTACTTCAGTTGGTCAAGTATACATTTCCAGTTCTGAAACCACTATACATGTCTTTTGGATTATGTGATTAAATAAAAGAACTATCCTTATCACTGTATACATGGTAAAATATACATATGTGTATGTATGTGCATATATATAAACTTACATATATGTGTGTGTGCATATCCATATATGCATACGTATATATATGAATCAGTGTACGTAGATTTATTTGATCTGTCAGCAGGCAAGATCATGAATACAGATGCTACAGGAGTGATGAACACGTCCAGGCGCAGGTCTCCATTTGTAATTCAACTTTCCAATAAAAAGAACGAGGGAACTGTGGAAAAAAAAAAAAAAAAAAGGTTAATACCAGGCTTGCGCGGGAATCAGCACCATTAGCCTGAGCACCTAGTAATGCTAGAAAAAAAAAAAGCCAAACAACAATGCAAACAACTAAACAACCACATAACAACATCAAAGCTTAATTATGGTGGTGTTTCAAAATTGACAGATGATCCAATAGCCAACACTGCAACAATTTAATCAAATAAATGAAGTAATAAAAGTAAAGGGTAAAATAAACACCTGTGTTTGGGGTCTGACATAAAAAATGACTGAATCAATATAATAATTATTAAAGGAGAATACATACATATTCAGTGTTCATGGTGAAAGTTCCAAATAACTTTGGTAGACATTCTACCCATAAAGTGGAGCATGTCTTCTTGGGTTTTTGTTTCAAGATGCCAGATTGGAGGCTTCGTTAGCACACCTCCCTGCTTCTAAACAGCAAAATAGTGTGCAGAGATTTACACTAAATTTGTATCCAACAAACACAGGAACTCAACAGAAAAAGTGAAAGAAACTTTGGATAATTTGAAAGGAGCAGCAGGCAGCAACTCGCACCATGTGTCAGATGGGAAACTGAGTCTTCAAAGTGCAAAAGGGGGAGACAGTCTCCATGATACACACTCTCACTGGGGAGCCAGGCAATCCAGTCCATGGGGAAGTGCCTTAACCCTACCCAGCGCTGGAGCTGACTTAGAGAGGTGGGGAGCATGAAAGGAGTGGCACCTGGATGTGCTGCGTGTCTACTCTCAGACCACAGCAGGGACAGAAGAAGGATAATCCTGATACTAATTCATAGGGGAACCTTGTGGAAAACATCCAGGTAACCCAGGCAGTGGTCACACATTGTAAGAAGCTCCCAACTGACATGCGCAATCCAGTATTGAACAGGGGATGAACCCCCTATGACCAGAACGCAAGCAGGAAGCATTCTTTTGCCAGGGTCACGGGAGCTGGGTATTCCTGCTTCACATGCCAAATCGAGGGGTGTGGCCTCAGAGCTACTGTTTCAGTTTCATTCTCCAGTGGGAAGTCTTGTGGTTTGTCTTCTGAGCCTGGACTGCCTGGAACTAGCTGGCTGTTGTGGCTTTTTGCCAGCAGAAGTCTGCATGTGTGAGACCTGCTGTGTCAAGGTCGTGGGAACTGACCTGCCATTTGCTACCCTTCCCTGCATGTACAGACCCTCGTGAAGCAGAGCGTATTCTCTTTCTCCCTGGAACATTATCCTATCCCAGTGGCCAGGAAAGTAACCACCAATCCCCATTGGGCTGCTGCTTGTGCCCACACTCGAAAAGCCAGAGTGTGGACTTTCCTGACTCCCCACCCAGCTTTTCCCCTCTACCTACCCTAGTAGCAGAACAGGCATTCCTGTTTTGCTACCTGAGTACTTCCCCTGGGTAACAAAGGCTAAGCGTAAATCCCACCACCATGACTGCAGCTGGCTGTCTCCTGCAAGCACTGCACCCTTGCCCGAGGTCAAGAAATACAGTCCGTTACAACATCTGCTGGCACTCTAACATGACAGTGGTATAAACTTAAACATATAGACCAATGGAACAGAATACAGAACCCAGAAATGAAGACTTACAATCAACTGATACTCAACAGAGTAGACAAAAACATACACTGAAGAGTGAACACCCTATACAATAAAAGGTACTGGGAAAATAAGATAGCCACACGCAGAAGAATGAAATTGGATCCTTTTCTGTCACCATATAAAAAAATCAACTAAGATGGATTAAAGACTTAAATGTGAGATGTGAAACCAGAAAGATTCTAGAAGAAAAACTAGAAAAAAAAGTCTTCTGGACATTGACCTGGGCAAAGAATGTTTGACTAAAACCCCCAAAGCAACAGCAACATAAAAAAAATAAATGGAATTAAACTAAAAGGTTTCTGCACAGCAAAGCAAATAATCAACAGAGTAAACAGACAACCTACAGAATGGGAGAAAAATATTTGAAAAGTACACATCCAACAAAGGACTAATCAAGAATCTACAAAAAACACAAATCAGTAAGAAAAAAATGAATAATCCCATTAAAAAGTGAGAAAATGACATGAATAGATAGTTTTCAAAAGATACACAAATGGCCAACAAACACAGGAAAACATGTTCAACATGAATCAGCATCTGGGATGCAAATGAAAACCACAATGAGATACCACCCTACCCTATTCAGAATGGCTCTTATTAAAAAGTCAATAAATGATAGATATTGGTGTGGATGAGGTGAGAAGGGAATGCTTATACACCCTTGGGTGGGGATCAGCCTCATTATGAGCGAAACATCAGAGAAATCCCAAATTAGAAATGTCAATGGCATCAAAAACAAGGAAACTCTGAGAAACTTAAAGACATGATATCTAAATGTGATAACATATCCTGGATGAGATCCTAAAACATAACATTAAGTGAGAACTAAGAAATCTGAATAAAGTGTGTATAGTACTTAATGATAATACATGGTATTAGTTGGTTAGTTTTGACAAATGTCCCACATTAATGTACCAGATAAATAATATAAGAGGCACTGTGAGTGGAGTTTATGGAAACTGTCTACTACATTTGTAACTATTCTGCAAATGTATAACTCTTCTTTTAAAAAATGTGTTTTTTGTTTGTTTGTTTTTTAAGACAGGGTCTCACTCTGTCACCCAGGCTGGAGTGTAGTGGCACGACCTATGATTATATGTAGATAATTGTTTTATATTACACGTATGATTTATATGAGATGGGAAATACAAGCAAAATACACTAACATTAAGTATCCTGAAACTTTATCTCATTCAGATCAAACTCTGAATCACTTCTCAATACATCTTATCCAGGATTTTCCTTACATTATCAATATCTCTGCTAATCAGAAGCTTTGTTGATGCACATTTCTTAGTAGTATCCTGTACTACTCTTGTGAGATTATTTTTTCAACCTGCTCATGGCCCCTTTGCAAGTTTCGATGCTGACAATATCACTGGAAGGTGACTATGGAATGTTTTTACACCAAGTTCATGTGTGTGCTAATAAGGGCAATCACAATTTGCTGTCTGGCCAAGAGTGTTTTCGGAGTATCAAGTTCTTTACGCATTCTATTTGAAAGATGTAAATATGTGGGCTCATGCCTGTAATCCCAGCACTTTGGGAGGCCGAGGCAGGTGGATCAGTTGAGGTCAGGAGTTAGACCAGCTTGGCCAATATGTTGAAACCCCATCTCTACCAAAAATGCAGAAATAAGCCGTATGTGATGGTGCACGCCTGTAAAAAAAGAAAACTCAGCTGAAAAAAAAAAAAAAAAAATATATATATATATATATATATATATATATATACATGATCAAATATTTTATAAGTCAGTGGATGGGAATAGATGGTTTTTTATAAAAATGTCCTAGAAAATTTAATATTCTTTGAGGGAAACTAAAACCTGATGTTTGACATCACATTACACATGAAGTCAATTCCAGGTGGATCATAGGCCAAAATATAAAAATATTTAAAACAGTATATAACACAACTTAGGAAAGTATCTTCATGACCATAAAGCAGGGTAAGAGTCCTGCAACTACCCCTAGGAAGTATTTACCATGTATGGGAATACACATTGGAACATAGTGTATGTGAGCTAGGCCTCTGGAGACAGACTGAATCAAGGTCAGATTCTTCTACTTTTTCTTTCAGAGTGTTTGGATCAGATTCAGTGTTGGACTATGGGAATGGTAATAGCGCCTACTTCTTGAATGTTGGCAGGATTGTATGAACTAATTACATTTAAAACACATAGCGTATGCTAGCTAGTATGACAACTTTTTCTAATTGTCAGATGTATTACTGAATCAACTGTAACATTTTATCATTATTTTATATATCAGAATGAAAAAATAAAAGCACTAACAGGTAATGAAACAAATACTTATTATTTAACATTTTAGAAATCATGATGTCAGAATCACTTCAAGATTTTACAATTATTGGAAAAACCTCTTTTGAACTTACATTCATGTAGATATTTGTCTTGTATCACTCCTATAATCACAGAACATAGAAGCAAAGGTATGCCTAAAATTTATTCAATTCAGAGCAAAGTCTTTGAAATCATTTTTACTTCACTAATCCATGGTTAGTTATTCTGTGGTAGTCAGAAGCACTGGTGATCTGGTGATGCTGCATGTCTTTCTTTTTCTTTCTTTTTTTTTTTTTTTTTGAGATGGTGTCTTTCTCTATTGCCCAGGCTGGAGTACAGTGTCGTGATATTGGCTGACTGCAGTCTCCAACTCCTGGGTTCAAGCAATTCTCTTGCCTCAGCCTTCCAAGTAGCTGACATTACAGGTGCATACTACCACACCTGGCTAATTTTTTTTTTTTGTATTTTTAGTAGAGATGGGGTTTCACTATGTTTGGCCAGGCTGGTCTTGAACTCCTGGCCTCAAGTTATCTGCCCTCCTCGGCCTCCCAAAGTGCTGGGATTACAGGCATGAGCCACTGTCCCCAGCCACTGCATTTCTTATGGGAGTCCTGGACTACTCTTTGTGAGATTATCTTTCCAACCTTATCACACCTCCTCTGCAAGTTTGTTGATATTATCCAAAGATATCAATGGAAGATCCTTAGGCCAGGTTCATGTGTGTGTACGTGAGGACAGTTACATTATAACTGCCTTCTGGCCAATAGTGTCCTAACACTATCAAATGTAAAATGCTTCATCTCTATTTGAAAGATGTGAAAATGTGCACTCTAGGATGAATGGAACGTACCATTTTTTCTCTGCGACTGCCCATTAATCATTGTTAAGTTAGGGTGGCACATCTGCTGTATTCTAGTCTATTATTGAGAAAACATGTATCAAAGCATTTTCACAAATTTAACCACCTCCATTTATATTCTTCCTAGCTATTAAAAATATCAGATTCTTTTACTGGAGTATTGGAATTCCTATTGTCTGTATGGGGAAGTTGTTTTATATACCATGGTTCGTGAAATTCATTGAGAAACAAAATAGATATTTTGAAGAGTTAGTTATTTGAAAATAACTGGAGTGATAGTTTTTTAAAGACTTGGGAAAAGCTGTATATTTCACATTTCTTTCCTTATTCTAGAAATATGAGCAATGTTTTGCTACAATCTGCAATAGAAATTCAATGCTTTCATCCGTAACATATGTTTCATATTTCTTCCTCATGCTGATCCTTTAATCACATAGCAGGTAATTACACAAATTACCTTATGATCAGTCACTGTGAACTAGGTGATCCTATGGTCTTTATAAAATATTTTGTTCTGCCCCCTTACTACTCTGGTTAACTCCACTTTGGGGCTATTGAATATAGGAATAACTTTTGGTGTTCCCTCATGAATGTATTGACTGAGAAGGAAACATGCAGTTTAGGATTAAGTGATAAACCCTTAGAGTTTACAATGTAGGATGTTGACTGAAAGTTTACCTAGAGAAGTGCACTCCAGGAATTATGAATTACGTGAACATGCAGTTATCATCTCAAATATACAGGCCATTCATTCACTGAACACTAACTTCTGATAAGGGTAGAGTTTTGGGTAATTGCTTCATGATGTGGTCTGAGAATCTGGCTTGTTTTCATGACAGCTTCTTGAAAAGGCAAGCTACTAGTAAATCTGGTGGTTTAATATACTGCGGAAAATCATACCTTCCTTTCTACTGGGGAGTTTGGTGCTTTGCTTCACTGTACTTTGTCATCTGTGCATGTGGCATCATATTAGTACAGTTTTGTTTACTGCCTGCTTTTTTAAAATTCTGACCTTTATAATTTAATTGATCCTGATTTGCCACATTTAAATGCATCCCTTCCATCTAGATCTACTAGTGTCTCACTTATGGACTGCCTGGTTTTTTTTTTTTATCCTAGATTCAGGTGAGTCACTGTATTTGCAGTCTACATCATGATACATTAGAATAGATGCATGTAATTGAAGAGGGAAGGAGGATTTGACTTGTCAGGTACCTCTTATACAATATCCAGTTAAAACTAAATAAATGGAACAATGAGAACACATGGACACAGGAAGGGGAACATCACACTCTGGGGACTGTTGTGTGGTGGGGGGAGGGGGGAGGGATAGCATTGGGAGATATACCTAATGCTAGATGACGAGTTAGTGGGTGCAGCGCACCAGCATGGCACATGTATACATATGTAACTAACTTGCACATTGTGCACATGTACCCTAAAACTTAAAGTATAATAATAATAAATTAAAAAAAAATAAATGGAATAACCCTTGATATGTTAAGATGTGGAATTTAAATGAGGCTGTCATGTCTTAATGAGTGAAGTATGAATATGAAGTTACAATCTTTCTTCAGTAACAAATGCTCACATAACTGCACCTAAATAACTGTTATCCTGATTTACAGTTGAGGTTTGTGGTCCAGATCAGCTTTCTCTCTTACTCCAGGTCACAGAAACTCATTTTCTCACTGAAACTATGTGAAACTTTGTGGTATGGAGAATATAACCCATGATATTAAACATAAAACAAGATACTTGACTTTGTGGATACTAGGAGTAGAGTGTACAGTATGGTTTGTAAGCTTTGTAGTCTTTGCAAACATGGTTTCTGGAGACAGTGCTGCTGCTACCCAACAGAGTGCTGTGGTCTGTGACAGGGCATCCTGTGGGGAATGAGTGGTCAACATCTCTGTTGTAATGTGGAACATACACGGAATCATCAGTCATCCTGTGTTCATCTTTTGGATCACTGCATGGTGAAGTTGGGATATGTTGTAACCGGTCTGTTCTTTTTTCTGTTCGTATGGCACTTTCTCCACCTATGCACAGTATATGTATATCACTCACTAGCCTTTACCTGGAAAACACCTGGTAGAGATGTATGTCTAGGTCTTTGTAAGCAAGGACTAACCTAAACCACCATAGTTGTAAGCTTTTATGTTGTATCTGCATGGCCATACCTATTCTGTGGATTTTTTTCGTGTTAGCAATGGGTAATATAATTCTACAGTGTAAGTGTCAACAGAATAAATGGTTCTAGAGAATTCATCATGGAGACCTTAGAATGAAAAGAAATTATGGAAGGGTTTTTTTTTCCCCAAAAAAATCTTGAAGGTAAAGTTATTTTTTGATCACTCAAAGAAGGAATCCCTGTCCCAAGGAAATGCTCTTCTGAGTGCTGAAGTAAGATTTCAATTCTGTGACACTAGACTTTCTCAATTTTGGCACCAAATGTCCAGAAGTTATGTCTTCCAAAAAGGCTTTAGTGAAATTCTGCAGACACATTTCTGAACAATATGTGAAAATGGAGGTTGTGGGGATGAGTGAAGCACAGGCACCAATCTATGAAGCAGTGCTTACTCCTTACTGGGTAGTGAAGAATATGACGGTGAATGTAGAAATGAATGAGAGAGTCCTTGGAGACTGTTGGTGTTGTACTGAAGTAGGTGCATGTGTATATGGAATGTTGGATAGATAAGGAAAGCTGTTCAGCTATTCTCTCCCTACATATCCATCTCCTGAGGAGTAGGTGTTCTGCTTATGTCCTCCATTGTTTTTGTTTTCTTCTTGGACCAAAGTAATACTATGGAAAACATTTTTAAATTTTGAAATAATTTTAGATTTACAGAATGATGTACACATATTCAAACGAGTTTCATAAATCCTTCAGCCAACTAGAATGTTAACATTTCTATAACTGTAGTTTATTCATGAAAACTAGGAAATGGACCATGTTACAATATTATTAACTGCAGTAGAGACGTTCTTCATATCATTGGGTTTCCTAATAATGACTTTTTTCTGTACCTAAATGTAATCCAGGATACCAAATTACATTTGTTGTCAGGTTAATACTTCTAGTTTCTGCAAAACAAATTAACATACGGATTAGCGGCTCCAAGCCACACACACATTAATCACAGTTTCTCTGGGTCAAGAATTCAACTGGAAATAATGACCAAGGCCGAAGTCTTAACTGAAGGATCAGTGGGGGAAGAAACCACTTTCAAAGTCATGTGATTGTTGTTAGGATTCACATCTCTCCCCTCACTGGGATGATTTCTCTGATAAATTATTGTAAATCATAAATAACATCAATCTATCACAAATTGTTCCAAAAAATAAAATAACCACAACACCAGTAATAAAAACAGTGGAGAAGAAATCACTCTACAACAGTTACTATGAGTTAGTTTATGCTGGTAAGAAAACAAGGCAAGGGCATTTCAAAAAAGGAAAAATGAAGACTAATATGCGATAAAAACACAGAAAAAATCCCCAAGAAACACTAGCAAAACAAATTAGAAATGTGTAAAAATTATTATACCATATGACCCAGGGTATTTTTCTCAGAAATGCAAATTTGGTTCAATACACAAAAACCATTAGTGCCATGCAATACATTAATAGAATGAACAGAAAACACATTTGTAGTACAAGAATAGGTATATGTAGGAAACAAATGTCTAAAACAAAACAAAAAAAGAATTAAAAACAGAAAAAACCAAGTAAATTAAAAAATAGGCATATAGCTCGATGGGATAAAACTGAATGTCTAAAAGTTAACTCTTACCTTTATGATCTCATGATTTTATAAGAATGTCAAGTTAATTCAGTATGGAAACTTTTTGATCAAGTGTTGCTGGGTCAAGGGGATATCTATGTTTGAGTTGAACTACTCTTTAAACTGATAAACACACATACACAAAACAGGAAAAGTTGCCTTGTCCCCTTCACAGGGCCTGTGGTGTGGGTGTGGCTCACTTCTTCAGTGCCCCCCCTGCTCAAACCTCTAGGAGAGCATACAGTCGGGCAGGTTGTGGGGCTTGAACCCCACGGCAGTGTCTAGGGATGAATGTTTAAAGGTGAAGCCCCAGTGGACGTGTGTTACAGGGTGCTCTTTTAGTTTGGACGTCCATAGGTGGCTTGTGTATTTAGCTCAGTTAGATCCTCACCTTATCACTAGGACAGAGGGGTTTCTGTATCCTGAGGTTCTTGCCTTGGTGTACCGGAAGAATCAGATCACACGTAGGACTGGAGAATGAGTGCAAAATTTTATTGAGTGGAAGTAGCTCTCAGCAGATGGGGGAACCAGAAGGGAGATGATTTTCCCCTGGAGTTGGGCTGCTTGGCAGCCTGGGCTCTCCTCTAACTGCCCCAGCCAAACTTCGTGTCATTCTGCCGGTCTGTGACTGGCCAGCATGCCAGTGCCTGTTGGTGTATTACTCTTGATGTCCAGCCACCCGTGTGTTCCTCCACTGACTAGCTGCCTGTGCCTCGGCCTACTAGGGTCTCAGGGTTTTTATAGGCACAGGATGGGGGTGTGGCAGGCCAGGATTGTCTTGGGAAATGCAACAGTTGGGCAGGAAAACAAAAATGCCTATTCTAACCTAGGTTCATGGGCACAGGCCCAGGGGTGGAGCCCTAGCCTGGGACCACGCCCTTCCACCATTTTGTATCATTTAAAGGGACCACACCATTCTCTTCCCAGCACTTCCCTTCCCCTCTTCCATATCATATGTGCTTTTATTATGTATATATATTGTTCACAGGAATATACTTTACTCCTTGAAATTGTGGAAAGCCTTAAATCGCTCAAAAGAAAAGTTTTCTTGGCTCTGAAAAACAAAAAAGATCAGCGATGTTTTTTCTAAAATTATTATTATACTTTAAGTTCTAGGGTACATGTGCATAACGTGCAGGTTTGTTACATATGTATACATGTGCCATGTTGGTGTGCTGTGCCCATTAAATTGTCATTTACATTAAGTATATCTCCTAATGCTATCCCCCGCC
This sequence comes from Homo sapiens, assembly GCF_000001405.40. NCBI lineage: Eukaryota > Metazoa > Chordata > Mammalia > Primates > Hominidae > Homo > Homo sapiens. The sequence continues at coordinate 24,063,797 of NC_000015.10, forward strand.
CCCCCGCCTCCCACCTCACAATAGGCCCCGGTGTGTGATGTTCCCCTTCCTGTGTCCAAGTGTTCTCATTGTTCAGTTCCCACCTATGAGTGAGAACATGTGGTGTTTGGTTTTTTGTCCTTGAGACAGTTTGCTGAGAATGATGGTTTCCAGCTTCATCCATGTCCCTATAAAGGACATGAACTCATCCTTTTTTATGGCTGTATAGTATTCCATGGTGTATATGTGCCACATTTTCTTAATCCAGTCTATCATTGTTGGACATTTGGGTTGGTTCCAAGTCTTTGCTATTGTGAATAGTGCCGCAATAAACATACGTGTGCATGTGTCTTTATAGCAGCATGATTTATAATCCTTTGGGTATATACCCAGTAATGGGATGGCTGAGTCAAATGGTATTTCTAGTTCTAGATTCTTGAGGAATCGCCACACTGTCTTCCACAATGGTTGAACTAGTGTACAGTCCCACCAACAGTGTAAAAGTTTTCCTATTTCTCCACATCCTCTCCAGCACCTGGTGTTTCCTGACTTTTTAATGATCACCATTCTAACTGGTGTGAGATGGTATCTCACTGTGGTTTTGATTTGCATTTCTCTGACGGCCAGTGATGATGAGCATTTTTTCATGTGTCTTTTGGCTGCATAAATGTCTTCTTTTGAGAAGTTTCTGTTCATTTCCTTCACCCACTTTTTGATGGGGCTGTTTTTTTCTTTAATTTTGTTTGGGTTCTTTGTAGATTCTGGATATTAGCCCATTGTCAGATAAGTAGATTGCAAAAATTGTCTCCCATTCTGTAGGTTGCCTGTTCACTCTGATGGTAGTTTCTTTTGCTGTGCAGAAGCTCTTTAGTTTAATTAGATCCCATTTGTCAATTTTGGCTTTTGTTGCCATTGCTTTTGGTGTTTTAGGCATGAAGTCTTTGCCCATGCCTATGTCCTGAATGGTATTGCCTAGGTTTTCTTCTAGGGTTTTTATGGTTTTAGGTCTAACATTTAAGTCTTTAATCCATCTTGAATTAATTTTTGTATAATGTGTAAGGAAGGGATCCAGTTTCAGCTTTCTACATATCATGATTGAACTCCCATTCACAATTGCTTCAAAGATCAGCAATGTTTTAAACAAAAATTTAAAAAAGATTACTTCAGACTTCTATTAGTTTAGTCCATGCAGTTAACTCCTGTTTTGCTTGATATTCATGAACATTTCAGCTCTCCGTGAGAGTCCTGAAAGGATTTTTTTCCTTTATTCTAATGTCACAATCTCCAAAGTTATCAGAAACCTGCACTAAAGAACACCTATGAAAGTTCTGGAACCAATCATAAACTACATTTGAAGAGGATTAAAACAAGACAACAATTGTCTGAGAATAACAAAAAGTTTTAGGACAGCCACAGTTAAAGGCACAATTGACGGAAATTTGTTACTTCTGTGGCACACAACAATTTTACATAACAATTCTGACTATTAATAATGTGCCCTAAGTTGTATCAGAATTCCATAACTTTGGAACACATATCAGTAACATATTTATACAAATACAGCCCAAGGAAAACCAAAAACCATGTCATATTTGACAATGCTTCCTCTTTGATTTTTATACGAAAGAAGCCAATGTCATTTTTGGACTTTAGAAGGCATAGTATGTTAAAGATTAATTAGGTCAGAAAAAGATAATTTACAATTTAATTTTTGGAGGTTTGTCAGATATCAAAACTTTGAATCACTTGATATCACAAAATAAATGTGAGTTTACCATAGGTCATTCATTTAAACAAAATAATAACTCAAAAATTTTATAAACGCAAAAACCTCTACCCTATTAAGAGGGAGACTTAGCTTTCCAATTTGTCTCTTTTCTTTCTCTTCTTTTTCCTACAGTTTATTCAAAAGGAAAATGAAAATCTTTCATTATCTTTTAATATTAAAAAATTCTTGTTCCACAGAGAAAGCCAAATCTCACCTTTGCATTAGTGTATTAGTAATGTTAAAGTCAATTATTAATAAAACCTTGTAGACAAATTTATTCAATTTTAATCAGTTTGACCATAAGGTAAGAAGTCTTTTATAATCCTTTACAATTTTTTTGCCAAAGAGAAGGTTGATGCTCCAAGGAAACTCTCTTGTTCTTTTATTCCAATGTTCAATTTATGGAAAAACTGAATAATACCCCTTTAACTTTCCCCAATATGTTTACACACAGAACCTATTTTATAATTAGTTGTTCACAAACCTTCCACAACTTGTTCAAACCGTCAGAGTTTTCCTATTTTACTTAAAACAATCCTTTAGCCCTCTGTAGTTAGGCAAGAAATCTACATTCCCATGCCTTCTTATAATCTTTTACCAAAAGGACATTCTACACACAGTTGTGTGTAAAGCTGTTTCTTCAGTAGTTTCAATTGCATCATTAACTCTTAGCAACTTTTACTTTTGGTGAAAAACCTGGGTATTAAGCAATTTTACTTATGTACCAGGTGTGGAGCCTAGGAAACCAGAGTGCAGATAGGTCTGACTCTTTCCAGCATAGCTAGGGTCATGGCTAACTCCACATGACCCCAGGCCTTAACTAGCCATAAAGTAGTTAAGTTGTGCAGTTGAGAGTCACACTGGCATTTTATGAAGCATTTATGAGGCCTGGTAACCTTTAAATTGTACATTTCTTTCATAAATTCTGTTTCACAAATTCTTCCATGAAATACACAAACCATCTACAACTTGTTTGTACCTTTTGACTTGTCCTAAATATCCCTCTATTTAAACAACCAGTATTTTACTTTAGGACAAGAATTTACCATACAGGATCCTTTCTTATATAAAATTTCTTTTCTTTAAAACTGTCTTTACCAAAAATACCTTTTTACCTTTATAACTTTTGAATTAGACAAAAGTCATTTTCCTCCCATTAGAAAGTTAAGATTTGTACTGCCTATTACTGTGTGTGTCCTGTGAAGGGGGAGCAGATAAAGAGGCTATCTGCATACTGTAGAAGTTATCCCCTCTCAAGAGATTGCTCAGTTATATTTTTGCCAGGGCTTGTCTGAATAAGTGTGGGCTACTTCTGGACCCCTGATGTAGCACTGTTTAGGTTATAGATTTGGTTAATGATTTAGGTGGAGACAAATAGGCTATTAGAAAGAGGAGTTCAGAGGTTGGATAAATATTAAATTAGTACAGATCTTAGAAAGTATATTTTTTCCCAAAGAGTTGTTGGGTATTTAGACATTACCAGGGACTGGTGGGAGAATGGTAATTGGTCCCTTAAGTAATATAAAGAGGTGTGAAACTTTTCTTTTGGAGGGAGGGGATGCCATTTGCCTTGTTCTCCTTAGCCCTGTCCTCCTTATTCTCCTCTTAGTTATAAAAGACTGAAGAGGCTAATCTGAGGACCTCTGCACAGGGTCATTGGGTTCCAATGCTGACTTTTATAATTTTCCTCTTAGTTCATTTTTAAGCCAGCTGAAGGTTTGGGGAAATTAAACTATTCCCAGGTTTGGGGGATGCATCCAAGAAGCATGTCCTGTCGTATAGAGATGTGATAACCCATCTGTGAAGAGATAGCAGAGGAGAAAGAGGAAAAAGAAGATCCCTTTCTTTCTATTATCATGAATGGGGCATCCCCCATGGTCCTGGGTTCCAGAATGAACCAGTCTTACTGTGTACCAATGGTCCCATCTCAACACAATTACCCACTTGAAAACAGAGGAGATGCTGGAGTGAACAGTAGTGGGCCCCTGTTAATCTTTGGGGTTCCGGAATGAACTGGTCTTTAACATGTACCACCTGAGCCTCTCATCTCTGTTCCAGTGGTAATCTGTTGGCCTGTGACCACCCTTTGTCTCTGTCCTATGGGTCTCTTGCATCTGTGGCCTCTGGCTGACCTTGTCTCCATGACCTTATAGCAACTCTCACTCAGAGTATTTTAACAATAAAATGAGTAACTCTTTTCTCAGAAGCGTGTTTTTCAGCTGCCACAGAGACTTGAGTTTCCTCCCTGCTCCCTTAGAATATGTCTTTAAAGGTCTTGATGCATGTTGAGAAGGGCATGGAAGTAATTAGAGAAATGAAGCCTAGAGGAGGAAGTGGAAGGAAGTGAGAGGAAAAAGAACCATCTGACTCCTACATCTGGAAAGCCTTCACATGCTCACGTAAATAACAGTCCTTGGATTCAAGACAGCAATGTTTATTCACACTCTGGACATAAAGCAGTATGCTCCAGAAGACTTAGGGCTTCGGGTAAGAACTCACAAGCAGCAAAGGGAGAATTTTTTCTCCTCCCAAAATAGTAGTGCTATCTCAAAAAAGCAAGCGGGTGGGATTCTTAAAGGGCCAGAATGAAGCCCTATGCAGGCAAACTGCTTTTAAAAGCCATCAGAAACTTGGCCCCGTGGTGGCATACGGGAATTGAAAAGCACGTGGTAAGTTATAAGATGCCAGCAGAGCCAGAGTTCCAATTAGAGTCTGTCCTGGCCATGTGCCAGCATGCAGGGGAAGGATTGAAGGTCACCTGAGCTGGTTAAAACAAATATAAACCTCAGGGGATATCCACCAGGGAGCCTGTGTCTTTGCTGCCATACAATGTAGAGAGCCGCAGGGTGTGAATAACAGGGAGTGTGTGTTTAGAAGTCCCGTGGCATGCAAAGTAAAAACAAAGAGGCAGACTTGCTCCTAAGGCAGAAGGTCCAGGGTGTGCGCTAGCCCATTGCAGAACACACAGAGAAAACCAGAAAATGGGTGGTGCAGGTTTTTGGAAAAGAGCCGATTGTAGTTTAATAAAGGCAAAGGAAACCCCAGACGTTGCGTGATTTTTAGGCCTTAGCCTCACCAATCTCATGAGCCTCCTGTTTAGGATGGCCATTAGTGCTTCCGATCTGCTGGGTGTGGACCCTAAGGTCCTTCACACCCCCACAAGCCACTGGTCTGGGTAAGCTGAGAAATCAGCCTGGGGGAGCAGAGTCAACTATGGCCAAGAGGAATTGCTCTGCGTGTTGGTTTGTAAGCAGGAGAGAGAGAGGGAAAGGGAAGAAAAAAAACCATGCTCTGGGTCAGATGCCTCCAGCCAAAGAAGGTGAGGCACAGAGCTCTCTTAACACTAGGGAATGATCTGAGTGAGTCACAAGGCACCAAATACATTAGGGGTAGGTCTCCAAGTTACCAGTGGTGAATCCATGTGGGTCTACAGCAACCTCAATTCTTGCCTCCTCAGAATAAAGAATTCAACTGAGAGGTATAGGGCAGAAAAAGAGACAGAGGCAAGTTTCAGAGCAGGAGTGGAAGTTTTTTTTTTTTTTTTGGAAAACTTTAAAAACCTTTAGAGCAGGAAAGAAAGGAAAGTACACTTGGAAGAGACAAAGTGGGCAACTTGAAGGACAAGTACAGTGTCTTACCTTGATCATAGGACTTTATATGCTGGCCCACCTTCGGCGTCTTGCTCCCCTTTCCCATGATTCTTCCATTAGGGTGGGCTGTGGACCTGTACAGTGCCCTCCTCATGCTTGGGAAGTGAACATGCGGCAGTATGTTTAGGAAGTGTTTTTATCCATTTGGAAAGTTGTTTCTCCCCGGCACCTGCGTTCAATTAACACTTTAGTGTGACAGCTCTGGGCAATCAGGAGATTGTCTGTCCCTGGCACTGGCTGCCAAATTATCATTTTTAGAGAGGCAATGTGATAACTGCTAAGCAATCATCTGATGATCGCCTGCTATTCCTTGTGAGTTGGGGGAGACAGCCCTCTTCTACCCTGCTCATGCCTTCCTAACTACCTATAACAATTTGGCATTTTCCACCTTCATATCTCTCACAACATCACTTTGGAAACCAATGTGGCAAAGATGTAGGCTGCTAAGTATGTCTATTCCAACTATGCATTGGGGAACTCGGAAATTAACAGAGGATGGGTTTCGGGACCAAATGGACACACTGTGACTAGGACATGAGCTAAAACATCATTGACCACCTGACCTCCATTAGCGCCAATTCTATCTGGAAGGGAACATTGATGTTTCAGGTCACCTGGAATCAATGTCCATTCACAGCAAGTGTCCAGACATCCCTAAATGATGTGATTATTTCCTTTTTGTCAGTAAACAATTGCCTTAATAAAAAGTGGTAAGTCTTTTTAGGAAAGTGTGGGAGGAAGATTAATGTATAGTTTTGGTAGTGTACCTCTGTCTTTATTGGAGGATCTCTGCCTCCCCTTCAAGGAAAGCTTCTGAGACTGTAAATTGGCTCAAGTCTAGGAATTGACTGTGGGTCTATAATTCTTTTTTTTTCTTTTTTATCATTTGAGTTAGAGTTGTGTTCATGGACACGAACATGTGTTTTGCTTAGAGAGATCAAATAAGGATTTAGTCAGCTTCTTACCTGTTTCACTTCTAGGAAAACTGTGGATAACTGGTTAAGTCCATAGATCTGTAGGAGTCAGATGGTTCTTATTGTTGCTTTGCCTTTGCTCTCCATTACCATAACAATGCCCCCTTGCTTTTGATAGTTGAGGACCACTGCTTGGTTCCTGCCACCCCTGGATCCACTTATTCTCATTGCATTTAAACTTTTCATTGGACTGATTTTGGTTCTCAGTGTAAGATCTGTCCTACAGAGAAAAGCATCCACAGAGCTCTTCAGGGATGCTGGGGATCCCATCACGAATCTATTTCTCACAGTATTGGTAAATGATAGGTCTTCTGGACCCTTCCAATGTGAATGAATAGGTTTTAATAACAAATTCACTCTAACATTAATCTGTCTCTAAGCCTTTGCATACCTTCCTCTGTGGTAAACCAAGATAGATGGCACAACTTGCTCATGGTCGGCCATTTTTTTATCCTTACTTCAGCTGATCAGCTAAAAAAACTATTAGAACCTTTCGTGACTCCCCAAACGGGAACATTAATGGGCCATGTTAATTAATTCAACTTGATCCAACGCTATTTTCCTTCCACTATCCCACAACCTTGCTGCCATTTAAGATCCATTTCCACAGACTTTCTGAAGGTTTTAGTTGATACATATTTTTTTAAAAAAAATTCAAGTAGGTTTTTTTTTAAATGTAGTGCACATCCTCATAAGTAACAATTTGTACCTCATATTTAAGATCCCACTGAAACTTGCACCTAGATATAGTTCTATTATAGAAACAGTGCTGTCAGTGGTCAGTCCTAATGAAAATCACCATTGTCTTGCTTGGCAACTGCCTCAGGTGAGTCCATTATCATTTCCATAGGTAAATAAATATTTAATCCTTTCAGACAGGGGATACAAGGCTTACATCATTGTACGTGGGAAAGCTGCTTCCACTGTGGGTAGGGTTAAAAAGTTCACTGCTGGTGGCAAACAAAATTCATTAGAATTTAGGAGTTCAATGTTCCCGCATCATCAGTGTCTTCCCAACTATCCTCTCCCCGTTTTACAGAATCCCATTATTTCCTAACCATTGCTCTCACTTAAACTTTAGACACCTTGCCAGACTGAGAGTTAAACTTTCTTTGTAATTTTGCCACTTTCATGATGAGAGCTTCTGTTTGACTTTTAGCAATTTCAGCCCCATTGACTAGAGAAGGGAAGAATCTGACTCAGAGCACAATTAAAAGCTATTAGGCTATTTATGCAGAGAAGATTCTGGAAATTTGAATATCTAGTCACTTCCTGTCATTTTATCTCTTTGCCAAGGCACATGAGAAGCAAACACACAATGACATTATCTTCCTTGGTTTTTCACAAATGCTCAAAGATCACCAAATTCCTTGCCTCTTACCTTACTTCAGCCAATCAGCTAAAGAAACTGATTAGGAGTGAGAAATGCAGATACTTTGCATGTCTCTATGAACAGTTCGTGCCATGGACTATCAGTGTTCTTTTTCTATTAGAAGTAGCATTGTGGCCAGGCGTGATGGCTCATGCCTGTAATCCCAGCACTTTGGGAGGCCAAGGCAGGTGGATCACCTGAGGTCAGGAGTTCAAGACCAGCCTGGCCAACATGGTGAAACCCTGTCTCTACAAAAATACAAACAGTAGCTGGGCATGATGGCAGGTTCCTGTAATCCCAGCTACTTGGGAGGCTGAGGCAGGAGAATGGCTTGAACCAGGGAGGCAGAGGTTGCAGTGAGCCAAGATCGTGCCATTGCACTCCAGCCTGGGTGACAGAGCAAGACTCTGTCTCAAAAAAAAAAAAAAAAAAAAAAGTAGCATTGTTAGAATTTTAGGTGTAATCAGATTGAGAGCCAATTCTAGAAACCCTCACACCAATTAGGGATGGTCATTTTAAAAATGTCGTTTCTCTAGAACCATTTTTATTACCAATATCTGTATTAGTTAATGTTCTCCAAACAGAAGCAATAGAATAGGTAGGTAGGTAGGTAGATACATAGAGATTTACTTTATGGTATTTGATCGCATAAATATGGAGGCTGAGATCTTTCACAAAAGGCTCTCTAGAAGCAGGAAATGCAGGGATGCTGATAGTGCACCTAAGTGCAAGACTGCAATCCTCAGAACCATGGAAGGGCTTGGTGTAATGATGGAATCAGGCCGAATGTCACTGGAAATTTTTTCAGTTGGATACTCTATTAATTTCCAATACCTGTGTCTGCAATTTTATGTGTGGTTGGTTGGTTGTTTTGTTGTTTAGCATTTTCTATTATTTTGGGACTACTGGGTGCACCAGGCTAATTGTGCTTATTCCCTATTTAAGCCTTGTATTAATCATTTGTTCACAAAGTTCTAGATTTTTTTAAGTTAGAGAATGGAATTAGTAATGGACCAGGTGCAGTGGCTTCCATCCGTAATCCCATCATTTTGGGAGGCCGAGGTGGGTGGATCCCTTGAGGCCAGGAGTTTGAGACCAGCCTGGTCAGCATGGCAAAAACCTGTCTCTACTAAAAATACAAAAATTAGCTGGGAGTGGTGGCACATCCCTTTAATCCCAGCTACTCTGGAGGCTGAGGCAGGAGAATTGCTTGAACCCGGAAGGCAGAAGTTGCAGTGAGCTGAAATCGTGCCACTGTACTCCAGCCTAGGCAACAGAGGCAGACTCTGTTTCAAAAAAAAAAAAGAAGGAGGAGGAAAGGAATGAAGATCCAGGCACTGGGTGTATACATTGTGACTTTGAAATCTATTGATTTGATGCTTTGTTAACAGAAAGTGCAAACAGATATATCTGTGCATTCTTTGTATACTGACACAATATATATCAACATGTGTCAATATGTATCCATATTAAATTAAACAGGAATTTTTACTAATGTTTCCTGCTACACAGGATCTTATTTAGTACCACATTAATCTATCTATTCTTTACCACTTACTTGTATATAGCCTACTGCTCTAATAATGAGCTAGTTGGTTCTGTTAATTTAATTATGCTGTTAGCAGTGGCACATTTATACAGGTCTGCAGCAACTTGGTTCTTGCCTCCTCAGAGGAAATAATTTGTCCTAGGGGCATGAAGCAGAGTGAGAGACAAAGGCAAGTTTTAGAACTGGATGAAAGTTTATTAAAAAGTTTTAGAGTAGGAGTGAAACGAAGTTAAGTACACTTGGAAGAGGGCCAAGTGGGTGATTTGAGAGATCCAAGTGCCTGGTTTGACCTTTTACTTGAGGTTTTATACATTAACAGGCTTCCAGGGTGTTGCATCTCTTCTCTTCTGATTCTTCCCATGGGGTGGGCTGTGCACATATGCAGTGGCCTGCCAGCACATGGGAGGGGCTGCGTGCGCAGTGTGTTTACTAAAGATGTGCACATGCTCACTTGAGGCATTTTTCCCTTACCAGTCAATGGTTCCTAGAGGAAGATCATACACCAAACACTGCCATTTTGCCTCTTAATGCACATGGTTGAGTCCACTTTCCCACATGCTGAGATCTTACGGGGAAACGGCTGATCACCAGCTTCAGGTGTTTTCTATCTATGGGGAGACTGCTCCCCCAGTGCCAGTTGCCACCAATTATTATTTAGAGAGACAGTTTAACAATCGCCTGACCATCATCTGATGGTTGCCTGACATTCCTGGTGGAGGGGGAACTCACTTCTGCACTGCTCATGTCTGCTAACTATCTACTCTAACAATACCACTTGAAAATACAGGTTGAGTATTATTTATTCAAAATGCTTGGGACCATAAATGTTTAAGATTTTTGATTTTTTGGGATTTTGGAATATTTTTATATACATGATGAGATATTTTATGGATGGGACACAAGTCCATACATGGATTCATTTATATTTTGTTTCATTAATATTTAAATATCTTTTAAAAGTCTAGTCAAATGAAGCAGTGGAAATGGAATAGGCATTTATATTTTAAATATGACTTATACACGTAGTCTCGGTAATTTTACACAATATTTTAATAACTGTGCATGAAACAAAGCTTACATATATTGAGCCATCAGAAAGCAGAGGTGTCACTATCTTAAGAGGCCTCCCATGCAGACAATCTTTGGTTGTTTAGCATCACCATGGTCCTTGACTCTGAATTTATGTTACTGATAAGCAATTATTTTCTTACACTTATTTATACATAAGTGCTTAACATTATAAAGAATGATATTCCTTTAATACAGTGAAATAGTTGCATGTTCAGGGTAACTAAGCAACAGAGTAGCATCCCTAGTATAAAGTCACATGCCCCCTAATGACATTTCAGACAAAGGTGGGCTGCAGATATGGTAGAGGTCTCATGAGAATATGATGGAGCTGAAAATTTTCTATCTTCTAGCTATGTACAAAGCATTACTCATGTGTTTGTTTATTGTGGTGTTGCGAAAATGAAGCCAGCCCAACTGTTCCATGGGACAAATATAATTTTTTTGAATAAACATAAATATTGACCCACACTGGTCTTAAAACTTGAAACTTTTATCTGTCTTATCTGAACTTCTTCTTCAGGAAACTGACCCTCAGGCAAGGAACTGAAACTGACCAGTTCACTGCATCTAGACAATGAGATGCTAGATTCCTCATTGTCATTACGGCTTCCTTACCCCTTCTAATGCCTGTTTTCTTGCTGGTGGCTACCTTCCTTCTGAACTACATAAACCCTCAATTTTAGTTGGTTGGAAGAGATGGATTTGAGGCTTATCTCCCATCTCTCTAGGTGATGTCACCTGAATATAAAGGCTTCTTCCCTGGCAAAATTTGTCTCAGTAATTAACTTTCTGTGTGGTGAGCAAAAGGACCTAGATTGAACCCCTGGTGTTTTGATAAGAAAAACAACCTTCTGTGCTGCCAGTTGTGTAAAAGTATAGCACATACAATTATGTACAGTACATAATACTTGATAATAGTAACAAACTATGTTACTGGTTTATGTTTTTACAATACTATATTATTTTAGAATGAACTCCTTCTACTAATTAAAAAAAAGTTAATTGTAAAACAAGCTCAGATAAGTAGTTCAGGAGGTAACCAGAAGAAGGTATTGTTGTAGAAGAGGACAGATCCATGGCTGTATTTTTCCACTGAAGACCTTCCAGTAAAGGAAGGTAGAAGATAGTGATATTGATGGTCCCTACCATATGTAGGCCTAAGCTATTCTGAGGTTTTAGCAAAATGTTGGAAATTTAAAATTAAGAGAATTTAAAGTAGAAAAAAACTCATCAAATATGAATATAAAGAAATTTTTTTACATCTGTACAATGTGTTATTACAAAACAGTCAAAATGTTAAAAAACCAAGTTTTAAAGTTAAACAGCTACACTAAGATACATTTTTATAACTGAATATAGGGAAATATTTTTATAATTTTATTTTAGTCTCAGTATACACTGTTTATGAAGTCTACATTCATGTACAGTAATATCCTAGCCTTCACATTCACTCACCACTTCCTCATTGACTCACCCAGTGAAACTTCCAGTCCTGCAAGCTCCGTTCATGATAAGTGCCCTAGACAGGTGACCAATTTTTTATCTTTTATACCACATTTTCACTGTATCTTTTCTGTGTTGAGGTGTGTTTAGAATAACAGGTACGATTGTGTTACAATTGTGTGCAGTATTTAGTATAATAATATGTTATACAGATTTGTAGCTTAAGGGCAATAGGCTATATACTCTCCAGGTTTCTATGTGTACACTAGGATGTTCACATATGATGAAGCCACCTAACCCATTTCTCAGAACTCTCATTCATTGAGCAATGCATGACTGTACCTTTACCATAAATAACAAATGATGGCATGTTTTCTGCCTCCTCCTGTGATGTTATGTTTTGATTTAAAGCTTACTATACATCATATTTTATTTTAATAGGTGAGAAGAAAAATCAAACAGTTGAGGAACCAGGAAGCACATCCCATATGGATGAGGAGGCATTCTGCTGAATGGCATTTTAAATGTTGAAATTTTGATTTTTGAATTAGGAATGCCCATGCATATGTACATATATAGTGAGTTTAGAATTGGTAATGTTCCCATGAGAAAGAATTTTGCCAATTAAAGTGCAGTGCTTATGTACAAAACCTTTAAGACTCAGCATCTCCATTTATTTCCTGTTTCATAGGTCAGTCCCTCATTCCCCACTCCATTCAATGAAGTTATGTCTTATAGTTATTATATAGTTGTATTTAATTTTTGCCTGCATTTCCTCCTGGGATACCCCTACCTACTGAATAAGGTTTTTAATTTGCATACTTTTATGCTCATTCTTAGTAATAATGTAAGTTAGAATTTGAAAATCAGTGTTATGTATCCGCACTTACAGTATCATACAGAATAATTTTACTGCCCAAAACAAATCCTCTGTACTTAAGATTTACTGGCATTTCCTCTCCTGATGCCATTGTAACCACTAAACTTTACTGCTTTACTATCTCTACATGTTTGCCTTTCCCAGAATATGATGTCAGATTTATCACAAGATAAATAGCCACATGAATATAAGTTGAAAAGACTTTAAAAAGTAATTACATATCAATATGACTTCTAAGTTTGTGAAGTATATCTCTTAGTTGTTTTGAAATGCTTTTTTTTCCCCCTGAGACAGAGTCTCACTCTGTCTTCCAGGCTGGAGTGCAATGACACAATCTTGGCTCATTGCAACTTCCACCTCCCGGGTTCAAGCGATTCTCCTGCCTCAGCCTCCTGAGTAGCTGGGATTACAGGTGCGATTTGCATTTTTTTATGAGAAAAAGCATTGAGCATCTTTTGATGTGCGTATTGTACATGACAATCACTTCTTTAGAGAAATAACTATTCAAATAGTTTACCTTTTTTGATTGGGATATGTGCCTTTTGATTTTTGAGTTGTTAAGATGCTTTTATATATTCTGCATAGGAGAAGCTTAATTAGCTACATGGCTTGCAATGATTTTCTTCAATATTTTGTGAGTCTTTTTACTTAATGGTATACTTTGAGTCACAAAACTGTTTAATTCAGAAAAATTTTAATGTATCTATTTTTTCTTCAGTTTCTGGTGCGTGTGCATTCATATCATAGAAACCATTGTTTAACCTGAAGCTGCATGTATTCCTATGTGACTTTCTATGGGTTAAGCCTATTTATTTCTTGTATTTAAGTTAATCATAATTTGAGTCATTAATATACATGTATGTGTGTCAGATTAAATAGTTCAACTCATAGAGATCCCCTTGACCCAACAACACTTGATCAAAAAGTTTCCATATTGCATTAAATTGACATTCTTATAAAATCATGAGATCATAAAGTTGTAATTTTTAGACATTCAGCTTTATTCCATTGATCTATATACCTATCCTTTTTTATTGTTACTTTATTCCTTTTTAAAATTTTTTTTAGCCATTTGTTTCCTACATATACCTATTTTTATACTAGTGCTGTGTCGGGAATTGGTGGGTTCTTGGTTTCGCTGACTTCAAGAATGAAGCAGCAGACCCTCACGGTGAGTGTTACAGCTCTTAAAGGCAGCGCGGCCAGAGTTGTTCATTCCTCCTGGTGGGTTCGTGGTCTCGTTGGCTTCAGGAGTGAAGCTGCAGACCTTTGTGGTAAGTCTTAACAGCTCATAAAGGCAGCGTGGACCCAGAGTGAGCAGCGGCAAGATTCATTGCGAAGAACAAAGCTTCCACACCATGCAAGCGGACCCAAGTGGGTTGCCATTGCTGCTTTGGGCAGCCTGCTTTTATTCCCTTGACTCCACCCACATCCTGCTGATTGGTCCATTTTACAGACAGCTGATTGGCCCATTTTACAGAGAGCTGATTGGCCCATTGTACAGAGAGCTGATTGGTCCGTTTTCACAGGGTGTTGATTGGTGCGTTTACAAACCTTGAGCCAGACACAGAGTGCTGATTGGTGCATTTACAATCCTTTAGGTAGACACAGAAGTTTTCCAAGTCCCCAATAGATTAACTAGACACAGAGCACTGACTGGTGCCTTTACAAACCTTGAGCTAGACACAGAGCTAATTGGTGCATTTACAATCTTTTAGGTAGACACAAGTTCTCCAAGTCCCCACTAGATTAGCTAGACACAGAGCACTGATTGGTGCATTTACAAACCTTTAGCTAGACACAGAGTGCCGATTGGTGCATTTACAACCCTTTAGCTAGACATAAAAGTTCTCTAAGTCCCCACCCAACTCAGGAGCCCAGCTGGCTTTGCCTAGTGGATCCCACGCCTGGGGCCAAGGGCGGAGCTGCCCGCCAGTCCTGCACTGCACGCTCACACTCCTCAGCCCTTGGGTGGTCGATGGGACCGGATGTCATGGAGCAGGAGCCTTCACCCATCAGGGAGGCTTGGCGGGAGCCCACCAGTTGCGGGGCTCGGGCATGACAGGCTGCGGGTCCCGAGCCCTGCCCCGTGGGGAGGCAGCTGAGGCCTGGCAAGAATCCGAGCTCGATGTGGGCAGGCTGGCAGTGCTGGGGGACCTGGCGCACCCTCTGCAGCTGCTGGCCCAGATGCTAAGCACCTCACTGCCCAGGGCAGTGCCGTCGGCACTAGCTTGCTGCTGGGAGCGCGGAGCCTGCTGAGCCCCCGCCCACCCAGAACTCGCACTGGCCCGCCAGCACCATGCACAGCCCAGGTTCCCGCCTGTGGTTCTCCCTCCACACCTCCCCGCAAGCAGAGGGAGCCGGCTCCAGTGTCGGCCAGCCCAGAGAGGGGCTCCCACAGTGCAGCAGCGGCCTGAAGGGCTCCTCAAGTGCAGCCAGAGTGGACGCAGAGCCCCAGGCAGCACCCAGAGCAAGCGAGGGCTGCTAGCACATTGTCACCTCTCAGTACTACAAATCTTGATCATTTTTTTTTTCTTTCTCTTAATATATTGCATGGCACTAACTTTTTTTGTGTATTTAACCAAATTTGCATTTTCAAATACCTATTTAAAATTTCTATTTTGCTTCTCAATGGATTTCATGAATCATAGTTTATATAACAACTTCTCCACATAGAAAATAGGAATTCCAAAACCCCAGCAGAAGCTCTCATGTGTTTAATAGCTGGGAAGACACAGAGGTGGTCAATTTCTGTGAAAATGTTTCTAGGCACGTTTTCTCAATAACAGGCCAGAATACACAGATGTGCCACCCTTACTTAACAATGAGAAATGGGCATTAACAGAAATGCTGTGTTCCATTCATCTGAGAGTGCACATTTTCACATTTCACATACAGATGCAGCATTTTAAATTTGATAGTGTCAGAACACTGTTGGCCAGAAGGCAGTTTTAATGTCACTGTCCTCGTGTACACATACATGAAACTGGTCTAAGAATCTTCCTTTGATATCTTTGGATAATATCATCACTGTTGTAATTCACAGAAGTGTTTGGAGAGAGAATCTCACAAAGAGTAGTTCAGGACTCTCACAAGAAATGCAGAATCACCATTGCTTCAGATTAGCACAGATGATGAATAATCAATCATGGGCTAGTGAAGTAAAAATTATTCTAAAGACTTGGATCTAAGTGGAAAAGACTTTAAAATCAATTACAATGTAAAATTTTTATGCAATTCAAAAATCACTTAAAATTTCTTTTTTTTTCTTTTTTCTTTTTCTTTCTTTTTTTTTTTTTTTTTGGCGGAGTCTCACTTTGCTGCCAGGCTGGAGTGGAGTGCAGTGGTGTGATCTTGGCTCACCACAATCTCTGTCCCCCAGGTTCAAGCAATTCTCCTGCCTCTGCCTCTCAAGTAGCTGGGATTACAGGTGTGCACCACCACACCCAGCTAATTTTTGTATTTTAGTAGAGACGGGGTTTCAGCATGTTGGCCAGGATGGTCTCATACTCCTGACTCATGATCCACCTGCCTCAGCCTCCCAAAGTGCTAGGATTATGGGTGTGAGCCGCCACGCCCGGTCCCTAAAATTTCTAATATATTATGTGAAATGTATTTGTTTCATCATTTGGTTGTGGTTTTATTCTTCCATTCTTATATATAAACAAGTGATACATGTTACAATTGATGCAGTAATACATCTCGCAATTTACTAGAAAAAGTTTTAATACTTGTTAGTGTACACTATATATTTTAAATACTGTTAGTTCATACAATCCAGCCAACACGAGGAAGTAGGTGCTATTACCATTTCCATAGTCCAATTTTGAATGTGATCCAAAAACTCTGAAGGAAAGAATTAGGAGAATCTCAGTTTGACACAATCTGTCTCCAGAGACTTAGCTCTCATGAACTGTATTCCAATGTGTTTTCTCTTATATGGTAAATACTTTCTAAGTTTAGTTTTAGGAATCTTACCCTGCTCCATGCTCATGAAAATATTTCCCTAAATTGTGTTGTATATATTGGATTAAATATTTTTTATTTTGGTCTATGATCCACTTGGAATATATTTTGCATTTAATGTGAGGTCACATTTCAGGTTTTAATTCCTCTTAAAGGATATTCAATTTTCTAGAACATTTTTGAAAAAAATATCTTTTCCAATTCACTGACTATTCTTGCACTGTAATACTATTTCCTGTTTTTGTCTGCAAATGCATTTAGGTTAAATTTCCTCTGTGGTCACATAATCATCACGTATAGAGAAAATTTTATTTTTGTGTTGTGCAATAAGACATTCTTTTTTTTTCAAATGCATTCGTAATTGTTCCTTTCTTCTTCTTCTTCCTCTTCTTCTTCTTCTTACTCTTCTTCTTCTTCCTCTTCCTCCTCCTCCTCCTCCTCCTCCTCCTCCTCTTCCTCCTCCTCTTCCCCTTCCTCTTCTCCTTCTCTTTTTTGAGATACGGTCTTACTCTATCACCCACATTGGAGTGCAGTGGCATGATCACAGCTCGCAGCAGTCTTGACCTCCCAGGTTCAAGCAATCTTCTTGCCTCTGCCACATGAGTGGCTGGCACTGCAGATGCATGCCACCATGCCTGGCTAATTTTTCACTTTTTTTGTAGAGACAGGATTTTGCCATGTTGCCTAGGCTGGTCTCAAACTCCTGAGCTCAAGTGATTTTCCTGCCTCAACCTCTCGGAGTACTGGGATTACCAACGTGAGCCACTGCAGCTAGCCCATAATTGTTTTTCAAATAACCATTTCAATTATTGTAATCTGTTCACACATTCTCTGCCCTAAATTGAATTCCAATATCACGTTTTGAATAAATGTCAGGTGTGATACATTCTGTTTTAGCATTTTTCAGAAAGATCTCCTGAAATATCTCTGTTTGAAAAGGAGAAAAACAGACTATTCTGGGAGCCATAGGGCTGCTTGTACTGGTTGCAGTCAGGTGCCTGAAGCTTTTCCAAGCAAGTGGTCAATGCTGTGAGTGACTTTGCAGTTATGGGGTCCTGGTGGTGGTACCACCTCCACAGCAGCACTAAGCATTATCCTAGTGAGGACTCTGTGCTGACCCTGCTTTTATAGCTTCACCAGGCATGCTCTTGTGGAGAGTCTTTGCAGCAGCTCCAACCTACATTCCCACTTAATATTGCTCTACTGGGGGCTCTCTTTGGGGGCTCTACCCCTGTGAGAAATCTCTGATTGGGACCCCAGGCTTTTGAAATTTTTTTTTAAATTTGTGGAGGCTACCAAGCCTCCAGAGCTCTTGTTTTCTGTAAGCCTACAGAATTACCACCTCATAAGCATTTCCAGGTAGTACAATTTGTATCTTCCAGAGCTGGGGCACAAGCCCCACTTGGGAGCCAAAGCAGGTGGAATTCAGAGAGCAGCACCCTAAAGTGGCACATGGCAATGCCACCACCTGTCCCCAGAAACAATCCTGTCCCCTTATGCTGCTGGGCCTCTGATGGGATGGACAGCCTAGAAGATTACTGAAATGCCTGTGGGGTTTTTCTTCCATTGTCTTGAGTATTGACACCTAGCTCCCTTTAAATCATGCCCGTCTCTGGAACACTGTGGCTCTGCCGCAACCTTGGACTATTCTCCTGGAAAGGCTTTTTCATTCTCACTTGGCCAGGCTTCAGATTTTTTCTTTGTGTTTTTCTTTTCTCTAGCAGTTTTACCTTAAGCAGTTAGGAGTAACCACGCTACAGCTTGAACACTTCGAAGCTTAGAAATTTCTCCCGTCAGGTTCCCTAGTTCATCACTCTGAAGATAGGCCTCTCACAAAGCCCTTGAGCATGGACACAGCCACATTACTTGCCCGTTGATTTTAAGAATGGCCTTAATTTCCAATGTCTAATTCCTCAGCTCCATCTGAAACTTAGTCAGAATGGCCTTAAATCTTCATATTTCTGTAAACAGTCTGTTCACAACAACTTCACCTGTCTCTAAGGACTCCCAAACTTTTCCCATTTTCTTGTTTTCTAACCCCTCACCAGAACCTAGGCTTTTTCCAGCCTGTTTTTCCAAATTCTTCAAACTTCTGCCCTATTAATACCTAGTTCCAAGACTAGTTTTACAGTTTCAGGTATGGTATTCATTATCAGCAAGATCACACTTCTCATCACTGATTTCTGTAGTAACCTTTGTTCTTTGCTTATAAAACAGAATACAGAATATTGGGTAATTTATTTTTAAAAATTATTTCTTTTGGTTATGGAGGCTGAGAGGTCCAAGGTTAAGGGGCAGTATCTGGCAATAGCCTGTTGTTGGTGGAGACTCTCCGAAGATTCCTGAGGCCACACAGGGTATCGGCTGGCTGGAGGTTTGGAATGCTAGTGCAGACCTCTCTTCCTCCGACAAAGTCACCACTTAACCTCACATAATAAACCATTAATCCTTTAACCCATTAATACTTTAGTAGATGTATCCACTTATAAGGGCAGAGCACTTATGATATGGTCACCTCTATGAGGCCCCAACTCTCAATGCTGCCACATTGGGGATTAAATTTAAAAATGAGTTCGGTTAAGGGAAAATGTTCCAACCACAGTAACTGTCACAAGATCCGCTGTTTCCCATATAATACTCTTCTACCCATGTTGTGGAGTATTAGTCCCATTTTAAACTGGTAGTCTAGATCAGTTACTCCTGACCACACTGCAACTGTGTTCTCAGTCTTTTGACTCAGAAATATAAGGAGCTTAATATGGCTGAGTGGCAGTCTTAACTTTTAGTTCAGTTGAATAATTGCTGTATCTCTTAGCAGCAGCATTCCTCTGTCTGTAAGACCTCTAGACCAGTATAGCTTAAAATCACAGGAACAGAAAGTAAAATTTTTGCTAGTGTTACGTTAGGAATAGTGAATGGTGCAACTCTAATTTTTAATCCTGTGATTTCTAAACCTGTAAATTATGGTTTGGGGATAAAATTTTCTATATAATACATTCTGATTTTTTAGCATATACAATCTTCAGATGAACCTTGACTCAAACCTGCATAGTGTTCTCACCTAGCAGGTACCATACCTGTGACTTCCAAAGGCATATTCCACCATTTTATCCAACCAGTTTCTCCAAGATTATGGTGTGCATGGAAAAACCAGTGAAATTTATGAGCATAAGATCATTGCAACAATTTTATGGTTGTGTAGTTCTTTGTTGAGAAGGAATGCTGTATGGAATACTATCATTGTATATAAGGCAGGCTTTAAGTCCATGGATGGGTTTTGGCAAAAGGTCTGCATGCAGAAAAGGAAAACACATAATCAGAATAAGGGTCTATTCAGTAGGAAGCAAACCCCAGCCCCTTCCATGATCAGAGTAGGTCAATATAACCAACCTACCACCGGGTTAATGGTCGACTATTCTGGGGAATTGTGCCTTATCAGGGACTCAATGTTGGTCTTTTGGTGGGAATCCATATGGAACACAAATGTCTTCACATTTTCTTTTGCCACTCAGAGAGGGCTATCCACATGATTCTATTGCAAATTACTTTGTCAGCATGTTTCAATCATGTATTTCCAAGTTTCTGACTGATCAAATCATTGTACGCAGCCCATGAATCAATATATAAGCACACTCACAATAATTTTTCCTTCCAAGCAAAGTGCACAGCTAGATATACTGACTGATTTATGTCGATAGAGAAGATTTATTTCCCCACTGTCCTTCAGGGATGTCCCAGAAAGGGCGATAGTGCTGCAGCTGTCTACTTTCAGGTGGTGTCTGGATATCCTGAAGAACCATCTGAACAGTCTTCTCTTACTCTGTCAACTGATTATAGGGAACTCTTCATGAGGCCATAAGTGCAGATTAGGAGAGAGAAGGCAATGTGGCAGGAGTGGAGATTGTAGGCAGTTGTATATTTCTTCATGTAACTTGTGTTTTCAGGACCTGTTCTGGACCAATCACATATGTACCATTTCCATTTGTTAGAGTGCTACCATGCACACTCAACTTTATGGCTAGGTGGGTCAGGAAACACTTCATTCATGATGGGCAGCTCAGGATACATGGAACTTGGTGGCTCAAAATCATGCATTTTATTTTATTACAACCCAGTGGTAGGACACAAACTGACCCTGAAAAAGAGGGTATTTATCTGTGGATAAGGGCAGTGCCTTGCTCCAAAATTTGAAGACCCTCTACTGTGATTTACCTGTGGGAGCCTAAGAAAGACTCCAAAGAACATCTCTATCTGCCACTGACACCTCAAGTACTGTTGGATCTGCTGGATTATATGGCCTAAGTGGAAAAGCTGCTTGCATGGCAGCCTGTACTGCTGAAGTCTTGTGTTCTGGGCCCCCTCAAACCTAGAAGCTTTTTGAGTTGTTTGGTAGATGGGCCAGAGTAACACACCCAAAGGACAAAATTGTTGCCTCCAAAATCCAAATAGGCCCGCTAGGCCTTGTGCCTTTTTCTTGGTTGTTGGTGAGACCAGATGCAACCAATTTTACTTTATTTTGGAAGGAATACCTCAAAATGTTCCACACCACTGGATATCTACAAATTTCACTAATGTAGAAGGCCTCTGAATTTCATTTAAATATATTGCCCACATAATATATTTCTGTGGGCTGAATATATATATTAACATAATATATATTCAGTTAAATATATTGCCCACATAATATATATTGCCCACAATATATATTAACAGAATTTCAGTTAAATATATTGCCCACATATTATGTCATAATATATTGTCTGACATAAAAATATTTTATGAGTATGCTAAGTGTAAATGCTACTTGACATTCACTTGGTCCAATCACCATTATCCCATCAATGAAATGGACCAATGTGATACCTGTGGAAGGGAAGTTAATGAAGTGTTCTGTTTGTGACATGGGATAGATGGTTAATATACTCCTCAGGTAGGACAGTTAAGGTTTAGTGCTGTCTGTGGCATCTGAAAACAAACTTCTTTTGAAACTTATGGACAGAGATAGAGATAAAGCATTCACTAGATCAGTAGCTACATACCAGTTCCAGGAAATGTGTTAATTTGCTGGAACAATGAAACAACATTTTGTATAACAACTTCAATTTTAGTTGATACTTGATTGAGCTTCTGGGAATATACTGTCATTATCTAGTATCCATTTATCTTCTGCATAGGCCAAATAGGAGAGTTGCATGGGAATGTGGTGAAAATAACCATTCTTGCATCTTCCAAGTCCGTGATGGTGGCACTAATGTCTTAAATTCCTCCAAAGATGCAGTTATGTTTTTGATTTAATATTTTCCTAGATAGAAGCATCTCTCTTGGATTGCATTTGTGCTTTCTCACCCTAATTGTTCTCATTGGTTAGGCTACCAATATGGGCATTCTTTCAGCTGTTATGTGTTTCTATTCCGATTATGCATCAGGAACTGGAAAATTATCAGAGAATGGCTTCAGGGACCCACCAGACCCACTGTGAGTCAGACATGAGCTAAAACTCCATTAATCACCTGACCTCTATAAGAAGGTACTCTAATTAGTGGGCTACAGGGTTACTGTGGGTCTCCTGGAATCAATGTCAAGTGCAGAGTCAGTGTCCAGTGATCCTCAAAATTTATTTTATTAAAGCACAGTTACTGAAGGATGATTTTCAGTGCCACTTAAAACCAGCTGGAGACTTCCATGGCTGGCGATGCCCCTGCTCAGGCCTCCCTCCACCTCGGACTCACTGCAGGAGGCACCCTGCCCTCTCACCCTTCCAGATGGCACCTAGCTTGCACTCTGCCCTGGATCCCACACTGGCTGTGAGATCCATGCTTAGCCTGCAGCTGGGCTGGGCCTGCCACAAACTGCTTCACCTTGGGCACTGGCATCTGGATGAGGGGAATGCAGTGGCACCCAAAAAACTCGGAGACATCAGTAACCCCAAAGTCCCAAAGTGGGTGTTATAGCATGCTACAGCTCGTTCAGTACCATTGCCTCACTCTGACTCATGACTCTAGAGCTGGCCCAGCCCTCCTGCAGCTTCCCATCATGTGCAGTGGTTGGTGGGTACCGGCAGAGTGTGGAGGGCCACAGTATTACAGCTTTTTTGTACTCGCATTTGTTTGGCAGTTCCTGAGTTCTCATGTCCAAGGAGAATGAGGTTACACTGACAGTCAAAGTGTCAGAAAGGCAGAGAAGAGTTTTATTGAGTGATGGAACAGCTCTCAGTAGAGAGAATACATTAGGCAGGTGGTCCTCCCCACCCAGAGGCAGGTAGTCCCCAAGTGTGGCTGAGTCCAGGGCTTTTATGGGCTCAGAATGGGGGAGTGCATGCTGATTGGTTTGTGAGAATGCATAAAATGGTAAAATAAGCGACCACTCAAAGGTGGGTGCAATGGTGCCAAAAAAAAAAGAAAATTAGGAAAGAGTAGGTATATGTAAAGTAGGTGAAGGGTGGGGACCAATCAGAGGAAAGTGTGCCAAACGAGGAGCTTCCCAATATGGTCTGTGGATTTATCTGAGTCTTGGAGCTTGGCTTTCAGGCTTTAAACAGTCTTTGGTTTGAAGGTGGGGTTTCATCGGGGAGCGGCCCATATCTGCCTAAGGATGTGTCTACCTCCTGCTGCTGTCATTACTCTAGTAAGTGATTGTAGGTTCCTTTTAGGAAGGATAGCAGAAATATAAACTATAACATTTTGGTAGTGTACTTGTGTCCTACTTCAAGAGGACTGGGCTGCTGCTCCTTTCAAGGGGTTCTGAGATTGTAAACTCGCTCAATTGTGAGAATTGAGTGAGGTTCTTTGAGTCTCTGGTTTTTAGGATTTGAGGTAGAATCTTGTTCATTTGATCTAAAGATTTTCTGCTTCTTCAAATCAAGTAAGCCTTTAGTAGGCTACCTGTGTACTTCAATTCCAAGAACACTATTATAAACTAGCCAGCAACATAAATCTATAGGAATCAGATGAACCTGATTGTTGCTTCGCCTTTGCTGTCCATTGACATAACTATGCCAACCTTGCCTTTGAAGATCGAATGTTGCTACTTGCTCCCAAGATTCCCTGAAACTCGGTTATTCCCCTTGCATTTTGATTTTCCAGTTGGTGTACTGTGGTTTCTGTATTAAGGTCTGGTCTACAGAGAAGAGAGATCAGGGAGCTCTTCAGTTGTACCCAGCCTCCCCACACAAATCTACCTAACAAAGTCCTGATAAACAGTATGTTTTCTGGAGTCTATCAATATGGGTAAGTTGCATTTATTTTTTTATTTATTTAGAAACAGAGTCTCACTTTTTTTGCCCAGGCTGGAGTACAGTGGCATGATTTCAGCTTACCGCAAACTCTGCCTCCTGGATTCAAACCATCCTCCGGCCTCAGCCTCCTGAGTAGCTGGGGCAACAGGTGTGTGCTACCATGTCTGGCTAATTTTTGTAGTTTTTTGTAGAGGTGGGGTTTCACCATGTTGGCAAGGCTGGTCTTTTTTTTTTTTTTTTTCCATTTGAATTTTAGAATGAGTTTTTCTTTTTTTTTCAATTTTTTTTATTATACTTTAAGTTTTAGGGTATATGTGCACAACGTGCAGGTTAGTTACATATGTATACATGTGCCATGTTGGCGTGCTGCACCCATTAACTCGTCACTTAACCCTAGGTGTGAAGGCTGGTCTTAAACTCCTGACCTCAAGTGATGGACCTGTCTTGGCTTCCAAAAGTGCTGGAATTACAGGCATGAGCCACCATGCCCTGCTGTAAGTTGCTTTTAAACGGCAGATCCATTCTAGCATTCCTATCTCCCTAGGCCTATGAATTCCTTCATCCAACATAATACAGGGAAGATGGGGGAATCACCGACTTGCTCATGGTCATACATCTGTTGAACTATACTTCAGCCAACCTGTCATAAAACTACTAATACCATCCTTAAATACCCAAGCTGCAACATTAAACCGGAATATCTGCTTAATGGCCCCATATCATTAAATTTGGACCGATTCAAGTTTATATTCCTTCTACTGTTATCAACGCTTTTTTTTTTTTCTTGTTTTGGTTTCTTACAGATGAGGTCTTGTTCCTTTGGCCAGGCTGGAGTGCAGTGGCACAGTCATCACTCACTGTAGCTTCAAACACCTGGGTTCCAGCATTCATCCCACTTCAGCCTCCCGTGTAGCCGGGACTACAGGTACAAGCCACCACACCCAGCTATCCACAGCCATAATCTTTATTTCCACATAGGGTCTTCAGATTTCTGTTTGCATTAGTTAGAAAGCTCAGGTAGCTTTTTTCACATATATCACACCTCCTCATGGGCATGTTGTAACTTTAGTCTCACCATGAGTCTAGAAGAAACACAGCGGTCAGGGGTGGGTCTTGAAGATAATCAGCAGTGTATTGTTTGACAGCTGCTTCAGGGGAAGCCATTACCGTTTCCTTAGGCATTGTAGCTGTAAGCTACTCAGACACATATGGAAAGGCCTACATCACTTTGTGTGAGAAGGCCATTGCCAAGGGTGGCTGTAAGGAGGCTACTTCTGCTGGCAATAAAAACTCATTAGAATTTAGGAGATCAGTGTCCCCAGCCACATCAGTCTTCCCATCCATCCTCATCCCAAGTTACAGGATGCTATTCTTTCTCAACTTCCACTTCAACAGTAGACACCCTGCCAGACTGAGGAGTTCAGTGTTTCTTGTAATTCAGCCAGTGGCATGATAAGGGCTTGTGTTTGACTTTTAGCAAATACTTCCCTGTGGCTACAAGAGAGTTTTCTGGCTCAGAGCACAGGTAGAAACTCTTAGGCTGTGTATGTGGAGCTGGTTCTGCAAAATTGAATCCCTAAGCTCATTATTGTCTTTCATCAAATTTCCTAGTGAAATTAGAAGCAACAAACCCGTCATCATTATGTTCCATGGTTTTATGCAAATGTCTGTATTACATACAGAGTAAACAAGTACCTTGCCTCTTATCAGTGTTTAATTAAGAGCATCAAATGCAGACATTTTGGGGATCTCTAAAAACAGTTCATGTCATTGACTGTCATTGCTCTTTCTACTGTTAGAAGTACAGTTCTTAGAATTTAGGTCCAATCAGATTAGAAAGCCAATTCTAGAAACCCCAAATTTGATTAAGGACACTCATCCTTAAAATTCTCTTCCTATACAACTGTTCTTACTACCAAAATCTATACTAGTCAGGGTTATCTAGAGCAACAGAAGCAATAGGATAGATATGTAGGAGCTAGCTAGCTAGCGGTAGATAGGTAGATAGATAGATAGATAGATAGATAGATAGATAGATAGATAGATTTTTAGGGGAACTGAATCATAGGATTATGGAGGCTGACCGTTTCCACCACATGCCATGTAAAGCTGGAGATCCTGGGATGCTTTTTGGGTACCATAGTCTAAGTCCAAAATGCTCAAACCAGAGAAAACCTTGTTTAAACACTCAGTATGAGACTGAATGCCATCAGAAAGTCTTTCAATTGAGTCTCCTGTCATTTTGAAATACCACCATATTTAAGATTTAATATTGTTATGTGGCTGATTCATTGGTTGCATTGTTGTTGAGCATTTTGTTGTTTGATCACCACTAGATACTCCAGGCTAATTGTATTTAGTCCCTGTTCAAGTCAATTATTGACCTTTTTTTCACAGATCCCTACCTTTTTTGTTGGAGAATGAAATTTAAAATGAAGATTTGGGCACTCATTGGTTGTACACATTGTTACTGGTGAACGTGTTGATTGGAGGCCTTCCTAGCTAACAGAGCAAAGAGTAAATATACACATATGTTTACAAATTTCTACAAGTCTCCATATGTATCTGCATTAAATTAAACATGAATTCCTGCAGCGTCCTCAGTCCCACACGATCTTATTCAGCACCATGTGAATCTGTCTACCCATCTCACTAATCTATATGTAGCCTACCACTGTAATATTTAACCACCTGAAAATGCAGGCATAGTGGTTTCAGAATAAGAAACACACAACCCCATGAGAAACACCCTTACCACCTGTTTATGTATACCAACTGCTTATGTATAAATCCTTTAGCCTTTAGACAGAATCTGCACTTATTATGCAAGTTGCTTAGGAAGGCTTATTTTTCCCCTTCCTTCAGTGGATTATTTCATAGATTTGTATAAAGTATTTTCTCTGCATTTCTTCCTGGACTGTTCCTATCTACTAAATAAGTTATTTTGTTAATTTACATACTTTTAGCTTCACTCTTTGTGTTATAAAGTTTTCTGGGAGTTGAAAAACTGTACCTTTTATCCACGTTACAGTAGCATACATAATAATATACAAAGAGAAATTTTCTATCTTTACAGATTTGTCTTTCCTTTTTGCTGAGACCCGGGTAACCAATAAACTCTTTACTGTCTTTATACTTATGCCTTTTCTAGAGTGTCATATATTTTTTAAAAAAGTATTTTGCTTTTTCCAAATTGCTTTTTGGACTTAGTAATATGCCTTTTGGGTTAGTAAAGGATATCTTCTGGTTGGGATTTACATTTCCCTAATGACAGAGGCATTGAGCATCTTTCCATATGCTTATTAAACATTACTATAGCTTATTTGGAGACATGATTGTTCAAATTTTCTATTTTTGATTGGAGCATTTGTCTTTGGATTTTTGAGTTGTAAGATGTTGTAGTATATTCTGGATTATAAATTCTTATTGGCTATTTGACATACAAAGACTTTTCTCCCATTTTTAAATTTTTATTCTTTTATTATGTACCTTAAATTATGATATATTTTATTAGTGATTTTTCAATATATCTATTTTCTCCTTCCTCTTGTGCATTAGTTGTCATATCTTAGAAACCATTGTTTTTGTTAAACAATTTGTTTCTGTTTTTAGTTTTGGCTATTTAGATGTATGATTGTATTAGTCTGTTCCCACACTGCTATAAAGAACTACCTGAGACTGCGTAGTTAATAAGGAACAGTGGTTTAATATATCCACAGTTCTACAGGTTGTACAGGAGGCATGACTGGGGAGAATTACAATCATGGTGGAAGGCAAAGGGGAAGTGAGCACATCTTACATGGCTAGAGAAGGAGGAATAGATAGAAGAGGGAAGTGCCACACATTTTTAAACAACCACATTTTGTGATAACTCACTATCACCAGAACAGCAAGGGGGAATCTCCCCCCATGAGTCAGTCACCTCCCACCAGGCCCCTCCTCCAACATTGGAGATTACAGTTTGCCATGAGATTGGGAGGGGACACAAATCTAAACCATATCATCCTGCCCCTGGCCTCTTCTAAATAACATGTTTTTTCTCATATTGCAAAATACAATCATTGCTTCTCAATAGTCACCCAACTCTTAACTCATTTCAGCATTAACTCAAAAGTCCACAGTCCAAAGTCTCATCAGAGACAAGGCAAGTCCCTTCTACCCATGAGCCTGTAAAATCAAAAGCAAAGTTATTACTTTCAATATACAATGGGGGTACAGGCATTGGGTAAATACCCTCATTCCAAAAGTTATAAATCAGCTAGAACAGAGGGGCAACAGGCCCCATGCAAGTCTGAAACCCAGCAGGGCAGTCATTAAATCTTAAAGCTCCAAACTGATCTCCTTTGAGTCTGTATCTCACATCCAGGCCACACTGATGCAAGGGATGAGCTTTCAAGGCCTTGGGCAGCTCTGACCCTCTGGCTTGGCAGGGCTTAGCTACCATGGCTGCTCTCAAGGGCTGGCATTGAGTGCCTGTGGCTTTTCCAGGCACATAGTGCAAGCTGTTGGTGGATATACCACTCTGGGGTCTGGAGGACAGTGGCCTTCTTCTCACAGTTCCACTAGGCCCCCAGTGGAGACGCTTTGTGGGGGCTCCAACTCTGTACTTCTTCTCTGCACTGTCCTAATACAGGTTTTCCCTAAGGGCTCCATCACTGCAGCAGACTTCTGCCTGGGCATCAAGGCATTTCCATACATTCTCTGAAATCTAGGCAGAGGCTCCCAAGCCTCAACTCTTTCCCTCTGTGTACCTTCCGGCTTAACACCAAGTGGAAACTGCCAAGGATTATGGCTTGCACCTCCTGGAGCAGTGGCCTGATATGTATCTGGGGACCTTTTAGTCAGAGCTGGAGCTAGAGCCGCTGGGGCACAGTGATAAGCAGTGGCTCCAGGTTGCACAGGGCACCAAGGCCTTGGACTTGGCGCTTGAAATGATTATTTTCTCCTAGGCTTTTGTGCCTATTATGGGAGGGGCTGATGGGAAGGTTCCTGAAGTGGCTTTGAGGCATTTTCCTTATTGTCTTGGATATTAAAATTTGGTTCCTCTTTTTTTTTTTTTGTTTTGAGACGGAGTCTCGCTCTGTCGCCCAGGCCGGAGTGCAATGGTGCGATCTCGGCTCACTGCAAGCTCCAGCCTCCAGGGTTCACGCCATTCTCCTGCCTCAGCCTCCCGAGTAGCTGGGACTACAGGCACCCACCACCAAGCCTGGCTAATTTTTTGTATTTTTTAGTAGAGACACAGTTTCACTGTGATAGCCAGGATGGTCTCAATCTCCTGACCTCATGATCCGCCTGTCTCGGCCTCCCAAAGTGCTGGGATTACAGGCATGAGCCACCACGCCCTGCTAATTTGGCTCCTCTTATGCAAATTTCTGCAGCTGGCTTGAATTCCTCCCCAGAAAATGGATTCTTTTTTTTTTTTTTTTTTTTGAGACGGAGTCTCACTCTGTCGCCCAGGCTGCAATGCAGTGGTGCGATTTCAGCTTACTGCAACCTCCACCTCCCAGGTTCAAGTAATTCTTCTGCCTCAGCCTCCTGAGTAGCTGGGACTACAGGCATGTGCCACCATGCCAGGCTAATTTTTGTATTTTTAGTAGAGACGAGGTTTCACCATATTGGCCAGGCTGGTCTTGAACTCCTGACCTTGTGATCCACCCATCTCAGCTTCCCAAAGTGCTGGGATTACAGGCATGAGCCACAGCACCTGGTCAGGTTTTTCTTTTTTACAAAATGGCTGGACTGCAAATTTTCTAAACTTTTATGCTCTGCCTGTTTTTTAAATATAAGTTTTAGTTTCATAGCATCACTGTGCTCACACTATGACAATACACTGTTAGAAGCAGCCAGGCCACATCTTGAACACTTTGTGCTTAGCAATTTCTTCTACGAGATACCCTAAATCATCAGTCTCCAATTCAAAGTTCCAGAGATCCCTAGAGCAAGGGCACAATGCCAACAGTCTCTGTGCTAACATAACAAGAGTGATCCTTACTGTAGTTCCCAGTAAGTTCCTCATCTCCATCTGAGACCACCTCAGCCTGGACTTCATAGCCCATGTCACTATCAGCATTGTGGTCACAACAATTTAACCAGTCTCTGGAAAGTTCCAACTTCTCCTCATATTCCTGTATTTTTCTGACCCCTCCAGACTGTTCCAACCTCTGCTCATTACCCAGTTTCAAAGTCACTTCCACGTTTTCAAGTATCTTTATAGCAATGCCCCACTCCCAGTAGCAATTTTCTGTATTAGCCTGTTCTTGTATTGCTATAAAGAACTACCTGAAACTGGGTAATTTATAAAGCAAAGAGGTTTAATTAACTCATAGTTCTGCAGGCTGTAGAGGAAACATGGCTGGGGAGGCCTCAGGATACTTACAATCATGGCAGAAGGAGAAGGGAAAGCAGGCACATCTTTTATGGTCTGAGAATGAAGAGGAGAAAGAAGGGTGAGGTCCTACACACTTTTAAATAATGATATCTCATGAAAATTCACTTACTGTCATGAGAACAGCAAGGGGAAATCTTCCCCCATTATCCAATCACCTCCCCCCAAACCCCTCCTGTAACATTGGGGATTACAATATGGCGTGAGATTTGGGCAGGAACACAAGTCCAAACCACATCAGTGACTAATTTGAACTATTTATGCATATACTGTGAGGGAGGAGTTTAACTTGCCTGTTGATGTCAATGATGTCAGCTTGTCACAGAATCCATCCACAGTGCATGAATTGTATGCTGAACAAAATTTGCATTCCTGAGGAAATACCCTTAGCCATAGTGTATGATACTTTTTGCATGTTGCTGACTTGTTTTGCTATTATTTCCTTAAGGATTTTTGCCTCTTTATTCATAAGACATATTGGTCTTAATTTTCCTTTCTTGAAGTGTTTTGGTCTAATTGTGGTATGAGGATGAAATACCACATAGTGTGCATTGGGAAGTGATCTGTTCACCACTGTCATTGCTGTTGTTTAATGTTTTTAGAGAATTCATAATGAATTTGTATTTATTCTTTAAAAGTATGAAATAATTTCCTAGTGAAGTCATCTTAACATGGAACCAGAATTAAATCCTAACAACAATCATGTGAGCCTGGGGAGGATCCTTCCCCAGCTGAGCCTTCAGGGGAGACTTCAGCCTTGGCCATCTTCTGCATCTAGATTCCTGACCAAGAGAAACTATGAGTAATGTGTATGTGCTTTTCAGCCACTAAGCTGTATGGGAATTTGCTATACAACAATAGCTAAGTAATACACCTTGCATTAAATGTAATGTGGTATCCTAGATTAGATACTGGAATAGAAAAGTGACATTATTGGAAACCTGAAGAAAACTATGAAGAAAGTCTGTAGTTCCATTGATAGTTTTATATCACTGTCAATTTCTCAGTTTTCATGAATAGTCTATGGTTATATAACATGTTAACATTCCTTTAAGCTGAAAGGTATATGAAACGCTCTGCACTATATATACGTCCTTCTGTAAGTCAAATATGATTTCAAAATAATTTTTAAATAATATTTTGGTGCAAAACAAAAACCAACAAAAAGACACAAGCACATTAGCTTGGTTTCAGGAGATGGGGTGGGCAAGTAGGGAAAGAACAGCAGCAGAGCTTTCATAATCTAGCCACCATTCCGAACCCAGGTGCACCTGCTTCAGTTAAACACAGTTAGCTCCAGGGACTGTCATCCATTTTTGTCTTTGAAATCATGCTACTGATTATCCAGGACCATTTCAAGTGTCAGTAACCACTTCTTCAGAGAGAGGTGCCTGTTCCTCATATATCCCAGGACGCCCCATTTTCAGACATTGTCTGGCAGTTTATTCACATAATTCCACTAAAGCCTTTCTGGAAAAAATGACTGCTGGACATTAGAAGCCAATATTGCAAAATGTCAGTGACAGGGAACACAAATTGTATTTCTACAATCAGCAGAGTGTTTTAATTCCCTTGGTACAGGGATTTGTTCTTCAACTGATTATCAGATCACTGTGATAATTTCTATTTCTCTTGTCATGAATTATTTGGAACCATATATTCTGTTGCTCTTCACATCTTGGAATTATATTGTCCATTTCCAAGGTCAAAGACCACAGAATAAATGTCATCATGACAGCAGGTGAGTAGGGCACACAAACAATGCTTCTAAATATGGTGGTTGATGACAGTGCTTGCTTACTAAGACCTCCATATGAATCTGTGGACAACTGGTTTTTGGCAGGTGAAGTCATGTGAGTGATTCAGTATATGCTGTGTATGGCTGGAGAAAGCTCAGTAGATACAAGAAAAAGCAGTATGTAACAGATCTCCCTCCACCATGCAGTGATCTAAGAGAAGGACCCAGGCTAAATGGTGACTCTGCACATGTTCTGGCTAAACAAAGAATCTCACAGCAGGAAGAACTGTCCAGCTGTCCCCCACATAGGTCCCTGTTCGTAGTTCACAGCACTCTGCGGTGTTAGGAACAGGGTTGTGCCAAAGACCCATGCCTACAAAGCATACCAAGCCATGAATCTGCATGCTGCACTCACACAGACATAGACAAAGCCAAGACTATTGCCTTTATGATGGTCCATAAACATGGGGCATATTCTCTATAGCACATTCATAGTTTATATGAGAAAATGAGATCTTGCAGCCTGGAGACCTAGAGTGAGAGATATGACTGACCTTGACCACATTTTTCACTTCTGATATCAGCATAGAAGTGATTTAGGTGCTGTTATTTGAGCATCTGTACTTTAAGAAACCTTCCAAGTCTTACAAGTTCCATGTACTTTACTCTTTAAGACACGATTCCTCTTTTAAACTTGACATCTTAAAGGAGGTTTATTCAATTTTTTAAAATTTTAACTGAAGATACTATAGTACAATACTTAAATGACAGATCTTCTGTTTATCTTCATTTTAATGCATACTTTTTGATCTATTATGATGCATACTGTGAATATTGTGCCCACCAGTAAATGGACCCAAAAATGGCCAGAGCAACAGACATGAGCCACAGTTAGACCTGGACATGAGTTATGAGGACTACCACATGGTGGTCACAATAATTGAGCTCTGAGTTCTCAAGTTTAAAGGAAAACAGGCAATATACACAAAACTCTACTGCCATATTGGCGTGGACACAGGCAGAGTGCTGAGCACTGAGTGCCCAAACAAGTGCTTTAATAGCATGGAAGGCATGATTTCCCACAATATACTAAGCCACTAAATTCACAAAGGCCACTGCAATTCTGAAAAAGATGTCACTGCAAACAAACGCAAGTGTTAGACCACAATCTAAGACAAATGCTCCAATATGCTGTCTCCACACTCTAGCCTGATTAGGAGTTGTAGTTCAGTGGATGAATGGCTCATATATTTAACATCATTACTTCATGTTCATGTAATTCAACCTTCCTGGAGTCTAAAACTATAGGTGAAATTTCAGTCAAAGTCCTAAATTATGAATTGTATGAGTTTCTTCTTCACTTAATATTTTCCCAAGGAAACAGGAAAACTAATTTCAATATCCAAGTGTCCAAAAGTAGACTTTGCCAGAGTAGCAAGGGGGCAGAACAAAGCATTTTATGACAATCACAGTGCATCTGCTTCTACAGTGACTATATATTATCACCATTTGTGTGATTAAAAGGGTGAATGAGAATGAAGAAAAACAGAGATCAAGAATGTTATAGATTAAAGAATTAAATTTGTAATATAGCTTGCAGGGATCATTGGTTATATTTCTAACTTTAGGACACAATTTTTTAAATATAGATTTTCCTTAGTCTTTAGAAAACTAGCACTTCAGGAAAAATTTCAAGTGTCTCTCTACAATTTATATCTTCCTCATCAACAGATTTCTTGAACCATAGTTTATAAAACAATTACAGCACTTCACTAATAAGTCTAAAATTTCTAATAACTAAGTAGAATGTAAATATAGTTGGTAAATTAATGTGAAAATATATACAACAATGTTTACTTAATAACAGACTAAAATATAGCACATTAGCCACCATGATTTTTTTTTTTTTTTTTTGAGACGGAGTTCGCTGTTTTGCCCAGGCTGGAGTGAACTGGCGCGATCTGGGCTCACTGCAACCTCTGCCCCCGGGGTTCAAGCGATTCTCCTGCCTCAGCCACCATGATTTAACACTGAGAAGTGGGCAGTCACAGAGAAAAAGTGTGTAAACAATTCTTTGGTATACATTTTAACATCTTTTAAAGAGAGATGCATCTTCTGTTTGAAAGGGTTATAACATTATTGCCAGAAAGCCGTATGATGTGGTTGTCCTCAGGCACACACACATGAACTTGGTCTAAACCTCCCCAAAGACATCTTTGGGTAATTACATCAAGCATCAAAACTTACAGAAGGGTGTCAGGAGACTGGAAAGATAAACTTACATAGAGTAGTGTAGGAGTCCCATGAGAAATGTAGCAACATTGATGCTTGTGATTAGCACAGATGATGATATTGTGGGGAAAATCATGGACAAGATGAGTTGAAAGTGATTCAGAGAGTTTGTTCTGAATGAAATAAGTGTTAGCAGTACCTTTGTAAACGTATTTTGCATATATGTTCTGTCTCATGTAATCACAGGAATGATATAAGACAAATATAAACGTGTTAGTCGAGAAAAGTTTATAAAATAATTATAAAACTCTAATTAGAAATATTTGCTCCATTATTTATTAGTGGTTTTATTATTTCATTCTGATATATAAATCTAAAAGATAAATCTCACAATTTATTATAAAAATTAGTCTTAATGATATGTATAGATGTGATATTATACTACATGCTTTATATATTATTTTATACAAACCCACCTGACATCTCAAGAAGTGAGCACTGTTACCACTGCCACGGGCCAGTTCTGAATCTGAGACTAAGCACTACATGAAAGGATTAAAAGTGCTTTGAGTTTGATTCAGTCTGTATCCAAAGTCGTTGCTCAAGTCAACTATGTATAATATGTAGAATATTTTCTTATATAATTAGTGCTTTCTAGGTCTAGTTTCAGGCATCTTACCCTACCACATAGTCCCAAAGATATTTTCTTACGTGTTCTACATACTGTACTAAATATATATATATATATAATGTCTGTGATCCACCTGATTTTGTGTGTAAAATGAAGTTAAAGGTCAGATTTTAATTCCCTTGTGAATATTCAGTTTTTTGAATAGTTTTAGAAAAATTGATCTGTCCCCATTTATTGACTTACAAATGATTTGTTCATATATACACGTCTGTATTTATGCTGTTTTCTTTCTTCATTGGTTTATTCCCCTGTCTCTGTGCAAATGCAACAGTTTCTTAGTTGCTAACAGACTTCATTTAATACAATAATTTTGTGACCATTCTCTTATTGAGTGTGCTTTTCCATAATGAAGTGAAAGATTAAAAATCTCCATGCCTTTCACCTACACCAATACTCTCAGCTGGACTTTGAATCCATCAGTGGCTTTAGAGTTTCAGAATATCACTGTTGTCTCTTATGTCTGTAATGTCTTGGTTAATCTTATAAGATCCATGAACACCATTCTTCAGTTTATGTATTTCATACTTTCAACAACAGCAAGTGGTGGGAAAACCTGGAGATGCAGCCCTGGGTGCCTCCTGCGTTGCTGTAGATGATGCTGTGGACATGGGTCTCCTCCTCCAGATGATGCACATCAAAGGCAGGACCAGCAGGGCGCCTCTGAGCTCAGAACCTCTCTGTGGGGTCTGCATGCACAAGGGGAGGAGCTCCCTGTTGGGTGGGGTGGGGAATTCAGTTATTTTGTATGAGCTTGAATTTGTTAAATAATCATTCTTCTTTCTGACCAATGGCACATTTCCCCTTGAGTCCTGGCACTGTAAAGTTACATCTTGGTTTTTGGTTTTGTGTACAAGTGTGTTTAAAACTTTTGTATTAAACACAAAGAAAACACTCTTTTCTTGGTCACATAGCCATCATGTACAACCAAATGCATACTTTTGTATTTTTCCAAAACAAACATCCCTGGGTGCTTCCTGCACAGACACAGACAACTCACTAGATAAGTTTACCTCCTCCACACCACGCCTATCCAAGACAGTGCCTAAGTAGATGCAGGAGAGTTGAGTCTGTCTCTGTGGTGTCTTCATGGGAAACACCAACATTTTCTTGCTCTACTTCTGGTGTTGGTTCGGGAACTTGGTTATTTCTTGGAAAGACTGAGTGTGTCAAAGAATCATTCTGTTTGCTGTCTGAAAACAAATGACACAGAATTTGTTTTGAACAAATGAAATGGTGTTTGTTTTGGTGTGCAAAGGCCTTTGACACTTTCTGTGTAAACGTACTTTTTATCATCACATAAACATCATGTATGACCAAATTTAAATTTTTTATTGCATATTAATGCCTTTTATTTTAATTATTCATAATCATTTTTCAAAATATCTTTATTTTAATAATTTATCACTCCATTAAATTAATGGAAACATCACCCATTCTCTATAATTGTTTTCCACAAATTTCCTCTGAAATACTTCTAGTTGAAGAGGTGCAGAAAGTTTGCTAGGAACCACAAGACAAAATTTGCTAGAGACTCATATTTAAAAAGGGTTGTGTATGTGGCGTAGTTTCTTCTAATTTGCAAGGTTCAAACGCATTAATTTGAATAGATGGTACATCAAGACTCCCAGCACACAAAGACCAGTTATTTTGTTAATATGCACGAATAAACTTCAGCATATTGTTTTTCTTTTACCTGAAATTTATAGATACTGGCTTGAATGTCTGATTCCTTCTACATAGTATTTGTAAACGTCTGCAAGGCATTTCCTTATACTTATGGCTCATAATATAGGTGTGTATTCTTCTCTTACTCTTTGATGAGTAAATACCAAAATTGCTTCTTCAGTAAAAAAAAAAAAAGCCACTCCGAAAATTTGTGCATACAACTCCACACAGCAAATGTTTTCCGATTATCGTCTGTAGAAAAGAAGTGGGAACTTCAATTTATTTTCTTTCATCAGATAATAATATTTTAAAAGTGATTTATACTTTTATAGATTACCAGAGAATTTTCAGAGTTGCTTTTTGTCCAGGACATGTGTGGGGCTCAGAGACACCATAGACAAAGTTGCCATGTTCTGTGATGCTTCTGTCCAATAGGGTTTCAGAAAACTTGACAAAAATTAAACTGTAAGGTGGAAGAGCTGCCCTTGGGAACTGAGAGGACAGGTTTCAGGCCTGGGGTGGGATGGACAGGGGAAGCCTCCAGGAGGAGGAACATTGGAGGAGATGCTGGAGAGTGAGGCGCAGTGGGTCCAGGAGACAGGGGAGGGAAAGCGAGGAGGAAAACGTGTGTGCCTGGCACAGGCCAGGCCATGAGAAGAGGACGGTGGATTTTCTAGGACCACTGGGATGAGTAATTGGTGAGGACGCAGGAGCAGGAAGGGCAGACCATGGAGGGACTGGGCAGGGGAGGCAGGGAGGGCTGATCCCTGAGGACTGCGCTCTGTGGGGAGGGATTCGAATGTCGGTTTGGTTCCCTGAGATGTTACCCCAGCCCATGAGCTCAGCCTATGGGAAGGACATTGAGGAGTGAGTGGGCCCTGTCCCCTGGGGAGGCTCCTGGGCTAAGTCAGTGGGGTGTGGGTCTGGGAGAAAGGAGGGTGGAGAAGAGCAAAGAGGACCCCCGGCTGCCTGACTGCAGGGCTCATGGGGCTGCTCTTGTTCGCCGCCTTTTCTCCATCGCTCAGACCCTCACTTCCCCGCCAGGGCAGGTTTCTGCCCCCTCCGTCCTTTTGCAGATGTAGGTGGGCTCCATGGACCAGAAAACTCAGATCTGCAGTCTCCTCTCCACCTGGCGCCCACACAGGTGAGGCTGGGAGCAGCCTGAAGGGAAGTGCGGGTGCGGGGGTCGCAGCTGCGCAGTGAGGGGAACCGGAGGCTGCCGCGCAGGCTGGGCTTGGGGGCGGGAGCCAGGCCCACGTGGGGCGTGAGGGCCGCGGGTGGAGGGCGAGGCTGACAGGGAGTGAGGGAGGAAGGTGGAGGGCGGTGATCAGAGGGCGCGGCTGACAGGGGGAGAGGGCGGTGAGATCTACAGGGGAACTCAGGGCGGATGTCTGCCGGGTCCGCGTTGGGCTTTCTGGTAGCTTCTCCGCGAAGCGCGCTTGTTCCTGAGGCGGTGCCTGCCTGTGTCGTCGTCCCTGTTTGTTCTTCTTCAAACGTCAGGATTTCTCCGTGTTTCCCAGACCGTAACGTACATTTAAAAAGCTTGCTTTCTGTCACATATGCCCTTTTATATTATGGACATAACAATTGTTACTTACCTACGTTTCCTATCTGTGAATTATTCATAGATACAGAATTTACCAAAACTTTTAGTTGACACATTGCGTATATTTATGGATAACAGTGTGATATTTTGATTCTTGTATTCATTGGGGAAGATTCAATCAAGCTAATTAACATGGGCATCAACTCACCAGCTAATACTTTATGGTGAGAACACTAAAAATCTATTATTTAGCTATTCTAAAATGTACAGCGTGACTTCGGAGGAAATGATACTGCCCGGCCTCAGTAGCCCGAGACTGATCATTTCTAAATCCTGAGGTTCCCATTTCTGAGGGGGTCATGGCTGCATGCCCGTAAGCAAGGGGGGTGTTGGGGTGCTTTGTTTGCCCTGTTAATTTTGGGTGCCTCTGTGTTCTGAGAACTATTAAGATAATATGTGTTTGAAAAATCCAGTTGCTTTAACTTTTCCTTTGTTTTAGTCTGTTAACAACGTTATCGCTTTTCTTTTACTGACTTTAGATTTAATATATTCTTCCTTTTCTAGGTTCCAAAGGTGGAAACACAGATGACAGATTTTTGGTCTTTTCGTCATTTCCTATATATGTGTTCAATAGTATTTATTTGCCTATATGTTCTGCTTTCCTTTCATCCTACAAATTTTGATAAATTGTGTTTTTATTTTCATTTAGTTAATTTAAAAAAATTTCTCTGGAGATATCTTCTTTGATCCATATATTATATGGAAGTGTGTTGTTTAATCTCAATGCGTTTTGGGATATTACAGTTATCATTCCATTCATCCTTTGATTTCTATTTTAATTCCACTGTGGTCTGACAGCTGACATTGTATGATTTACTTTTTAAAAATTGTTGGGGTATTTTTTGTCCCAGAATGTGGCACATTTTGCTGAATATTCCATGTGAGCTTAAGAAGAATGTGTCCTCTGGAGTAGTTGAGGGAAGGAGACTGTAGGTGTCAGTTATGCCCAGTTGCTTGTTGGTGCTGTTGAGTTCAGCTTTTCACTCCTGAATTACTGCCTGCTAGATCTGTCCGTATCTGATATAGGGTTTTAATGTTTCCAACTATAATACTGAATTCATCTTTTTCCTTGTGGTTCTCTTGATTTCTGCCTCATAGTTTATGCTCTGTTATCAGGCTCACAGGCTTTAAGAATTAGGACATCTTCTTGGAAGAATGGCTCTTCATCTCTATGTAATGCCCTTCTTTATTCCTGATAACTTTTCTTGCTTTGAAGTCTGCTCTGCCTGTAATTCATATAGCTCCTCTTGTTTACTTTGATTAGAGTTAGCATCGTACATTTTGTTCCATTCATTTACTTTTATTTGTCTTTATATTTAGATTGGGCTTATAAATAACAGTTGTGTCTTGTTTTTTGATTCACTTTGTAAATCTGTGTCTTTTACTTGGTGCAGTTAGACCACTGACATTCAAAGTGGTAAGCGATGCAGTTGGATTAATATTTATCATATTTGTCAATGTTTTCGATTTGTTGTCCTTGTTCCTTCTTCATATTTTCATCTTCCATTCATTTTCTGGCTTTTGTGGTTCTCATTGAGCATTTTACATTTTTCCATCTCGTATTTATAAAAATATCAGTTATATATAATTTTAACTTTTTATTGGTGTAACATTTTTATATTCTTAGTTTATTATAAGAGAAAGCAATTTCATGAAAAAATAGAAAAATTATTAAATAATATATGCCCATGTATATATCTTATGTATAAGTCTATATGTGTACAGATATATGCACATGTGCATGTGTGTTTGTATATGTGTGTGTACATGTTTATATATACACATATATATATGAAGTGGATATCAGCAATAATGCAAAGGACAGGAGAAAGGAATTAGGATTATTTGTTATAAGATACAGCAACTGTGAAGCAATATAACTTATTTGAAAAGTAGCTGAGTTTAGTATTTTTTCTTTTTTTTAATTTTATTTATTATTATTATTATTATACTTTAAGTTTTAGGGTACATGTGCACAATGTGCAGGTTAGTTACATATGTATACATGTGCCATGCTGGTGCGCTGCACCCACTAACCCGTCATCTAGCATTAGGTATATCTCCCAATGCTAACCCTCCACCCTCCCCCCACCCCACAACAGTCCCCAGAGTGTGATGTTCCCCTTCCTGTGTCCATGTGTTCTCATTGTTCAATTCCCACCTATGAATGAGAATATGCGGTGTTTGGTTTTTTGTTCTTGCGATAGTTTGCTGAGAATGATGATTTCCAATTTCATCCATGTCCCTACAAAGGACATGAACTCATCGTTTTTTATGGCTCCATAGTATTCCATGGTGTATATGTGCCACATTTTCTGAATCCAGTCTATCATTGTTGGACATTTGGCTTGGTTCCAAGTCTTTGCTATTGTGAATAATGCCGCAATAAACATACGTGTGCATGTGTCTTTATAGCAGCATGATTTATAGTCCTTTGGGTATATAGCCAGTAATGGGATGGCTGGGTCAAATGGTATTTCTAGTTCTAGATCCCTGAGGAATCGCCACACTGACTTCCACAATGGTTGAACTAGTTTACAGTCCCACCAACAGTGTAAAAGTGTTCCTATTTCTCCACATCCTCTCCAGCACCTGTTGTTTCCTGACTTTTGAATGATTGCCATTCTAACTGGTGTGAGATGGTATCTCATTGTGGTTTTGATTTGCATTTCTCTGATGGCCAGTGATGGTGAGCATTTTTTCATGTGTTTTTGGCTGCATAAATGTCTTCTTTTTTTTTTTTTTTTTTTTTTTTGAGACGGAGTCTCGCTCTGTCGCCCAGGCTGGAGTGCAGTGGCGGGATCTCGGCTCACTGCAAGCTCTGCCTCCCGGATTCACGCCATTCTCCTGCCTCAGCCTCCCAAGTAGCTGGGACTACAGGCGCCCGCCACTACGCCCGGCTAATTTTTTGTATTTTTAGTAGAGACGGAAATGTCTTCTTTTGAGAAGTGTCTGTTCATGTCCTTTTCCCACTTTTTGATGGGGTTGTTTGTTTTTTTCTTGTAAATTTGTTTGAGTTCATTGTAGATTCTGCATATTAGCCCTTTGTCAGATGAGTAGGTTGCGAAAATTTTCTCCCATTTTGTAGGTTGCCTGTTCACTCTGATGGTAGTTTCTTTTGCTGTGCAGAAGCTCTTTAGTTTAATTAGATCCCATTTGTCAATTTTGTCTTTTGTTGCCATTGCTTTTGGTGTTTTAGACATGAAGTCCTTGCCCATGCCTACGTCCTGAATGGTAAAGCCTGGGTTTTCTTCTAGGGTTTTTATGGTTTTTATAGGTTTTATGGTTTTTATGGTTTTTATGGTTTTTCTTCTATGGTTTTTATAGGGTTTTATGGTTTATATGCAAGCAATATAACTTTATTTGAAAAGCAGGTCAGTTTAGTATTTTTTAGTTTTTATAGTTTTTATATGATTTTGATTTTTTTAACGTTATATATTTAGGTTTGTGGATACATGTATAGTTTTGTTATATAGGTAATCTTGTGTAATGGAGGTTTATTGCACAGATCATTTTTTCACCCAGGTACTAAGCCTACTGCCCAATATTTACTTTTTCTGCTCCTCTCCCTCCTTCTACCCTTCACTTACAAGTAGGCCCCAGTGTCCTTTGTTCCGTTCTTTGTGTTCATGAGTTCTCATCATTTAGCTCCCACTTAAAAGTGAGAATATGTGATAATTTGGTATTCTGCTCCTGTGTTAGTTTGCTAAGGATAATACCTTCTAGCTCCATTCATGTTCCTGTGAAAGACATGATCTCATTCTTTTTTTCAGCTACATAGTATTCCATGATACACATGTACCACATTTTCTTTATCCATCCTGTCATTGATGGGCATTTAAGTTGATTCCATGTCTTTTTTCTTGTAAGTAGTGCTTCAATGAATATTCATGTTGAT
Source organism: Homo sapiens (assembly GCF_000001405.40). NCBI lineage: Eukaryota > Metazoa > Chordata > Mammalia > Primates > Hominidae > Homo > Homo sapiens. Next base: position 24,105,898 of record NC_000015.10, read on the forward strand.
GTGTCTTTTTGGAAGAATGATTTGTATTCCTCTGGGTGTATACCCTGTAATGGGATTGCTGAGTTGAATGGTAGTTCTGATTTTAGCTCTTTGAGGAATTGACATATTGCTTTGCACAATGGTTGAATGAACTTACACTCCTACCAACAGTGTGTAAGTGATCCTTTTTATCTGCAACCTCACCAGCATCTGTTATTTTGACTTTTTAATAATAGCCATTCTGACTGGTGTGAGATGGTATCTCATTGTGGTTTTGATTTGCATTTCTCTAATGATCGGTGATACTGAGCTTTTATTCATATGCTTTTTGGCCGCATGTGTGTCGTCTTTTGAAAATTGTCTGTTCTTCTCCTTTGCTAGTTTTTTTTTTCTTTTCTGAGACTGGGTCTCACTCTGTCACCCAAGCTGGAGTGCAGTGGCGCGATCTCGGCTCACTGCAACCTCCACCTCCCAGATTCGAGCGATTCTCCTGTCTCCCCCTCCCAAGTAGCTGGGACTACAGGTGCATGCCACCACACCTGGCTGATTTTTTGTATTTTTGGTAGAAATGGGGTTTCACCATGTTAGCCAGGATGGTCTCGATCGCCTGACCTCGTGATCTGCCCGCCTTGGCCTCCCAAAGTGTTGGGATTACAGGCGTGAGCCACCCCGCCCGGTGCTTTGCCTATTTTTTAATGGGGTTGTTTGTTTTTCTCTTGTAAATTTGTTTAAGCAAGGGGTCGGGTGCACTACCGAGGCTGCCTTTATGGAGAACCCTGCACTTGTCCCAAGCCTGAAACCCCCGAATTGCCGGGTCCAGGAAGACTGGAGGTGGTGCCTGATAGAATGACTTCTTTTCATTTGGGTCCATGCCCAGTGGTGGGATTGCTAGATTGAATGGTAGCTCTGCTTTTAAAAGTTCATTGAGAAATCTCCATACTGTTTACCATACAGGTTGTACTAATTTCCATTCCCACCAAGGGTGTCTAAGCATTCCCTTTTCACCTCATCCACACCAATGTCTATCATTTATTGACTTTTTCATAATGATCCTTCTGACTAGGGTAAGATTGGTATCGCATTGTGGTGTTAATTTGCATTTCCTGATGATTAGTGATGTTGAGCATTTTTTTTTCATATGTTTGCTGGCCATTTGTGTATCTTCTTTTGCCTGTTCATGTCATCTCCCCACTTTTTAATGGGGTTATTTATTTTTTTCTTGCTGATTTGTTTGTGTTTCTTGAAGATTCTGGATTAGTCCTTTGTTGGATGGACAGTTTCCAAATATTTTCTCCCATTCTGTAGGTTGTTTCTTTATTCTGTCGATTATTTCTTTTGCTCTGCAGAAGCTTTTCAGTTTCACTAAGTCCCATTTATTTGTTTTTATTTATGTTATAGCTGCTTTTGGGGTCTTAGTCAAACATTCTTTGCCAGGCTAATGTCCAAAAGATTTTTTCCTAGTTTTTCTTCTAGAATCTTTATGGTTTCGTGTCTTACATTTAAGTCTTTAATCCATCTTGAGTTAATTTTTATTTATGGTGACAGATAAGGATCCAGTTTCATTCTTCTGCATGTGGCTATCTTATTTCCCAGCACGTTTTATTGAATGGGGTGTTCATTCCTCAGTGTATGTTTTTGTCTGTTCTGTTGAAAATCAGTTAATCGTAAGTATTTGGCTTCATTTCTGGGGTCTCTGTTCTGTTCCTCTGGTCTGTATGTCTACATTTATACCAGTACCATGTTAGTGTGCCAGCAGATGTTGTAATGGACTGTGTTGGTTGACCGTGGGCCAGAAGGTGGCACTTGCAGGAGAGAGCCAGCTGCAGTCACGGTGGTGGGATTTATGCTTAACCTTTGTTACCCAGGGGAAGTAGTCAGCTGATGGGAAGTGACGCGGAACTCTGAAAAGTCACTGTTCCTGTTCTGCTACTAGGACAGGTAGAGGGGCAAAGCCGAGTGTGGACTGGGTCAGGAAAGTCCATACTCTGCCTCTCCAAGTGTGGGTGTAAGTAGAAGCCACAGTGGGATTCAGTGGACAGTTCCCTGACCACTGGGATAATGTTCCAGGGAGGAGAACACCCTCTGCTACATGAGAGTCTGTACATGGAGAGAGGGGTAGCAAGTGGCAGGTCAATTCCCACGACCTTGACACAGAAGGTCTTACACATGCAGACTTCTGCTGGCAAACACCCACGACAGTCAGCTAAGTCTCAGGCAGTCTAGGCTGAGAACACAAACCTGCCCCAGGCTGCAAGACTTCCCACTGGAGATTGAAACTGAAACGGTAGCTCTGAGGCCACACCCCTTGATTTGACATGTGAAGTAGCAGTACCCAACTCCCATGACCCTGGCACAAGAAAGCTTCCTGCATGCCCCTTGGTTCGGGTCTTAGGGGGTTCATCCTCTGCTCAGTATTAGATCAAATACAAATCTTAGTTGGTCAGCTTCTCCCTCAGTTGGGAGCTTCTTCCAGTGCGTGACTGCTGCCTGGGTTACTTGGCTGATTTCTGCAAGATCTTCTGTGAATTAGGGTCAGGAATATCTTCCCTCTGTCCCTGCTGAGATCTGGGAGTGCACACGCAGCACACCCAGGTGCCACTCCTTCTTTCATGGTCCCCTCCTCTGTAAGTCAGCTCCAGTGCTGGGCAGGGTTAAGGCACTTCCCTGTGTCCTCGACTGCCTGGTTCCCCAGTGGGAATGTAACACAGAGAGAGTCTCCTCCTTTTGCACTCTGAAGGCTCAGTTGTCCATCTGACACATGGTGCAAGTTGCTGCCTGCTGCTCCTTTCAACAGGTTCTTTCACTTTTTCTGTTGAGTTCCTGGGTTTGTTGCATACAAATTCACAGTGTGAATCTCTAGATACTATTTTGCTCTTTCTAAGCAGGTGAGGCACACTAACAAAGTCTCCAATCTGCCATTTTGAAAAACAAAAAACAAAACAAAACAAAAAATGCTCCACTTTATGAGCAGAATGTTTACCAAAAGTTATTTGGACCTTTCATCCTGAAAGTGTCTATTCTCCTCCAATCATCGTTGTATTTATGCAGTCATTTTTATCAGTATGCAAACATGGATATTTGTTTTACTCTTTCCTTCTACTACTTCATTTATTTGTTTAAATTGTTGCAGTGTTGGCTATTGGAAGGTCTTTAAGTTGGATCGTTTGTCATTTTGAAACACTACCATAATGAAACTTCGCTGTTGTTATATGGTTGGTTAGATGTTTGCACTGTTGGCTATTGGAAGGTCTTTCAGTTGGATCGTTTGTCATTTTGAAAGACTACCATAATGAAACTTCGCTGTTGTTATGTGGTTGGTTAGTTGTTTGCACTGTTGTTTGGCGTTTTATTTTTTCTGGCACTACTAGGTGCTTAAGCTAATTGTGTGGATTTCCTCACAAGCCTGATATTAAACATTTTTTTTTTCACAGAGACCTAGTTCTTTTTATGGGAAAATTGAATTAGAAATGGAGATCTGGGCTCTTGGCATATTCATTGCTCCTGGGGCATCTGTTGATTCGTGATCTTGTGTGCTGACAGAGCAAATACATCTATGTACACTGATTCACACACACACACACACACACACACACACAGAGACATACACACGCACACAAATATTTTATCATGTATCTGTATCTTTAAGTTAAACATGAATTCCTAATAATCCTCCAGCACCCCATGATCTAATCCAGTACCACGTGAATCACTGCACCTATTCCCGCTTACTTGTATGTAGCCTACCACACTAACAGTGATAAAGATGCTTCTGTTATTTAATCACATAATCTGAAAGACTTGTATAAGTGGTTTCAGAATTAGAAATGTATATGGCCATGAGAAATAACTTTACCAACTAAAGTTTTTAGGGATAAATCTTTACCCTTTAGACTCAGAGTATCCACTTACTTGCTACGTTCCTTGGGTCAGTTGCTTTTCCACCACTCCATTCAGTGAGGTTATTTCACTGATGTGTTATTTCATTCTATTATGTGTATAGCCCCATGCTATCTGCCACCTACTCTAGGAGGTTTTTAATTTGTATATTTTAAATTCATTTTTTGTATTATAAAGTTATTTAGGATTTCTAAAATATAATCATGCATTTATCATTACAGTATGATACCAGAATAATTTCACTGCCTAGAGCAAATCTGCTGTACCTCACCAATTTGACCTGCCTCTTTTCCAAGCTCCTAGTAAATACCAAACATTTTATTATCTGTATACTTTTTCACATTGCAGAGTGTCACACGACCAAAATCACACAAATATTTTGCCTTTTTAAATTTACTTTTTTTTGCAATATACCCTTTAGATTTGTGAAATGTATCTCATGGTTGTTTAGAGTTGCATGTTCCTAATGACAAAAGACTTAGACCTCATATGATGTGCTTACTAGACGTGACTATAGTATCTTTGGATACATGTCAGTTCAGATAGTTCACCAATTTGATTGTGATATTTGCCTTTTTGAGTTGTAAAATATTTTATATATTGTGGCTAATAGATTGTTTTCTGCTATGTGATTGTGAAGATTTTCTTCTATTCTTTGCATTATCTTTTTACTTTTAATTATGTACTTTGAGTCTCAGAAGATTTTACTTCTCACAAAGTTAAATATATTCATTTTTTATTTCCTTTTCTTGGGCTTTAAGTATCATATCTTAGAAATTATAGGAGTTATTGTTTAACCTAAGACCCAAATTATGTATTTCTATATTATCTTCTAAGGGTTTGGTCTATTTAGATCTTACATTTGGATATATGATTATTTTGAGCCAATTATGTATATGGTATGAGTGAGAAGTTCAACTTGCTTGTGGATATTCAATTGTCCTAGCAACATTTGTTACAAATATATTTTTCCATATTGAATTGGCTTGGCAACCTTATAAAATCATTTGACTATAAAGGTAAAGATTAATTTTTGGACATTGAATTCTACTATATTCCTTTGACCTGTATGTCCAAGTTTATACTATTATTGAGCCTTTAAATTAAATTATGATGATACTGAGTTTTTCATGGATGCCCTTTAAAATAAAGAAACTTTCCTTATAGGCTTAATTTGTTGTATACTGTTATCAAAAATGGATTTTGGATTTGTCAGGTGCCTTTCCTGCATCTTTTGAGATGATCATATGGCTTTTGTTTTTTATTTTATTCTTATAGGTCATGACACTAATTATTTTATATGTTGAACCAAATTTGCATTCCTGAGACAAATACCCTTGATGATGGTGTATAATTCTTTTTACATTTGCTGATTTGTATTGCTAGCATTTTATTGAAGACATTTACCCTTTATTTATAAAACATATTGGCCTTAATTTTTCTTTCATGAAATGTCTTGCTTTAGTTGTAATGTCAGTGTAAACTAACTAATAGTATACATCAGGAAGTGATATCTTCTCCACTTTTACAGTTGTTTAAATTTTTATGAAGAGTTTGTGATAGATTTTTATTAATTATTTTCAGGTTTGGAATAGTTCACCAGTGAAGTCATCTCAACCAGCACAGGGCCTTGACTCCTAACAACAATCACACGAACTTGGAAGAGGAGCCTTCCCCAGCTGAACCTTCACTTGAGACCTCATCCTTGGCCATCATCTACATCTGGATTCATGATACAGAGAAACCGTGAGTAAGAGCCACTTAGTGTGTGACAATTTGTTATTCAGCAATAAATAATACACCTGACAGTCAATGCAATGTGGTATCCTGGACAGAAAAATGACATTTTTTACTTAAAAGCCTAGTAAAATATGGAAAAAGCCTATACTTCAATAAATAGTTTTGTGCCAACTATTTTTTAGGGCTCATGGTTACATAATCTATTACGTTGCATGTAATTCAAAGATGTCTAAAGCTTTCTGTACTATCTGTGCATATTTCTGTGTATTTAAAATTATTTCAAAGAAAAAATGTTTTTGAAAAAAGTATTAAATGTGATATGAAAAAAATTCCAAAGCACAGACAGAATAGCTTCAGCTCAGGAGATGAAAGGGCATGTAGAGAGAGAATAGCAAAGCATCCTTCCATATTGATTTACCAACTTGAACACCGGTACACTTGCTTCAGGAAGATCCCCCCAAGTTCCAGAGACTCATCCTCTTTCATCTTCTTCATCATATTCCGCATTTTTCAGTCACCAGTTTTAGCATCTGGTGCTAACTACGTAACGATTTTTTGAAAGACAGATGCCTATTACTCACATGTCTCAAAAAGCCCCATTTTCAGATATAATTTAGCAGGACTCCAACAAACAGACCAGAATTTATTGAGAGCTTGCAGTGAGGAGTGTCTTAATTCGAACACGACTATGTTGACAACACATCCTCTTGTGAGTGAAGCATTCATACAGAATGAGTCGCTGAAACTCAATAACACATGTCTACTGTACAAGAAAGGTAACAATCAATATAATGATCTAAAATTATTCTGGGGACATAGGGGACATGTGTCCAAGATTTATGAGATGTGAGCAACCAAGAGAGCGTGAACACTGATATTTTATAAGTGCTCCAAATCAGTAGATGGGCATTTGATTTTCCAGTTAGGGCTGCAGTCAGGGTCTCTTGGCTTCAATACTGTACACGGAGAATTTCAATGACAGATCTTGGTTAAAATAACAACAGTAATAACCCCTCATCTATGATATTGCAGCCTGGCACCATTTAACTTAATTTTACTGCGTATAAATAGCAACCGTATACTCCACGCAAACTAGAATGGCAGTGGAATTGATGTAGTGAAGAAAGTGACAAATTATTTTCCAAATATAAAGCAAACTTCAGGTTTTATAGGGAAACAAATGGAGGTAAAAATATTTTTATCCTTATTTTTCTGATAATTCTGTTCTGCTCTTATAAATAGAAAGCTCCACTTTCATTATTTTATAATATAGTGAGTTTATCAGCCACATGTATGAAAATTGTAGAGTAAAAGTAGGTTTGTGTCGACTTGGTTGGTTCATTTGACTTACACGCATCATTTACTTTATCTCGAATGGTTATTTTTTAAGCCTTGGTTTTGGTACAACATGTAAAAGTGTCAGTCTTTGTGCAATATTAAATCTTCACTCAAATAACGTTTCTTTGTGCCTTTGCCTTTGTTTCTGCGTTGCTCCTGTACTTCTGTGAACCATATTTCAGTGAGTACTGATGACACTAGCAGTCCAGCCTGCATGGATGCTGACATGGATGCTGTCTCCCATTCTTACCACTGGATGTGAAGAAATGCTAGATGCAATCCATCCAATCTGTACTCGACTCTCAATTGCATCTTCTCAACTCACAGTGACTTCCAAAGTCCATGACACACCACAGCCTGGAACATCTCCCAAGGTGGTATCTTGAGGCAATGGTAGAGCTCATGTCACAGTATTGTATGTCTCAGGTATCACTGTCCTTCACTGTTTGATATAATCTCTCTTACAAACCATTGTTCCATACATTTTGCCCCTTTTCTGTTTGTTTATACATGTGGTATGGCGTGTCTAAACCTCAGTGAGGATATTAGAATAGGGTTCTGCATATTTAGAGGTGTGGATCATTGGAAAGCATCTTAGAACCTACCTGCCACATGAAGTCCTGTCTAATCTGTATCAGTTTCTGGGTCTTCACTTATTTTTTTGCCCTTGATCTTAGTGAAAAGAACTTGTCAGGTGTTCCATAGGATGTATCGCAATATGGATTTGTTATGTTTTTTCATAATTTGAGTAAGATTAAACATTCATTTATACACGTATTTGTCTAATGTTGAAGACAAAAAACCTGAACAATATATTATTTGGAAATACAAATTTAGAAAATAATAATGAAGAATGAGGCTGGGCATGGTGGCTCATGCCTGTAATCCCAGCAATTTGGGAAGCTCAGGTGGGTGGATCACTTGAGGCCAGGAGTTTGAGCCCAGCCTAAGTAACATGGCGAAACCCCATCTCTACTAAAAATACAAAAATTAGCCGGGTGTGGTGGTGCATGCCTGAATGTTTCATATATTCTGGATAATAATCTCCTAACAGTTATATGACTTGAGAATATCTTCTTCCATTATTTCAGTTGTCTTGATGGTGTACTTTGCATCTTAAAAGGTATTGATCCACATGAAGTTCAATGTATCTATTTTTTTTTTCTGTCACTTGTACTTTTGTGTCACATGTTAGAATCCATTGTTTCATGTAAGGCCATGAAAATCTATTTTTATATTCTCTTCTGTGGGATTTTTAGTTTTAGCTCTTACATTTAGCCACATATTCTATTTTGAGTCAAATACATATATGGTGCAGGAAACAGTTTAACTTGCATGTGGATATCCCTTTCTCCCAGCAACATTTGTTGAAAAACTATTTTTTCATGTTGAATTAATTTTTCAACTTTGAAAATAAGTTTGCCCTATATATAAAGATTGATTTTGGGGTGCTCAACTCTATTCTGTTGGCTTATATGTCTTTCCTCATGTTATGTGAGTTTTCCATGGATGCTCTTTGTAGATTTAGAAAGTTTTCTTCTATGCCTAATTTTCCCAGAGCTTTTATCATGAATGGGTTTGGAATTTGTCAAATGCCTATTCTGTGTCTTTAGAGGTGACCATGAGTCTTTTTAAAAAATTCTGTTAGTATAGTTTATAACACCAGTTGTTTTTGTATGTTTAACCAGACTTACATTGCAGGGATAAATAGTTTTGCTCCTAGTGTATACTCCTTTTTATATGTTACTAGTTAATTTTGATAGTATTTCCTTGATAATTTTTGCCTGTTTCACATTGGTCTGTAATTTTCTTTTCTTGAAATGTCTTTGTCTAGCTGTGGTGTCAGGGAACACTGGCTTCATACATTGCATTAGGAAAGGTTCTTTACTAGTCTGTTTTTATTGATTGTTATTAATTCCCAAAAGGCTTTGAATAACACACCAGTGAAGTCATCTTGACCTGGACAGAAATTGAATCCTCCCAAGAATCCCAGGAGCTTGGAAGGGGATCCTTCCCCAGATGAGCCTTCCCTTGAAATCTCTGCCAGGCATCTGACCTAGAGAAACTGTAAGTACTGTGTAGGGCTGGGTTGGAAAGTCTAAACTATGTAGACAACAATCGGTCAGTTATATGCCTGACAGTAAATGTAATGTGGTATCTTGGATTAGATCCTAGAACAGAAAAATGACACTAGTGGAAAACCTCATAAAATATGAAGAAAATCTTTTCCAGTTAATAGTTTTGTACCACTGTCAATTTCTGAGTTTTCATAAATATGCTACGGTGATATAAGGTGCTAACATTTCAGGAAGCTGTAGGATATATGAAACTCTATTATCTTTACTACTTTCTATAAAACTAAAACTATGATAAAATAAAAATATTTCTTGAAATGTAATATTCAGGTACCAGAAAATAAAACAACAATAACAAAGACAGATTTAAACCACAATAAAACCACAGATCAGAGGATGAATGGAGATATAGGGAGACTATGGCAAAGTAGCTTGCCTTATTATCCCCCATTCCTACACAGGGCACCTGCTTCAGAAAGACACCATCAAGCTCCAGGGACACTCATCCACTTTCTTCTTTCCCATCACACTTCCCATTACCCAGTTATCAATTGTGTTCATAACCACTTTTCCAAGGAAAGACGCCTTTCTCACATATGTTAGAAGGCCCTGTTTTCAGGCATTTTCTGTCAGTGTCTTTGTAGGATCTCACTATAAAGACATTTTAGAAGACATGACTTCCAGACATTAGAAGAGAAGATTGAGAAACGCCAGTGATGGTGAACATAAATACTTGTGCATTAAGGGTGTTTTCTTAGTACAGGGATTACTTTTATTCCCCAAGTTTTAAAAGGAAATGATGCCTTAAGCCTTTGAGAAAACACTGTGATAATTCAGTTTTCTTCGTCATGCAGACTCCATCACGAATTTATGGGACCACACATTCTCTTGACACTCACATCATGGATCTATATTGTCTTGTGATATATTAATCTGTTCTCATGATGCTAATAAAGACATACCTAAGACTGGGTAATTTATAAAGGAAAGCAGTTTAATTGGCTCACAGTTTCACATGGCTGGGGAGGCCTCACAATCGTGGCAGAAGGCAAATGAGGAGCAAAGTCACATCCTACATAGCGGCAGACAAGAGAACTTGTGCAGGGGAACTCCCATTTATAAAACCATCAAATCTTGTGAGACTTGTTTACTACCATGAGAATAGTATGGAGGAAACTGCCCCCATGATTTACTTTTCTCCACCTGGCCCTGCCCTTGACACTTAGGGATTATTACATTTCAAGGTGAGATTTGGGTGGAGACACAGCCAAACCATTTCAAGCGACAAGCCCAAAAGCCACAGAATAGACATTATCATGGAGGAAAGTTAACTAGATATGAAAAAAGTTTATAATCATGGAGTTGTAGGTTAATTCCTGCTCAAAAAGACGTGGAAATGAGCCTTTAGACAGACATCAGATATATGAAGGTGAGGCATGTTAGTGATACAGAGTGTGTTGTGCAGAGGTGGAAATAGCCTAATAGAAAAAAGGAAAGAAAGTACAACGTACCCCAGCCCACCATGCAGTGATCTAAGAGATGGACAGAGGCTGAGAGCTGACTCTGGATATGTGCTGGATAAACAAAGATCCCCACGGCAGGGAGGACTGTTTCATCTTTCCCAACACAGCTCCCTGTTTACAGGCCACACCACTTTACAGAGGAACACCAGGGATCTTCCAGGAACCATGCCCACAAAGCTTACTAAGCCATGGGACTGCATACTACACTCCCAAGGACATCCACAAAGTCAAGACTCTTGCTTTTTCAGACTGTGATCATGGGCTACATTCTCCATACCATGTTCATAGCTTCAGCGAGAAAACAAACTCCTGCATCCTGGAGACCTACAGTGAGAGACACAGCTGACCTTGAACATATTTCTCACTTCTGAGAAGATTATAGCAGTAACTCAGGTGCTATTATTTGGGGCATTTATAATTCAGTAAACCTTCTTACTCCTCTAGTCTTACAATTCACCCCATAGGAAAGGATGGTTTCATTTAAATTGGCAATCTTAAGTCATGGAGGTTTGCTCTTTTTATTTCATTATAACAGGAGTTTCTATAAGGTAAGTGACTTGTACAATCCCATTTTCCTCTTCATTTCAATGCATATATATGGTCTATTATGATGTGTACTGTTAAGATCATCCATGACCAAATTCTTCAGGAAAAAAAAAATCACCAAGTGGCAGGCCATGAGGGAGACAGAAGTAGATGTGTAGAAGGACAGACTCATCCGTAGGTGGCAAGAGGGTTGAGGAGCTCTGAGTGCTCAGGGTTAAGACTGGAAAAGTGATTAGACATGAAACTCTGCTACCATAATGTCCCAGGCACAGAGGACACAGTGCTGAGCACTAAGCTCCTAAACATTACCATGAGTCTGGATTGGCTGAGTCTGGATTGGCCACCAGAATTCTCAGAAAGATGCCATTGAAAACACCCCATCATCCAACCACTTCCTTAGGCAAGAACCCAGTGCTGTCTCTGCCCTCTAGTCTGAATACTGAATCAAGTTTAAAGGGTGCATGACTCCTACACTTGAGATTAGGGCTTCTTGTTCACTGAATTGAGCCCTAGTAGAAGCTGAAACTCTCGGTACAAATATGCTCAACATTCTAAATTATAAATTATAAGAGTTTCCTCTTCATTCAGTACACTCTTTGGGGAACACCAAAGCCTTTTTCATTTTCTAAGTATCAACAAGTGGAGCTGACAAGAGTAACAAGTGGTCAGAGCAAGGCATTTCATGAAAACAGCAATGCACAGGCGTCTGCAGTCCCTGCTTACAGTGAGATTCACATGACCATCGTTCATGGGATACGAAGGATAAAAGGGGAGGGAGAAAAAAATATGCAGTTGATCTGGATGAAGAATCGGATTTGAAAGCAACTTAGAATAATCTCTGCTTATATTTCTAAGATTAAGGCAAAAAGTCTCAAGATACAGGATTTTCTGTCTTCAGAGAGTTGCACTCTGCTGCAAACTTTCAAGTAACACTTCACCATTTCTATCTTCCTTCTCCATGGGATCTTTGAGCCATAATTTATAAAATCACCTGTACGTCCCTTGTATTTTTGTTATGTCTAATAATCTCTTGAGGTCTCTCTAGGGATAGTGACTATAAATTATCACCCTGCCCAACAGGACTCCAGGAAACTGTATCCTGGATGTTTACAGTGTGCCTTTCATGGGATACTTATTTATCCTGGTGGATACCCCAAAGCATAAGTGTACAATATTTGACCCAGCATCCTTCTCACAGGATATTTGTTTATACTGTCAGACACTCTTGTGGCACTTGTCAGACCTGTGTCCACTCCATTCCCACCAAGGTTGCCACAGTCTAGGGGAGCTCTGAGTTCAAAAAAAGTTGAGTTCACATGTGTTGGTCATGTGAGACATGGAGGAGGCAACTCAACAAAGTACAGGAATTTCTTGCAGTTGGGGATCACTGGGCACCATTGCAGGGTCTAACTGACACATTAGGTCTTCTCCAATCTGCAAGTTTCATAGTCTTCACTTCTTTTTCTTGACCTTGACCCTGTTGAAATGTACAGGTCAGATATTTTGTAAGATGTCCCACAATATGGATTTGTCTCATGATTTCTCATGATTAAACTAGGGACATGTATACATTAAACACATGTCATCTAATTTTGAAGACAGGAAAAACTAAACAGTATGGATATTAGAAATATAAACATAGAGATAAATATAACAAACACAAATTAGAGGATAAATCACAGTAATTGCAACCTTCAGTGATTAAGGAAGGTGATGAAGCTAAGGAGATCCATGAATGGCCATCAACATATTGCTCATGTTCTATTTTATAAGATCAGCAGTGACTTTAAATAAAAAGAAACTTTATACATTTTAGAGTCATTTAGGATTTACAGAATTGTTTTAAATACAGTACATAGACTTTCCATATATCCCACTACAGTTGCTCTTTTTATTAACTTCTTAATTTAGGACATTTGTCACAATTAACCAATTTTAAACAGTATCATTAACTACTCTTCATACTTTATTCAGATTTTCTCAGTTTTCACTTAATGTCTGATTTCTATTCCAGGATTTCATCCAGGATACCTCAGCACAGTTAGATATCATGTCTCCTTAGACTTCTCTGACTGTTGCAGTTTCTTAGAGTTTCCTAGTTTTTGATGACATTGACATTCCTAATGTGGGATTTCTCTGAGGTTTCTTTTATGATAAGACTAGATTTGTGGGTTTAGGAGAGGAAGATGACAGAGGAAAGGTGCCATTCTCTTCACATTATACCAAGGGCATAGGCTCTCAACAGGCTTTATCACTGTTAATGTTAATTTGATCCCCTGGATGAGGTGGTTTTTATCAAATTATCAAACACTGTGAAATTATTATTATTTTTCCCTTTCCCCATAGAATGTTTCAGAACAAAGTCACTAACACAACAGACATTCAAGAAGTGGGGGTCATGGGCCAAGCACCATGGCTCATGCCTGTAATCCCAGCACTGTTGGAGGCTGAGACAGGCAGATCATCTGAGGTCAGGAGTTCGAGACCAGTCTGGGCAACATGGCGAAACCTCATCTCTACTAAAAATACAAAAATTAGCTAGGCACAGTGGTCGTGCCTGTACTCCCAGCTACTCGGGAGGCTGAGGCAGGAGAATCACTTGAACCTGGGAGGCAGAAGTTGCAGTGAGCTGAGATCACACCACTGCCCTGCAGCCTGGGCAACAAAGCGAGACTGCAGACTCCATCTCAAAAAAAAAAAAGTGGGGATTCATGATCTACCTTCTTATTGGCAGAATGTCTACAAGTTTATTTGAACCCTCAACCGTAAACATGTGTCTATTCTAACTATTACATATTTATTCATTTCTATATAAATTATTTATATCATCATCTAAACATGGATATTTATTTTATACTTTACATATGCTAATTTATTTGATTGTTCAAATTGTTCCATGGTTGGCTATTGGAAGGTTTTTTAGTTGTCTCTGGTATAATTTTGAAATACCCACATAATTAAGGTTCAATGTTGTATGGTTGGTTGGTTTTGTTGTTGGTTAGCATTTTCTTTTCTTTAACCACTAGTAGGTGCTCCAGACTTGGTTGGTTTTCTTGTTGTTTAGCATTGTCTTTTCTTTAACCACTACTAGGTGCTCCAGGCTAACTGTGTATTTAATTGTACTCCAGGCTAGTTGTATAATTGTGTAATTTCTACTAATGTTTCCGATACCATATGATCTAATCCAGCACCATATGAATGATGTATGTAGTCTCTTACTCTCCCTGTGAAGAAGTCGATGCTGTTCACTTAATCGTACTACCTGAACATCCATGCAGAGTGGTTTCAGAACTGGTAACTTATACCCCAATGGGAAACAATTTTACCAAGCAAAGTACAGTACATAGGTATAAATACTTTGGCTTTTAGCCTCAGAATATCCACTGATTACCCAAATTACTTAGGTCCATTGCTTTCCTCCACTTTCTTTAGTGAGGTTATTCCATACATTCATTACATGGTTATATTATTTTTTTGGGCATTCCTCCTTGGAAACCCTCTACCTACTAAATAAGGTTTTAAATTTGCATAATTTAGATACACTGTTTGTGTTATAAAGTTCTTCAGGATTCGGAAAACATTATTATGTATCCACCATTACAATATCAGAGAGAGTAATTTCACTGCCCCAAAGAAACCTCCTGTATTTCACGCATCCCACCTTCTCTCTCCCAAGCTCCTCGTTACCACCGAGCTCTTTGCTATCACTATCCTTTTCTCCTTTTCCAGAGAATCATATAGGTGGAATTACACAGTATTTTGCCTTTTCCAACTTATATTTTGTCACATAGCAAGATACCTTTTAGATTTTTGAAGTATGTATCATGTTTTTTTAGACTTCCCTTCCCCTATTGTTGCAGGACAGGTGAGCCCCAAATTTGGGGCTTCAGCTGGCAGGGTTCTTGGCTTTGCCTAGGAAAGTGTTTAAGGGCAAGACAGTGGTGATAGACAGAAATGTTTTATTGAACAGTACTGCTCCTTAAAGAGCAGGGCTAACTCATAGGCGTTGCGTTTGTTGGTAACCTATGGGCCCTTGTCAACTATCTTTACACTAAGGGAAACCCACTTTCAATTACATGTAAATTGAGGAGTGGATCAATGAAATTTGATGGGCAGGTTATTCAGAACTTTCCAGGACAGGAGTGGTAATTTCTGGGTTGTTGCCATGGAAAGAGGTGGTTAAATTCCAGGTTGTTGGCATGGAATTTATAAACAGTCATGGCGCTGGAGGGAATGTCTCATGCCAGTGAGCAATGAGGACAACCAGGGATCCCTTTGTCTCTTTTTGCCAGTTTCTTCACTGTATGCTGTCTGGACCAGATCTTGTTTTGATCAGCAGGGTTGTGACTAGAAAACAACTTGCCGGTCTCCTATCTCATAATGGCAAAAGGCATTGAGTGTCTTTTCGTGTGATTTGGGTATGACTGTAGCTTTTCTGGAGAATTGGGTATTTGAATAAATTCCATTTTTGATTGAGATATTTGCCTTTTTTATTTTTGAGCTCTAAGATGTTGTCATATATATATGATTAACAATAGACCATTATCACCTATAAAATTTGCAAATATTTGGTTTTTAATTTAACTTTTAAGTTTCAGGGTACAAGTGCACATTTGTTACATAGGTAAACTTGTGTTATGGTGGTTTGATGTAGATTATTTCATCACCAATGTACTAAGCCTAGAACCCATTAGTTATTTTTTCTGATCCTCTCTCACCGCCCACCCTCCACCATCTGATAGGCCTCTAATGAGGTTTAATATATCTGTTTTTTCTTCTTCCCTTTTGCTTTCAGCATCGTATCTTAGAAAAGAGTGTTTAACCTAAGACCATGAAGATGTATTCCTGTGTATTTTCTATATTTTGGACCTTTGTAGCTATTATATAGAGATATATGATCATTTTGAGTCAATTACATTTTCAGTGTGAGGCAGGAGTTCGACTTGCATGGAATATGCACTTGTTTCAGAAATATTTGAGTAAAAATATTTATCCATATATAATTTATTTGGTGACATTATAAAATTGTTTCACTATAAATGTAAGTATTCACTTTTGAACACTATATTCTATTACATTGATCAACATCTGTATTCTTATACTAGTACCATAAATCTTGATTATTATTACTTTGTAGTGAGTTTTGAAGGCAGGAATTATGTATCTCCCATGCCAGCCTTTTTTCTTCTTTCTCAAAATTGTTTAGGCTGCTCTGGGTCTATTGCATTATATATGAATTTTAGATAAACTTTGTGAATTTAGAAAAAGGAAATGTCACCTGGGATTTTGATAGAGGTTGCATTAAATCTATAGATCCATTTGGAAAATATTGCCAGGCTAACAACATTAACCTTTATAAACAATGAATAGTCAAAGGTTTTTTTCCATTTTTTTCAAAATGTTTTCTATAGTTTTTGTGTATATATCTTATACTTAACTTGATAAACTTATTTTTGATGTCATCTCAGATGGAACATTCTGAATTTTTTGTTTTAGATTGTTAATTGCTAGCATATAGAAATTCAGAGGATTTTATATATGTTGACCTTATATACTGGAAGTTTGTTGAACTCATTTCTAAATTCTAACCATATTTGATTAGAGCCCTTTGGACATTTTATACGTAAGATCATGTCATATGCCAACAGACATAGTTTGACTTCCTTTCCATACTGGAAGCCTTACATTTATTTTTCTAGACTAATTGCCATGTCTATATCCTCCAGTACAATGTTAAAAACAAGTGTCAAGAGTGGAAATCCTTGTCTTGTTTCTAATCTTGGAGAAATTAGTGAACCTTTCAGATAACTTATGATGATATGTTGGTTGGTTTTTTATGGATCCCCTTTAAAAGGAAGACAGTTCCCTTATCTGCCTCATTTGCTGCATGTCCTTCTCATAGGGAGTTTGAGAATTCTCAAGTGCCTATGCATCTTCTGAGATGATTATGTGGTTTTTGTTCTTTATTATATCAACATAGTGCATAGCACTTGTTGTATGTTGAACCAAATTTTGCTTTCCTGAGGTAAATACCCTTGACATAATGTGTAATACTTTTTACATGTTTCTGGTTTGTTTTGCTAATATTTCCTTGATGATTTTTGCCCCTGTATTCATAAGGTATAGTGTTCTTCGTTTTCCATATTTGAAATGTCTTTATCTAGCTGTGGTATCAGAGTAAACTAACTCAGTGTAGAATGGGAAATCATGCCTTCTCCACTTTTTTGGAATAATTTTTAATAAATTCGTATTAATTTTTTAAGTGATTCTAATAATTCACTAATGAATTCTTCCTGATGAGGTCAGAGAGGTTAATCCTAAGAACACTTACATGAGCTTGGAAGGAGACCCTTCCCCAGCTGAGCCTTAGCCTGGGCCATCACCTACATCTGGACTGAAGACCTAGAGAAACTGTGAGTAATATGTGTGTGGTTTTGAACCACTAAGATGTGTGGGAATTTGTTATGCATCAAGTCATAAGTAATATACCTGACAGTAATTGCAATGTGGTATTCTGGGTTAGGTCTTGGAACAGATAAATATATCATTATTAGAAATTCTGAGGCTGGGTGTGGTGGCTCACGCCTGTAATCCCAGCACTTTGGGAGGCTGAGGCGGGCAAATAACGAGTTCAGGAGATCGAGACCATCCTGGCTAACATGGTGAAACCCCATCTCTAATAAAAATAGAAAAATTTAGCTGAGTATGGTGGTGGGCGCCTGTAGTCCCAGCTACTCAGGAGGCTGAGGCAGGAGAATGGCCCAGAACCCAGGAGGCGGAGCTTGCAGTGAGCCAAGATGGCGCCACTGCACTCCAGCCTGGATGACAGAGCATGACTCTGTCTCAAAAACAAAACAAAATAAAACAAAAAGAAATTCTGGTAAAATATGAAGGAAGTCTGTAGATCAGTTAATAGTTTTGAAATAGTGAAATTCTTAGTTTTCATGAATATACTATGGTTAGAATAGTACATTCTAGTTAGCTGAAGGGTATATGGAACTGTCTGTTCTACCTGTGTATCTTTTTGTAAATCTGCAATTATTTCAAAATAAATTTGTTTTCTAAAATTATTATATTTTTTAAAAGAAAACAAAGACATAAGCAAAAAACTTTGGCTTCCAGAGATGCATGGACACATAGGGAGAGAAAAGCAATCTAGAGTTTTTTATCTAGTTGCCTTTCCAAACCCAAGTTCACCTGCTTCAAGAAGGCACCATCAAGCTCCAGGGACTGTCATCCTTTCTCTCCTTCTCCGTTACCCACTCAGCAGTTGGAGTGTCAGCAACCACTTATTCAGAAAAAGCTGCGTTTCCTTCACATATCCCAAAAAGCCCCATGTGTGGACATCATTTAGCAGTGTATATTCAGGATCCCACTGAAGCATTTTTGGGAGATATGACTCTCAGATATTAGAAGCCAAGAATAAGAAATTTCAGTGACAGGGAACATAAATCATATTTCTGCATTCAGGATAATGTTTTCCTGGTACAGGCATTTCTTTTTCAAGTAATCAAAAGACAACTGTACCTTCAAACCTTTCAGAAAAATATGTTCTAATTTAGTTCTTTTGATTCTACAGACTCCATCAGGAATTGTTTGGGACCGTGCATTCTGTTGACACTCACTTTGTGGAATTATGTTGCCCACTGCCAACCCTAAAGCCACCAAGGTAGCAGGTAAGCAGAGTACAAAAAATGTTTCTAATAAATTGGTTTAGGCCAGTCCCTACTTACAGAGACCTGGATATGAATCTTTTACACAACAGATTTTTTGCAGTTGGATGCTAGTGAGTGGAGAAAGCAGCTGACAAAGTGCTGAGCAATGAGTCTCCAGACAAACTCTAACTGCATGGAAGATGTGATTTCCCACAATATCTTAAACCAGCAGTTCCTTAGAGGCTGGCCTGGACACCACAATTCTAAAAGAGATACCATTTAAGAGAAACCAAATTCTAGACCAGATCATGAGGCAAACACCCAGCACTTTATCTCCACATTCTAACCTGATTAGAAGTTGCAGTTCAATGAAAGAATGTCTTAGATATTTGAGAGCATGACTTTATCTTTATTTAATTTAGCCTTGCTGGAATTTAAAACTGTAGGGCAAAATTCAGTCAACCTCCTAAATTATGTGAGTTTTTGTTTTTGTATGTGAGTTTCTGCATACACATAAAGAAACTCCTATAGTTTAGGAGGTTGACTGAATTTTGGGTGTACAGAAACTCATACTTTATGTGCTGCTTCTTCAATCAGGGTATTCCTGAGGGAAAACCAAAAGCAATCCTCAAATGCAAGTACCCAAATTAGGGTTGAGCAGAGTAGCAAGGGGGCAGATTAAAACATTTTATAAAGACCATTATGCATCTACTTCTGCAGTGACTAATTACCAAGTGATTTCTATGATCACCAACCATATGGTTAAAACAGCAAATGGGAATGAAGAAAACAGAGTTACATAAATGATATAGCTGAAAGAATGGAGTTCATAATGAAGCTCACAAGGGTCATTGGTCAAATGCCTAAGATTGCAGTGGGAAGTTTCAAGTTACAGCTTTTTCTAGGTCTTTAGAAAGCTATCACTCCAGTGAATTTTTCAAGTAACTCTTTATAATTTCTATCTTCTTCCTCAGTGGATTTCTTAAACCATAGTTCATAGAACTACATTTCCATGCATAACAGAAGAATTATAGAATTCCACTAATAACTGTAATGTCTCTAATAGCTATGTAGAATGTAAATACACTTGGTAAACTTATGTGATAAGATTTAAGCATGTTTCTTCAATAACAGATAAGAATACAGTTGATGAGCCACCATAATCTAACACTGAGAAATGGGCAGTCACAGAGGACAGTGTATTCCATTCATCATAGGGGGCACATTTTCACATTTGTGAAACACAGATGCACCTTAAATTTGATAGTGTTAAAACATTATTGACGAGACGGCGACCATAACGTGATTGTCCTCATTTACATATACATGAGCTTGGTCTATAAACCTTCCATTGACATCTTCAGGTCATACCATCAACATCATGTCTTGCATAGGGGGTTTCAGACGGTTGGAAAGATAAACTCACAGGAGCACCATAGGAATCTCGCAAGAAGTGCAGCATCACCAAAGTGTCAGATTAGCACAGGTGATAATAATATGGGGAAAATCATGAGCAGATGAGTTGAAGAGTGATTCAGGAGAGTTACATCTCAATGAGAGAAAATTTAGGAAAACCTTTGTCAATGTATTTTTCTTGTATGTTCCATCCCATGTAGGAATGACACAAGACAAATATCCACATGTACGCACATTGAATATATTTTTTCCAGTAATTGTAATGTATTTATGTTATTACTATGTGATTTATTTATAAGTGATAAAAGTACTAGTTTCTTCATTTGTTAGTGGTTTTGTTCTTCCATTCTGGTGCATGAAATAATGACATGTTACAATTGACGCAAATGATATATCTCGCAATTTATTAGAAAATTAATTTTTAGGGGTTAGAATAGGCTTGATAGTATACAACAATCTTTATATGTTATCATTTCATAGAATCCATACTGACATCTCAAGAAGTAAGCATGATTTTCACCTCTGTGGTCCATTTCGGAGTCTGAGCTGACTTTCTACAGGACAGGTATAAAGGAACCTTGAGTATGATACTGTCTGCCCCAGAGTCTTTGCTCACTTTGACTATGTAGAATGTGTCTTCTCTTACATGGTAAATAATTTTCAGGTCTAGTTAGACAGCTCAGCCTACCCTCTGTCATGAAGATATTTTCCTAAATTGTTTTGTTAATACTCTTTTATTTTTATATTTAAGCCTATGAACCAACTAGAATTGATTTTGTGTGTATGTGAGGTCAAAGGTCAGATATTGGTTATTCCCTGTGGATATTCAATTTCCTGGAACATTTTAATAAAAATTGATCTTTCCCCCATGCATCAATGTATAAATCAATTTTTATATATGTATATGTCTGCATTCTAGCTCTGTTTTTATTTTTTAAGTTACTGGTTGTTTCTTCTATCTTTGTGCAAATTCTACACTGTCTTATTATTATCATTATTATTATCTTTTTTTTTTGATACAGAGTCACTCTGTTGCCCAGGCTGGAGTGTTATGGTGCAATCATGGCTCACTGCAACCTCCTCCTCCTGGGTTCAAGCGATTCTTGTGCATCAGCCTCCCGAGTAATGGATTATAGGTGTGCGCCACCACACCAGGCTAATTGTTTTGTATTTTTAGTACAGATGGAGTTTCACCATGTTGGCTAGGCTGGTCTCGAGCTCCTGACCTCAGGTGATCTACCCGCCTCAGCCTCCCAGCATGCTGGGATTACAAGTGTGAGTCACTGCACCTATTCCACACTGTCTTATTATTAAGAGAGTCTATTTAGAACAATAATTTTCTCTCCAGAGATTTTTTTATATTTTTTCTTTTTTAAGAGAGATAGAAGATTTCATCCGGTTGTCCAGCTAGGGTATAGTGGCTCAGTCGTAGAACAGATTATGTGTTCAAACTACTGGGATCAAGTGATCCTCCCCTCTCAGCATCCTGAATAGGTAGGACTACAGGCACAAGCCACCATGCCTGGTTAATTAATTTTTTTTTTTTTGGTAGACACCAGGTCTTCCTGTGTTTCCCATGCTAGTGTAGAACTCTTAGCCACAAGCAATCCTCCCTGCTTTGTCTCCCAGGGTGCTAAGATTACAGGTGTAAGCCACTGTGCCTGGCCCAGAGCCTCTTCTTTTAGCCACGGTACTTCTCTATAATGAAGTAAAAAATGTAACAACCTGCATGTCTTGCACCTACACCAATACTTTCAGCTGTACCTTGAATAAAGCAGTAGGTTTAGAACTTTTTTTAAAAAAAAAATTTAATTGTTTTTTGAGACAGGATCTCGCTCTTACACCTGGGCTGGAGTGCAGTGGCAAGATCTTGGCTCACTGGAGCCTCGACTTCTGGGCTCAAGCAATCCTCCCACCTCACTTTCCCAAGTAGCTAGGATCACAGGTGCACAACTCCATGCCCAGTTAAATTTTTTTATTTTTGTATTTTTTGTAGAGATGGGGTTTCACCTTGTTGCCCAGGCTGATCTCGAATTCCCGATTTCAAGCAATCCACCCACCTCAGCCTCCTGAAGTGCTGGGATTACAGGTGTGAGCCACCGCACCCGGCTGGTTTAGAACTTAGAACGTTGCTGTAGACTCTTAAATCCCTTAATATGCTTGTGAATCTGAGACAATCCCCCAACACCACTCCCCAGTTTATGTATACATACTTTCAACAACAGCCAGTAGTATTGAAAACCTTGAGATGCACCCATAGTAACCTCCTGCACTGGTGTAGATGACCCCGTGACAGGTTGCTTCTTCTCCAGACCATGCCCACCAAAGTCACAGCCACATGGGAGCCTCTGAGCTCAGAGACACTGTTTGGGGTCTCCATGCACAAGGGCAGCAGCTCCCTGTCCTTTCTGTTGGTGAGGTGGGGAATTCAGTTCTTTTGAATAAGGCTGAGTTTATTCAATACTGATTCTGCTGGCTGACCAGTGATACCTTAAGACTTTATTTCTTGCATTGTAATATTTATCCTGGTTTTGATATGATTTGTTGTGCAAATGTGTTTAACTCTTGGGTATAATTTTTTTCTTTTTTTGTTGTCATAAACGTCATCTAAAATCAAATTTTTATTTTTGTGTTGTGTGTTTAAGGTCTTTAGTCCTCTGTTTTAAAAATGCATTCACAATTATTTTTCAATGAACACTTTTAATTTTTTTAATCTTTTCTCATATTTCTCTCTCCTAAATTGAATGTGAATATCACTTTTATTAGAAAAGATAGATGTTACACATTCTCTGTTTTATGTTTTTGTGCAAATTTTCTCTGAAATATCTCTGGTTGAAAAGGAGAAGGACAGAAACTGTTCTGGAAGCCAAAAGGCAAAATTGGCTCAGATTCCTAAAAATACAAAAAATTAGCCGGGCGAGCTGGCGGGCGCCTCTAGTCCCAGCTACTGGGGAGGCTGAGGCAGGAGAATGGTGTGAACCCCAGGGGGCGGAGCCTGCAGTGAGCCGAGGTCGCGCCACTGCACTCCAGCCTGGGCAACACCGAGACTCTGTCTCAAAAAAAAAAAAAAAAATTGGCTCAGATCCTTATGCTTAAAAAGATGTGTGAAACTTTCTATTATATGGCTTAGTTTGCTGTACGTGTGGAAGGTTAACAAGGTATTGATTTGTGTAGCAGTACAGTAACACTTCACGTCTGAATACAAGGAGCAACCACTTCCTAACTGTGCAGGTGTGAACTTCATGATGTTGCTTTATCTTCCGCTTATACAAAGATTTAGACAATGGCTGGACTCCGTAATTCCTTCCACCTCACTTCCATAAATGTGTGCATGACATTTCTTTGTACAGATCACCTAGTCTATTAGATAATAATTTTTCTTATTTTTGATGAGTGATTATTAAATTTGGTTTTAGTTCTCAGAGATATAAAAAATACCACTTAGAAAATGTGTACATTGAGTGCTGTAATCAGAAAATACTTTTGTGCCATTGACTTGTAAAAAGGGAATTTCAATTTTTTATTTATTGTCATTTTCATCTACCTTAATATGCTCAAAAGGCTTTCATGCTTATGCTCTTTTTAGATTTTAATTTTTGTTGTCTTAGTCAAAAAACATGTGAGGGTTGGACACACTTGTTCAAGATGTGTGAGACATGAGCAATCAACAGAGCAAAAACACTGGTATTTTATGGGAATATGTAATAAGAGATGGGCACTTGCCCTGCTAGGTGTGGCAGCCGTCAGGGTCTGTGGGCTTCGGTGCTGTACACAGAATCGACAGATCCTGCTTGAAGGAAAAAGTGCCCCTCATCTGTCGTACGACAGCCTGGCACCATTTTGTTACGAAACCCAGGTTTGGCCATGGCCACTTCCAAAATCAAGTAACAGAAGGGTAGTAAAAAGAAAGTCACTGGCCGGGCGTGCTGGCTCACACCTGTGATCCCAGCACTTTGGGAGGCCGAGGCGGGATGATCACCTGAGGTCAGGAGTTCAAGACCAGCCTGGCCAACATGGCGAAACCCTGTCTCTACTAAAAATACAAAAATTAGCCGAGCACCGTGGCGTGTGCCTGTAATCCCAACTACTGGGGAGAGAGAGAGACTCCTTCTCCAAAAAAAAAAAAGAAAGTCACTTTATTCCCGAGCTTAGCAATGTGGAAGGGCTGGATTCATATCTAAAGGAACCATATAAGTTTTCTGGGCAGAAAACAGAGTTTTAAGAAGAAAAATTGGCAAGCAGGGCACGCAGAAGGGGTGTGGAGGTGTAGGATCTGCATGACTCGATGGATGACTTATCTCTAGTCATGGGTCATTCGTTAGCCTGCCCAGCATCACTGGGGACAGAGTCAGGTTGTGGATTAACTGATGTCTTGAGACAATCTCTCTGTGGAGGAGAATTCTGGTGGATGCTTATTTTCGTTCAAGATTTGGTAATTTGTAAGCAAACATGTACTTAGATAAGCTGACAGTGCTTGCTGGTTGTTTGGCTGGTGGAAAGGAAGGAGGGAAAAGTTTGAATTTTCATTTCTAAGGAGCTAAGTAAGACATGAACACACAGGAAAAAGAGAAAAAGTAAATATTTTTTAAGGAAAATGAAGTACTTGTTTACAACACCCCACTGTCAAATTCCACTTTATTTTTATGCGATTGGAGCATCATACACATTTGGTGTGCTTCCTACTGAAAGGGAGCATAGTTACAGAGCATTAGAATGGAATCTGTTTACCTGGAGTTGGAAATATTCTTGAGTTTTCAGCAGGAACTTACTGTGCATGTATGGTGTGAGGATCCAAGAATTTCTGAGAATGATTTCCTGCATCTCCATGTAGAGTGTACAACAGCAATAAAATTCATTGCAGCTGAAGAGGGCATTTAACAGTATTAATAATATCTATAAAAGTATTTTATGCATCAGGAAGCCAACTAAATCATGATGTCATAGAGTCCTGACAGAGGGCATCTATAGTAGAAATATGGGTATCTACATGTATAGCTTGGGTTATATTGTGAGAATAATCTGGTGTGTGTGTGTGTGTGTGTGTCTGTATGTGTGTAAAATGGTCAGCCTTAATGAATGCACAAGTGCCACCCTGGGCTGCAGTTAACATATCTAAAGCCATATGATTTAAAGACATCATGAGATTGGAGATAGGATTAGTTTGCTTGTGCATGTCTTTTAGGGCTGAGGATATGTTTCTGGAGTTATCCAGGAAGTATACACAGCATTTAGTCTTAATTATAGTGCAAAGCCCCAAATGTCAGTTGTACCCAGAGCTCCAGTGGAGATATGAGGACAAGTTGGTTAACTATACATACTTAACAGGCTACAGGAGGAGTTGTAAATGTTCATGAAGGTGGTCCTCACCCATGTGTATTAACAAATATCCATGGAACACACAACTCATTTATTTTGGGGCAGAGACTTAACTTTTCAATATATTATAATTATGCCCTATATTTCAAAAGTTCTTCTGAGGACAAAGGCATACAAGTGTGCATTTACTGTAAACCGGCCAAAACTAGTTTATGGTGAGTGATCTTTTATCAGGAGAAAATTACCGAAATTGGTCCCTTGTCTACTTCAATCTGTAGTTATGGCTGGTGGAACAGTGTCTGAGGTCAGTCAGTCAGCTTATCTTGAGGCTAGTGCTTGCTTGGCTGCTAGAGAAACACAGAAACCTTGTGGCAGTTGTAAACATAGTCTGCTTTTTTAAAGTGTAGGAATGTGAGACTTAACGCTTGCCTGGCATGTTTTTAAGTCCTGTTCATAATTTGGTATTTTATTGTTATAAAGAGTCTGTTTTACAGTTTTTATTGTAACGTTAATGCTGATCAGTTGTGCCTAAATTCCCATAATGGGAGGAAGGTATAGTGAAGCATGTTCAACACCCCTCTTGTTGTCATGGCCTGAATTAGTTTTTCAGGTTGCTTTGGCTAACATGCGGGTAGGGAGTCTCCATTAAGTTGGTGGGGGCTTAGGACTTTATTTTGTAGTTTATATTCTCCTTTTTTGTCAAGGTATGCCAGAGGCAGTATTGGTAGCCACGCTTCTATTTTCCCTCATGTCAATGCCAGAGCGGCGTGCTACCTGACCTGTGTCCATCATGTTCCTTGGTGAGACCACTATGTCCAAGGGACTTAGAATCAAAGGTCTTATATCCAATTAAATGTTGTAGGCCAGACTGGAATGAACATGGGCAGGCAGTCTTTAATCCTTAAAACCTCTTTTAAGCAATGTAAGAGCCAAAAACTAAAAGTCAAAAGGTAAGGTTATATAACTGAATTGTCTCTGAATTTTATGCATTGAGCTGTTGTAATCTTGGCTTATAGGAAATATAGCTATACAAAACATAAGTATTTTATTTAGCTGTTTAGGCATCCATGTGCCCATCCTTTATTTGGGGGTCTGAATTAATTTTATTCCACAAGAACCGGCCCTTACAATCTCATGCATTCATACCTTCCATGATAGTCCCTGGGTCTGCAGGAATTGAACAGTTTTAAATTCTGGATATATTAATAAAACAAAATATTCACCATTAACAACATTTTAAGCAAAAATGCCATAAGTCTTGTCTTTTCCTAAGAGTGACAGGACTGAGATGGGTGGATCACGAGGTCAGGAGATCGAGACCATCCTGGCCAACATGGTAAAACCCCGTCTCTACTAAAATACAAAAAAATAGCTGGGCGTGGTGGTGCGCACCTGTAGTCCCAGCTACTCGGGAGGCTGAGGAAGGGGAATTGCTTGAACCTGGGAGGCAGAGATTGCAGCGAGCCAAGATCATGCCACTGCACTCCAGCCTGGGCAGCAGAGTGAGACTCCGTCTGAAAAAAAAAGAATGAGTGACAGGAAAGGAAGCCTATAGATAGATAAACATTTAAATTATTTAATATTAAGTCACAGAATAAATTATATATGTTAGATGCTGGCAGGATTCTGTGTCTTCTTTAGAGGAGCTACATGTATCCTGGAGTCAATTCTTTGTACCTTAACACCAGAAAGATTAGTTAATAGCACCTGATAAGAACTTTTTCAGGGTGTTGGAGGTGGTGATACACTTCACAGTGATTAAAGTTTTTTACCTTTGATAAGCCCCAGAAATAAGTCAGAGACTTAATTTAGGATTCAATTTGAGAGATGTCTGTGAAAGATGTGAGAAAGCTTAAAATACTTGATCAAAACTAAACCACAGGTCCTTGTGAAACAATAGTTATTCATTTAACCAAAGTGATTTAAAGGCAATAGAAAAAGTTACAAGGGTGTAAAAACCGTACTCCTCTCAAATTTCAGGGGTTTCTGAAAAGCATTAAACACTTAACAAAGGCAGCATAGGAACTATCTTGATAAAATGTAAAATCTTGTTTCTTAAGCCAGTTACCAAAAAGTCAAAGGAAAACCTTTCTTAGTGTGAGTGCCTCTCCTTAGAAGAAAGCCCGTTTACATAATCTGGAAGTACAACTTAAGATAAAAAGTGCTTGAATTTAATCAAACATGGGAAGAGTGTGTACAAGATTTTGAGTAGAACTGGGGAATACATGACTCTTAGTAGCTGCATGATAAGTTTCCTGATTACAGTGAAAATTTAGACACACCAAAAACAACAACAACAAAAAAACCCAAGAGTATAGAATCAGGTTATCCTGGAGGAAAACATTTCTTTTATAGACCTCTAAAATAAAATATTTCAGCATCAGCCACAACAACATTTAGAACTAAGGAAAAAAGTTATAGGAGCTGACAAGAAGCTGAAGGATAGAGTTATCATCCCAGGCCACATCAAAGGGAGAGAAAGCTGATAGCAGCAAGACAACAATTGAACATTTGAGATATGAATCTCAGAAGTTTTCAAAAGAAGTAGATTATAGAACAGAAAATCAAAATTTACTGTAATTTTATTAAGAGTAAATTGATACCTTAAGAAAATCTTGATTTAACATAGGGGACCATTCTTTAGAAAGACTTATTAATTCCTTTTTAATTATGGCTAACTTAATTGCATACAAAATTTCTTTTATAAATTCCCCTTCACAAGCCTTATCATGACTTACACAGACCATCTGTCACATGCTTGGACTGTATACTTGTCCTGTAGTACCTGTTTCTTTTTTAATTTTTTTTCAATTTTCTTTTTCTAGATTAACTTTGTAATAAGAATCTGTTGCTTAAATAACCAGTCATTTTACTTTAGGAGAATAATTTCCCATACAAGATTCTTTCTCATAGAAAATTACTCTTTTTCCTTTATAACCTTCCTTACCAAAAGTATATGTTCCTTTCTGTATCTTTCTTCACAACTCTGTTCACCACTTACTGCTTCCTTCCCAGCTTGTTTCATAAATAACCTTTTCAAACCCGTAATTTGAATAAACTTTTATATAACTTTGGAATTAGACAAAATAATTCTTTTTCTCAATAAGGACACCTCTTCTTTGGCACATTTGATAGAAACCTAGGAAAAAAGAAATCCTGAACTATCAGATATTAGTATTGTATAGATGAGAACCATTTCACAATTTTTAGAACAGTTTTCTCTATATAATAACCCTTTCTTAATTGGAAATGACCTAGACATCTAGTAAGCATCCAAAATGATTTTAAGATTTTAAATTATACAAAAATTTCACTTAGAAACATTGATCTCATTTATGTGTACTCAGCTTTTCCATTTTACCAGTTTACCTAGAGTACTTTTGAAAACTGGGATATTACATCAAAGTAGTAATTATTTATTTATGTCCCTATGACCCATTTTTAAAGTCTGTGGACATTAGGTGTTTTACCTAAGTAAGAACCTTAAAGTTCAATATATGGGCATTTTGTCAATAGCACAGAAGATTTAACTGTTTTCACTGAACTAGTAATATTAAATTAGTCTAACTCATCTGTAAAATCACACAAACAAAAATGATTCTGTTTTTGGCTGGGTTTATGGTCTTATAACCTTTATGTCATATCCTGACACCTGATGATATAGACAGAGATAAATACAAAATCATTTGTTCAGTAAACTCAGATAAAAATATATGCTGATCATTTTGAAGATATTTCCAATATTATGTCACGAATAATCTTAAAACCAATTTTATTTCTCAAGGATTACTAAATTTACGTGAACTTGAAAAGCATCCTGACTTAATTTATGAGCACTTATTTACTTGTAAGTCAATTTGGTAGCAGGCTAGACATAACACATAATACACATACATACACACAAACATATCTAAATATGTATACACACAGAAGTAAAGTTCTAATAGCTTTTACCTTGGGATTCTAACCATAAAATAACAGTACACACTCAGTATTTTATAAAGATAGCTGGATACACGTTATTGTCTGACAAAACTGAAACCTGTTTCCATGGCTAAATTTTGTTTTCTGCAATACATAATCCCATGAAAGCTGTGAACCAAAATTTGGGTAAAGCAATCTTTATGGCAGTTTTGTTTTTAAAAAAGCATCTTTTCCCTTTTATTTCCTTTAGTTTTAAACAAGTTTCTTGTGTTTACTTTCTAGTTAGTCCATAAATAATGAGTCTTAGCACCGGCAGCTTAGTAACATCCAATTTGAAGCAGGCAGAAAAGAAAACAGAGGAAGGAAGAGAGGTTTTGATGACTCTGCTTAACTTAATAGTTGCAGTTAACCATTTGAGCTCTAAAGTTTTCTTGCTAGAATTTGCCTATCTGTTTAAAATGTTCACAAAAGTAGGTCTTAATAAGTAACCAGCTGAAATCCCAAAGAGAATGAGAATATGAAGTTCCTGCCAGGCCTTTTAAAAGGAGGGAAAGAAAAAGAAAGAAAAGGAGGTTTGTGAACCTTCTAGCGCTGCATGGTATAGGGTTGGTACCCCCACCACTCTTGCTTACATCCCATCAGGGAGAGCCCCGCTACCCTAGACATGCACAGTGTGAGACGAATCCCTCCCACCTCTGCCATCATGGGGGAAGGAAACTGTTTACAGCTGGAGAGAGCTAAGGGTACCTTTGACTGAAATGAGTAAGGCTGTAGGTGGCTTCCAAGATAGTCAGTAAGATGAAGTTGGAAGTGAAAAGGATAGGAAGAGATCAGGGCCCACACTCAAAGGTCATACACTCACACTTACAAACAAATGGTGAGCTTCCAAACAAACCCCAGTTAAGGGGCTGAGTAGAATCCTGAATTTCTCTCCTCTGTTCAAAACAGCTCCATGGGTGTCTGAGACCAAATCGAGCAATGTCCAGTAGTGCCACCAATACAAATCCGTAAAACACTCAAATGATAGTCCCATTAGTGGACCAGATGAAACAGCAAAGCCCCAGCAACACCCCAGAAGACACAGGAAAGCGGGGTGCACTCTACTAGCTCACTTGGTTGCATGGGCTGCCAGCTTCTTCAGAGGTCACATTCTTTGTACCAGCAAAGTGTTGATGGCTGCAGAAGTTGTGCAAGGAAGTGAAAGGGAGGGTCTAGGAAATGAAAGATTTTCAGCAGCTGCTTGGAAGTTCCCTAACATTCCTGCCATGGGGTCTGCTAGCCTTCAGCTGCTGGTGCTCACAGGCAACCCTCCGCCTTGGTAGAAAAACCAGGCTCACAGGCTTGGGTTGCTCAGAGCACATAATGCTGCCCATACGGGCCACCAAATTTGTTACCAAACACAGGTTTGGCCACTTGTCACTTACAATATTAAATAACAAGCAAGAGGGTGGTAAAAAGAAAGTGACTTTATTTCACAGCTTAGCAATGGAGAAGAACCAGGTTCATATCTAAAGGAGCCGCTTCAGTTTTCCGGGAAGAAAGCAGGGTTTTAAGAAGAGAAACTTTCTTGTGCAGGGTATGCAGAAGGAACATGGAGGTGTGGGGTCTATGTGACTTGCTGTAAAACTTAGCTAAGGGGTCATCTGTTAGTCTGACCAGTGTCATTGAGGAAAGAGTCAGAATGTGGATTAACTATTGTCTTGAGACAGTGTCCTTGTGAGGGAGAATTCTGGATGTTGCCTGCTTTGGTTCAACATTTGGTCCTTAGAATTTCTAAGGAAACATATACTTAGATAAGCTGGCAATACTTGCAGGTTGTTTCACTGGTGGAAACGAAGGAAAGAAAAGGTTACATTTGCATTTCTGAGGAGCTAAGCAAGAGGTGAACACTGAGAAAAAGAAAAAATGCAAAGGTAATTTTTAGGAAAATAGTATACTGGGTTACAACTTAACTTAATTTCACTGTGTCTAAAGAGCAACCCTATACTTCATGCAAACTACATAGCCTGGGGCATTCATGTGGTGAAGAACAGAGAAAAAATATTTTTTTTTTTTTTTTTTTTTTTTTTTTTTTAGTTGTAGTGCTCTTGAATTTATTTACAATGAAAATAACAAAAAGCAGTGAGAAACAGCATTTCACTGAATAACAGCACCTTAGTATTATAGTAAGCAGAGCATGGTTTGGGATAAAATTACCTGAATAATTGAAAGAATTCCATCGTAACATGATTTCACCTATATGTTAGACCCATGGATTCTATAAACCCACTTAGAGCGTTGTACCAATGTTTAAATTACATGCTTTACAGAATCCAATTCAAATGTATTTTTATATGTCATCAGAACTGCCATGGAAAGTGGTAACTATACATGCATTGTGGTTTTAGGTAAATTTTCTTTTAAAAAGAGGAATTGTATATGTCTTCATAGGAAGTGATCCAGGGAAAGCTTGATTTGTTTTAGTAATTCTTTTCTTAATACTTTTACACTCTTTATCCTACTCTCATTTCTTCACATTCACAAGAAAGAGGCTTTGTTTACCTTTCTGCTCACTTTTGGGTGATCATGATGTGTCAATGAACTCAAGACAAATTTACAAGAAAAAAACAAACAACCCCATCAAAAAGTGGGCGAAGGACATGAACAGACACTTCTCAAAAGAAGACATTTATGCAGCCAAAAAACACATGAAGAAATGCTCATCATCACTGGCCATCAGAGAAATGCAAATCAAAACCACTATGAGATATCATCTCACACCAGTTAGAATGGCAATCATTAAAAAGTCAGGAAACAACAGGTGCTGGAGAGGATGTGGAGAAATAGGAACACTTTTACACTGTTGGTGGGACTGTAAACTAGTTCAACCATTGTGGAAGTCAGTGTGGCGATTCCTCAGGGATCTAGAACTAGAAATACCATTTGACCCAGCCATCCCATTACTGGGTATATACCCAAAGGACTATAAATCATGCTGCTATAAAGACACATGCACACGTATGTTTATTGCGGCACTATTCACAATAGCAAAGACTTGGAACCAACCCAAATGTCCAACAATGATAGACTGGATTAAGAAAATGTGGCACATATACACCATGGAATACTATGCAGCCATAAAAAATGATGAGTTCATATCCTTTGTAGGGACATGGATGAAATTGGAAACCATCATTCTCAGTAAACTATCGCAAGAACAAAAAACCAAACACCGCATATTCTCACTCATAGGTGGGAATTGAACAATGAGATCACATGGACACAGGAAGGGGAATATCACACTCTGGGGACTGTGGTGGGGTCGGGGGAGGGGGGAGGGATAGCACTGGGAGATATACCTAATGCTAGATGACACATTAGTGGGTGCAGCGCACCAGCATGGCACATGTATACATATGTAACTAACCTGCACAATGTGCACATGTACCCTAAAACTTAGAGTATAATAAAAAAAAAAAAAAAAAAAAAAACTCAACAATAAGAAAGCACACAGCCTGATTTTTTAAATGTGCCAAAGGCCTTAACTGATGCCTCTCCAAAGAAGATATTCAGATAGCAAATAAGCATACAAAAAGATGCTCTACCTTGTATGTCATTTGGGAAATGCAAGTTAAAACAACAATGTGATACCACTGTTACACAATTGATGAACCTACATTGACACATCATGATCACCCAAAAGAGAAAAAATATTTTTAAGATGCAAAGGAAACTGGAGATTTTTTTAAGGAAAATCAATGAAGGAAGAAACCTTTATTGGCTTCTCCTTTTGGTGACAAATGTATTGTTCTCTTATAAGTAGAAAACTATACTTTAATTATTTCGTAATGTAGTGATTTTACCAGCCACAACTAACAGGATAACATAGGAAAGGCAGGTTGGTGTCCACACAGGGTGACTGAATCTACCTAACACACCATTTACTTTGTTTCTAAACAGTGTGTATTCCTTCATTCTTGGGTTGGATGCAAGATCACTGAGTCATGGAAAACTTTGTCTTTTTGTAGTCAGAAATTAGATGAAAGCATAAAGGGGAATTACTGTTTATTAAATAATTCATTTAAATTACTTTACTTTCAATCTTTGCTTTTTGTTTCTGTACTGCGCCAGTACTCCTGTGAACCATGTCTCAGTGGAGTAATGATGGCACCACAGTCCGGCCTGCATGGCTGTTGGCATGCGTGCTCCCTCCTCGTGCAGCCATGGAGAATGGCTTCATGAAATTCAGCCACCTCTTTCTCCAGACTGTCAGTTCCATCTTCTCAACTCTGAGGGTCTTCCAGAGTCCGTGCCACACCACAGCCTGGAAACTCTCCCCAAGCAGTAACCTGAGGCAACAGTAGCCCTCATTGTTTCACGTCTCTCAGATGTCACTGTCCTTCATTGTTTGATGTGCGCTGTCTTGCAATCCATCCTTCCAGATAAATCGTCCATTTTTACCTGTGATAAGCCATGTCCAATTGCCATAAGTTTTTCCACAACATTTTGTTTCATTCTTCCTGCAATTACGCAATCATTACTGTACCACCGCCTATATGGATATACTTGTCAATGTGAAGCTGAGTAAGGAACAACGTTCACCAAACTCACAGACAAAGATGGACAAGCGAGCAGGCCTTTGTATCACTAAAGGGAAGCTCAGATTGGTAAATATGTAATGTCTGTAGTAGTCTCGTTGGGGACATCCACAGTATGTTAATGAATCAAAGACTGAAGAAGGATCTCAAAAAAAGAATAATATCTCTGTCTCAACTCTTATACACATAACAGACTTATTTACCCTTATTGAAAAAGTCCTTCTAGAATTTTAAATTTACACTTTATTCATATAAAAATGAAAGCAATATTGAAATTAATTCATAAATTCACACGTATCTTGGTATTCTGATTGTGATTGTTCTGAATTAGGTGTTGACACTTTTTCAAAGTGATGATTGATATAGTTGGATGAATATCCACCATGTTTGTTAGAATCTTCTAGTTTTTGCGCTTCCCTGTTTCCATTTTTGTCTTCCATTCATTTTCCTTTTTTTGTGGTTTTTATTCAGCATTTCATATAATTCAATCTTCTTTCTTAGCATCTCAGACTTTTTTATACTTTTTTATTGGTTACTCAAGATAAAAACTTTTAATTTTCATATTCTTAATTGATCTTACATATAAGAGCTTATTTAATATAATTATATTCAATAGCAGACAGGTGCCTTTCAAAAAAAATAGTAGCAAGGCCAGGCCCAGTGGCTCAGGCCTATAACATCTCAGCAGTTTGGGAGGCCGAGGTTGGTGGATCACCTGAGTTCCGGAGTTTGAGACCAGCGTCGCCAGCATGGTGAAACCCCATCTCTACTAAAAAAGAAAAAATACAAAGAATAGCTGGGCATTGTGATGTATGTCTGTAATCCTAGCTACTCAGGAGGCTGACGCAGGAGAATAGCTTGAATGCGGGAGGCAGAGGTTGCAGTGAGCTCAGAACGTGCCACTGCACTCCAGCCTGGGTGACAGAGCAAGACTCTGTTTCAAAAAAAAAACAAAGCAGCAATTAATTTAATTATATTTTCCTAAGTATAAGATATATATAGATATGTGTGTATATATATACATATAAGTAAAATGAAAGGAAAAAAGGGAGAAAAGAAAAAATACAGGAAAAAGGAAGAAATAGTTAGAACTATTCTTTTATAAGATGGTTACACTACTTCTGAGGCTGTATACTTTTATATGACAGGAGCTTAGATTAGTAGTAAATATAAATTGCAACCTCTAGGGGAGGACACTGGATGAGGAGCCTCAGTTTTTTGCTGTCTGTGGCCAGAGGCTGCATGCAGTTATTTCCCATGTTGGCTTCTCTCCCATGGCAGAATGTGTCATCAAAGCCACCATGACAGAGAGCTTGCAGCAAGACAGGTATCATAATCTTAGGTAACATGATTACCCAAGTGACATCCTATCAGGTTGTAGTCTTCTGATATATCAAAGCAAGTTTCAGTTTCTCCCCAAAGTCACAAGGAAAGGATTAGATATTCTAATTAAGCTCTGAGGATCATTGTGCACCATCTGAGAGTTCACCTGCCAACGTCAGGTCTTGCTTAATCTGGGACAGGTTCTCAGTCCTCACTTTGTGAGAAAACAGGTCACATAGTTTGTAAAATGTATCAAAATCCAGATTTCTCTGAATGTTTCTCATAATTTTACTGAGCAATATAGAGAGAGACATGTAATTATCTATTTGTGAAGAGAAGAAACAGCAAACAGGACATTATTAACAAATACAAATTTAGAGACCAAAACTAAGAAAGAAAAGTTTGCGAATGGGAAAAGGAAAATTAAAAATAATGGTAATGTTCACCAGGGTAACAAAAAGCGTGGGAATGGGGAGGTGAGCACCTGGGACGCTACGAGATCGACAGTGTTCTGCTTAGTAAGCTCAATAGTGTAATTTTTAAAATATATATATTTTATTTATTTTTTAAGTCTGTGTTAGAATAGCTTGGATTTACAGAATAGTTAGAAGTACATACAGAGAGTTTATATATATTCAACACATAATTTCCCTTTTATAAATTCTTACATTCATTTGAGACATTTGTTGCAATTGATGAACCAATATTATACATTATCATTCAGCAACATTCACAATTAATCAGATGTTCTGTTCTCACCTAATGTCCATATTCTGTTCCAGGATTCCACCCAGGACACCACATCACATTTAGGTATCGTGTGCCAGTTTCTCAGATTTTCCTTATTTCTGATATCATTGAAATCCTTCCTTTGGGATGTCTCTGGTGTTTTCTTAATGATTGGATGGCTGTTGTGGATTTAGCAGAGGAAACCCACAGAGGGAAACTTTTATTCTCATGATATTATAACAAGAGTACATAGTGTCAACATGCTGTATCAGTTTTTTTTTTTTTTTTTTTTTTTTTTGAGACAGGGTCTCACTCTGTTGCTCAGGCCGGAGTGCAGTGGCATGAACAAAGCTCGCTGCAGCCTCGAACTCCTGGGCTTGAATGATCCTCCACCTCATCCTCTTGAGTAGATGGGACTACAGGCATGTGCCACCACATCTGGGTGATTTAATTTTACTTGTACTTTTGTAGAGGCAGAGTCTCACGACATTGCTCAGGCTGGTCTCTAAGTCCTGGCCCTAAGCGATCCTCTCACCTCAGGCTCCCAAGTGCTGGAATTACAGGTGTGAGCCACTGTGCCCAGCTGCTTTATCATGGTTAATGTTATTTGATCACACGGATGAGGCAGTTTAGCTCAGTTTTCTCCACTATAAAATTAATATTATTCCCCTTCTCATGTTGTACCTTTTGGAAAAAACATCACTATGCACAGCACATACATACTTCTATAAATGTCATTTGTGTTTCTGTAAAAAATATTTAACATTCCTTGGGCTGTTCTGGATCAATTGCATTTTTCTGTGCGTTTTAGAGTCAGTGGTCCAAGAGTTGCTAAAAATGAAAAAAAATTAAAGTTAGAATTTTAGTAGGGCTTGTATTGAATCTGAAGATGCATTTAGAAAGTATAAGCATCTTGGTTAATACTTAATAGCTTTCTGATCAATGAAAATCTAGTTCATATAGTATATTACACTAATTCTTTTATTCATTTATTTAGGATTTCTTTAATACTTCAATATCATTTGTAATTTTCAGTATATATATCTTGCAGTTATATTATTTTCAAATATATTTCCTTTTGGATGCCATGTTAAATGAAATTACTTTCTGAGTTTCATTATTTGATTAGTTTCTATTGTATAAGAATGCAATTTATTACATCGATCATGCATACTGAATTTTTTTTTGTTCCAACCTTATTTTAGTGAATTTTTTAGGATTTTCTATACATTAGATTATGTCACTGGCCAATAGATGTTTGACTTCTTCCCTTTCAATTTGGAAGTCTTATATTTATTTTTCCAGCCTAATTTTATAAATTACATCCTCAGGCATAATGTTTAGTTGAATTAGTGGAATAGATAACCTTTTGTGTTTGTAATTTTGGGAAAATTACTGAGACCTACTTGATACCATGTGTTGTCATGTGAATTTTTCATGGGTGCCTGTGTTAGGTAAGAACATTCCCTTTATGCAAAATTTGTTTAGTGTTTTTACTGTGAGTGGTTTTTTGAATTGGAAAGTGCTTATTCCATATCTTTAGATGTGATAAAGAAAATTTTGTCATTTATTATATTAATATAGTGATTACACTAATTCTTTTTATATGTTTTACCAAACTTGTGATCCTGAGAAAATAAATAAATAAATTAGTGTTTAATTCTGTTTTACGATCCTGATCTGTGTTCAGACTATTTCCTCGAGAATTATTGCTTGGGTATCCATAAAGCATATGAGTTTATAGTTTTCCTTTTTTGGACTGTTTTTGTTTGGTAGTGGCCTCAGAGGAAACTGCCTCATAGAATGTATTGCACACTGATCTCTTCTCTATTATTTTATCTTTTTGGAGAACAGTTAGTAAAAAATTGCTGTTAATATTTTAAGGGTTTCATATAAATCATCAGTGAAGTCTTCTCAACCAGGTCAATCACGAGAACTTAGAAGATGATTCCTCCCCAGCTGATCCTCAGGTGAGACCTCAGCCTTGGCCATCATCTACATCTGAATTCCTGACTCAGAGAAACTGTGAGTAATTTGTATGTGCTTTTGAGCCACTAAGTTATGTGGTTATTGGCTATGCTGCAATAAACAATAATACACTTAACGGTAAACATAATATGTTATCCTTGATTAGATCCAAAAAAAGGAAAAATGGCATTAGTGGAAAACCTGGTAAAATATGAAGACAGTCAGTACTTTAGTTAATAGTTTTGCGCCTTTATCAGTTCTTGAGTTTTCATAGATAGTCTATGGTTCTGTTGTGATATTAATATAATAGGAAATTGAAGGGTATATACAACTTTATGTAAGGTTTTAACAACTCTCTGTTAATCTAAAATTATTTCAAAATAAATAGAAGTGTAGACATGGCTCATATATTTGAGATCAGGTCTCCCTGTTAACTTAATTGAGCCTTCATGGAACCTAAATCTCATGGCACAAATGCAATAATATTATAAAATATAAATCAGATGAGTTTCTATTTTACTCTCTTCTTCAGGGAACGCTAAAGCCCATTCTTCTTCTCAAGTATTCAAAAACAAAGTTGATCCAAGTAACAAGTGGACAGCATAAAAGATTGTATGGAAACTATAATGCATCTACATCTGCAGTAACTAATCATAAAATGATTTGTATGATCATTCTTCACATGATTAGAATGACTATGGGAAAGAAGAAAAAGAAGTGCAACTTTCTTGATTTAAAAATTGTATCCGTGCAAGTGTGGTGGCACACACCTGTAGTCAGTCCCAGCTGCTAGGGTGGGTGGGTAGGATGAACATGTGGTACCAGGATTTTGAGGCTGTGTAGCGTGCTATGCTTGTGCCAGTGAATAACCAGTGCACTCCGGCCTGGGCAACATAGTGAAACCCCATTAAATAAATAAATGAATAAGTTACAGAGATCATTGTTTATATTTCTATGATTAGGTCTGAAATCCTCTAGATAGAGATTTTTTGTTGTTTTGTTTTTTGAGACGGAGTCTCACTTTGTCACCCAGGCTGGAGTGCAGTGGCGTGATCTTCTCCCTGCAAGCGCCTCCTCCCAGGTTCACGCCATTCTCCTGGCTCAGCCTCCCCAGCAGCTGGGACTACAGGCGCCCGCCACCATGCCCAGCTAATTTTTTTGTGTTTTTAGGAGAGGCAGGGTTTCACCATGTTAGACAGGATGATCTGGATCTCCTGACCTCATGATCCGCCCGCCTCAGCCTCCGAAAGTGCTGGGAATACAGGTGTGAGCCGCCGCACCTGGCCTGAGATTTTTGTTTATCTTTGGAGAGCTACCACTCCAGTGCAAACTTTCAAATAATGCCTTGCCAGTTTTACTTTCCCTCTCAAGGATTCCTGGAACTATAGTTTATAAAATTATCTCGCAGCATGTGTGTTATTTCACAGCATGTGTTTTATTTTTACTTCTGTTTGCTGTTAAGGCCTCTCTGGATGGTGACTATAACCTATAACCTTGCCCAATACGACTCAGGGTTTGGTACTGGCTGTGCCTTTCATGGGATGCTTACTTATCCTGGTCGATGGCCTAAAGCCCAACCGTCCAGCTTACATCCAGGTATCCCTCTCACAGAGTACTTCTTTATACTGTAAGACACCCTGTGGCTCCTGTCTGACCTGTGTCTAGTTTATTTCTACCAAGGTAACCACTCTCTAGGAGAGTGCTAAGTGGGAGAAAAGTGATGTCCATGTGTGTTCGTAAAGTGAAATACAGAGGAGGCAACTCAACAAAATGTGTATAATGGCATGAGTCATGTATTACTAACCAATCCCAGTAAGAAGAGGGCAGCATTCCTTGAAGTGCAGATGGAAAGAGAAGAGCTCTCCAGGACATACACTCATAAGCAGCAGGGGTGGTGGAGGAGCAACTAGAGACAGACATAGTATTGCACCATTTGGCTGAAGTCTTTATGGGTGTATTTGTCAGTTGTTTTTTTTTTCCAGAGAGACAGGGAGGTAGATAGGTAGGTAGATAGATACATATATAGATGGAGAGTTGATAGATAGATAATAGTTCAATGAGCGGCATTTTGTTTGGGGATTTACTCATGTAACATTGTAGAGACGGAGCATTCCCGAGACAGCCATCTGTGAGTTTAAGGACCTTGGATGCTGTAGCGTTGGTGGCTCAGTCCAAAGCTGAAATCTTCAGAATCAGGGAAGCCCTTGGTGTAATTCTCAGTTTGGGACCAATGGCCTGAGAATCCAGGGCATTTAC
Organism: Homo sapiens; assembly: GCF_000001405.40. Classification (NCBI taxonomy): domain Eukaryota; kingdom Metazoa; phylum Chordata; class Mammalia; order Primates; family Hominidae; genus Homo; species Homo sapiens. The sequence continues at coordinate 24,146,160 of NC_000015.10, forward strand.
TGGTGTAACTTCTGGAGTTTCAAGGCCATAGATCATGGAATTCTGTTTTCCAAGGGCAGGAAAAGGAGTATACCTTCTTCAGGAGAGAGAGACAGGAAGACTTTTTAAAAATTTTTCATTTTTGGTTCTATTTGGTCCCCAAGGAGATTGTATGCTGCCTTCCCCCATTGAGGGTGGATTTTTTTCCACTAAATTCCCTGAGTCATACACCAATCTCCTCTGGAAACACCCTGGCAGACACACCTAGAAGTAATGCTTCACCAATTCTGTAGGTATTCTGTAATCCAGTCAGCGTCTTAAATTAACCATGACAAATCCAGCACCTTTCTAGTTGGCACCTATATGTGTCACCTTAAGCCATAACTAATCTTCAAATACAGACAATAACAAGGCAATAGTTCTACCTAACATTATGCAACGATCCTGTGTGCAACCAGAACACACTATACTATTTTTCTTAAGAGTAGTAGAAGTTTGTGGGTGATGTTTACTCTTCTGATACCCCATAACTTCAATACAAATATATTAAATTACTAACACTTAACTGCTAATATCAAGTTAATGCATTCTTGTGTTATGTGATAAAAGAAGAGAGAAATAAAAACAATGTTATTTGGCTAATAAATGTATATATAACATGCAAATGTATTCTTAAAGTAGATAGGAAATACTAGTGACAATTTTAATCCTTGTTTCTTTAACTGGTCACCTGGTCCTGTCTGCTATTTGTAACTCCCTTCTACTGCTACCCATTCAGTATTCTCTTTGTCTTCAGCAAGCCCCTCTGCTGGTCCTGGGTCTTTACCTGGCAGGGTGATGCAAACCTTCATTCCTGAAAGATCTGGATCATTTGTATTCTTGTCTGGAATGGTTGTAATATTCCATTGAACTTAATAACAGGGCATAGTAATACTAAGACTTTGTTTTAGTCCATTTTCTGTTACTTATAACAGAATACCTGAAACTGGGTAGTTGATAAAGAAAACACATGTGTTTCATACAGTTATGGAGGCTGAAAAGTCCAAGGTTGAGACGTTGTATGTGGCGAGATCCTGTTCCTGGTTGGAACTCTCTGAAGAGTTCTGAAGCCTACAGGGTAGCGTATGGCAATGGAGTAGAGCTTGCTGACATGCAAGATCATGTCTCCCTTCTTATAAGCCACTCTTCTCTCATAGTAGACTATTAATCTTTAAATATTAATTTATTAATCCATGAAAGGATTAATTCATTTATGGGGTCAAACTCTTCATGATCCAGTCACATTTTAAAGGTCTCACAATTCAGTACTGCCATGTTAGGGATGAAATTTCAGCATAAATTTTGGAGGGAAGCAATATTCCAACCACAGGACTCCACTTCTGACTCTAAAAATAAAGCCCTGTCACTTACAAAAAGTTTATTTAATTCCTATCGTTCAAAGGCTTAAATTGTTCTAGCACCAGCAGGAAGTTCCCAAATCTAAAGTCTCCTCTGTCAGCCCATGAAATCAAAACAAGTTATCTTCATACAAAATTCAGCAGTTGGGTTGTTAATGGTCAATGGGTTCATGTTGGCTGCTGCCCAGATAGAGTCACTTTATCAAGATAGGGGAATTGCTGTAGAGAAGATTTTATACATGTAGAGCCAGCTAAAGGAGAGAGCAGTTTTCGTATTACTCAAAACTGCTTCCCCAAATATTCAGAGGCTAGAGTTTTTATAGATAGTTTTGTGGGCAGGGGTTAGAGAAAGGGACATGCTGATTGGTTGGGTCAGGGATGAAATCTTAGGAAGTCAAAGCCATCTTCTTTACTGACTTCAGCTCCTGAGTGTGGGCCACGTATCCAGATGAGCCAGTTTATGGGTTTAGGTGGCACCCACTGATCTGTCAGAATGCAAGTTATGAAAAATACCTCAAACACCAATCTTAGGTTTTACAATAGTAATGCTATTTATAGGAGCAATCGGGGAGGTTATTAATATTGTGGCCTCTGATTGTATGACTCCTGAGCCATACTTTCTAATATTGTGGTTAATTTGTTAGTTTTACAAAGTTGATGTGGTCCCCAAACAATGAGGGGTTTTGTTTCAGGGAGGAGCTGTCATTATCTTTGTTTCAAAGTTAAGCTACAAAGTAAATTTCTCCCGAAGTTAGTTTGTTTTTGCCCAGGAATCAGCAAAGGCCTCTTGGAGGTTAAATGCAAGATGAAGTCACTTAGGTCATATCTCTCTCCCTATCATAATTTTCTTACTGTTACTGTTTTTGCAAACGTGATTCCAATTTCCCTTTGCAAGTTTCATTGCATCTTATTCTTAATGGGTGAGGTACAGAGTTGGGAAAAGGCCAAAGACCATTCTAACTTCTTCCTGCTGACAAGGGGTATACTTGGGATAGGGTTTGGCCCAGAGTAAATGGAATGAAACTGCTTTGCAGCTGCCTGCATGTATTCACAGGTGCCTGGTTGGGGTTCCTAGGCTTGCATGACCAAGATGTTAGTGCTCTCATCCACAGTTTTAGTACAGCACTTAAGTGAACAGCTGACTATAGGATAATGAGTCCTAATATAAGGAGTGGAAGTCCTAGCTTCAGAAGTCCTTATATAATTCATCTAAATCCCTGAGCGATTTGGGTGAATAGCGCCAAGAACCAGTCAGACATGGGGTCAATAGTCAAGAGAGATATGGGTCAGAGGTTGTTAGAAAGACAAATTTGGATAAACAGGAAAGAGCAAATTTAAATATACCATCTCATATCTTTTTAGTTAGTTTCCTAGTCCTCAGAATAGATCCCAGCAGTGTTTCATTCCAGGAGGCGTCACTGCAAATGAACTAGGCCCCCTTATGTGATTAAGGCAAAAAACATTTTTAATAACAGGCATTTGTATGGAAATAGAAAATAATAACAAAGATTTATATTGGGCACAATGCATCCAGATGTTAGATTCAAAGCATTTTTAAGTTGCAAAGGAGGATAGTGATGACAATCTCACATATTTCGCATCTGTATCTCAAGGGATAAGCTTCAGCCTGCAGGGCCTTGGGAAGAAGTTCGTAGCCATTTCATTGAGTCCAGGTCAGAAAAGGGGAAGAAAAATGTGAATGTGTTAGTTTGAGCACTTTAGCTCTGAGAGATTTCAGGATTCAGTACAAAATGCAGAAAACAATAAAAAGCTTAAAAACAATAGACAAGACTAGAATGTAACAACAGGTGTGCTATAGTATTTTTCTGAAATACAATGTTTCGCTCTCTAGTTCTCATTTTTTAAAGACATATCATAGTAGGACACATTTATTTGCAAAATAAGTTTTGGTATTATTATACTTAGCCTGATTATTTGCGTAAAGTTCAGCAAGAATAATTATTTGCCATATTAGCTCTTTCTAAATTGGGTTTGCTGGAACTTTGTTCCCTAAGGAATCTCGGATTGGACTTTTTTAAAGCCTTCAAGGGATGTATCTGTGCCTGCAAATACTTGTACAGATTGCTTGAAATTCTCTCTTCTTCAGCTCCCAAGATAATTTAGGAATCATAGGCCTGTCAGAATGTGACATTTTTTACTAACCACAGGTCAGGAACCCTGTACAAGGCCTGTGTAGACAGTTATGAGGTCAGTTTCTTAAGGGGCTTTTATCATGTCTGTTAGTCAACTTTAATTCCTCAAGCCTGTCTGTTTGTATCTGAAAGTAGGCCATTCCACTGGTAACATCATCACATCTTTGGTAAAATAATCAGTGTCTCCAATTGTGTTCTCTTACAAAAGAAATCAGATTCTTATTTTACTTATGTCAATAACTATATCTCCATAGTATAGAATACTCATAAATAAATAGTTTTCAAATTCTGGAGAAATCAAGTAGAGAAAATGAAATATCCTTCATCTTTTGTTCACAGGAATATACTTTACTCAATCATGAAAAGCTGTAAATAGCTGAGAAGAAAAAATGTTGTCTTGACTCTGAAAAACAACAAAAAAGATCAGCAACATTTCAAGCAACAAGTCATAAAAGGATTATTGTGGTGTTCTATTTCTTCTATTAGTTCAGTCCATGCAGTTAACTTTGTCTGACATTAGGCCTGCAGTCCTCATAAACATACCAGCTATCTCTGACAGTCCTGGAAGTTTGTTTGTTTGGTTTTGTTTTTTTCCTATTTCAATGCCACAATCTTTAGTTATCAGAAACCTGTATTCAAGAGAACATTTCAAAGAGCAAACACATTTTGAATAGTTTAAAAAAAAAAGAGCACAATAATCTGTGGGTGACAGTAATCTCAGGACAGCCATTGTTTTATTAATTTTACTTTGATTTTGTTGAGACAGGGTCTGAAGCCACGCAGGCTGGAGTGCAGTGGCACAATTATGGCTCACTGTAGTCTCACCTTCCTGGAATCAAGCAATCCTCTTTCTTCAGCCTCCAGAGGAGCTGGGACCACAGGCAAGTGCTACCACATCCAACTAATTTTTTGACTTTTTTGTAGAGAAAAGTTCTCACTATCTTGCTCAGGCTGATCTCAAACACCTGAGCTCAAGCAATCCTCCCAACTTAGCCTCCTAAAGTTCTGGGATTACAGGTATGAGCCACTGTGCCCAGTGAGGACATTACAGGCATGAGTCACTGTGTCCAATGAGGCCATTGTTAAAGACACAGTCAACAAAGAAATCTGGTCATTTCTGTGACACATAACAATTCAGCGTAATAATCATAATTATTACTGATAACATATACTAAGACATATTAGAATTATTTCTGAATATTCTTAATTTATGGTATTATAAGTTATTTGCATATGATCGATATGATATTTTTTTTTGTATCATGATACAATTGGAGACAGTAGTTACCTTGCCAAGGCTTTGGCTGGAATAGCATATTTTCATCTATGAGCAGATTGCTTTGACAAATTTAGGTTGAATAATAGAGCCAATAAAATTCCCTTGGAGAGACTGGCCTTGTACCTTCTCTACAGATTTTCTAACCTGTGGTAAGAAAAGCATGTTACCTTCTGACAGGCCTAGGAACTCCAAGTAATCTTGCGACCTCAAGATGAGAGGAATTCACCCAGTTCATAAGTTATTTGCAGGCACAATAAATCCTTGTTTGAGCTTGAGGGGCTTTTTGAAAAGTCAAATCTTAGACACTTTGTTTAAAAAAAAAGTTCCATCAATGCCAAATTAAAAGAGCCTATATGGAAAAAAAAATATCCTTGCTGCACTTTGTGAAAATAATCAGGCCAAGTACAATAAAACGAAAACTTACTTTGGAAATAAGTTGGTCTTACTATGATTTTTCTTTAGTAAAAATGGAAGACTATAGAAAGAAAAATGTATTTCAAATGAAACTATAGTACATCCTTTATTGGATTCTAGCCCTGTTCATTGCTTTCCAGTTTTATTATTTGCCTACAATTTAGCTAGACTGGATCCTAAATTCTTTGCCGGTTACAAGTCTCCAAACTAACATTTTCAATGTTTTATTTTTTTTTCCCATTTTTTTCTGACTTGGAATTAGTAGAAATTAAAACTGTGCTTTGTGTAAAGCCCTGCACACTGAAACTAGAAAACTTAAACTTTGGGAGAAACAACAGCATCTTATTTATTTACATAAAAGATTTCAGGACTATCTAGTTATATATGGACTGCTCTGTAATATAGTCTATCAGTTTTCAAGGATTGCTTTCTACTTTGTTGCTATAATCCAGCTGTGTCTCTTTTTTCTTATCTTTTCCCTTTATTTTTTATTCCCCCTATTTCTTCACAACCTTCTAGAATGAGTCTCCTTAAAAATGTAGATCCTAACTTTCTAGGAATAAACCATCCTAATGTTGAAAGATTAGGGAAAAAATATAACCAAACACTCATTTTCTTCTAAAATGCTTTCTCTGAAATATTTTGAAGAACAAGGAAAATAAAATTTTGGGACCCCAAACTCACTGTGCCAAAGGAAAAGTTGGAAACTGAGTCATGCTAATACTACCTTCCTTTTGTTCCCAAAGAGTCAGCTGTAATTTCACAAGTTTGCCTATCTTATGTAAAATGTAGATCTACCACGCACAAGACAAATGCACAATTAACTTTTACCCCATTCCTCTTTACACATGCAACCTCTGGATGCAGTGAGTGCTAATTTGGATGTAACACTTGCCTCGCTGTCTTTCCCCCATTTCTTTATCCTCCATCCACTCCTCCCTGGTCTCACCTCTATAAATATGGAAGTCAGCAAAACCTTCTTTGGAAAAAGCACAGGCCACAGAGCCTACTGTGACTTGTGTTTCTTTATCCTTAAACATGGCAAAATAATTCTCTGAATTGAATGAGATCTGTGTCAGTCATTTTTGTTTTACATAGTTCTGCACTAAACACTAAGTCAATATTTGCTACTAGTGACAGCTTTTTCCAAGTAATTGCAAGAAGTATCGTATGTATCAACTGTAAAATACATCATTATTTTACATCACAATAAAAGCATAAAACTATTGAAAAACTATGACATCACAAAAATTTTATCTCATATATGTTGCAAATAACACTTTTTGTTTGAAATGCCTGTTCCTTGGTGCCATAAAGAAATACCACTTGAATATCATTTCCTCAGCAAGGCCATTTTTATATTTTCTGCAGAAAGGGTACACTTGCCAGCAGTTTTGCAATGAGAGTACACCGAACAAAGGAGACAGGGTCATTTATAACCTGATGCTTCCACCCTACTGCTGTGTCCGGTTTCCATTGGCTGGAACAGGACCTCACATTCTATATTTGTCCCAACTGGCTAGCAACTTAGAACTTTTTAAAAGAGGCAAAGGCAGAGGAGAACAAAGGAAGGAGGAAGTAACTTTTGGAATCTGGAGAAAGGTAAAAACACCTTCAAATAAGGAAGAGGAACAGGCTATGACCTAATGCTTGCTTGGACCAGTATAAGCATGCCAGGGGAAATATTTAGGCTAAATTGTGGGAACTAAGAACATAAAGTACATTCATTTCTTTATTACGGCTAGCAGATATTTAAGAATGTTAGCACAGGTCTTTGAATAAATTTTGCTTCTAAGAGAAGTTACTATGTATTCCTAATGAGATGGGGAGGAAAGTCTTTGAAGAGGAATCTCTACTTTACTTTTTACACTTTTGAATATAAATGTGTGTATTTATGTTTTATCACTCCTATGATCATATGAGATAGAAAGTAAAAGCAAAATAGGTAATCAAGGTTTTCTAAAATTTCTCATATTTGGATAAAACTCTTCTAAATCACTGTGCGTCTCACCTTGTCCATGGATTCTTCCTACATTAGCATCATCTCTGCTAATTAGGAGCTTTGCAGATGCCATATTTGTAGTGAGAGAACTATAAGAGTTTATGTTAGATTGTTTCTCATCTACTAACGTCCCTCTCCAAATTATGATGTTAAAGATACCACCAGAATGTGAAAATGGAAGTTTTTTACATCAAGTTCACGTGTGTGCACAGAAAGTTGATCACATTATGACTGTCTTCTAACCAATAGTCTTTTCAGAATATTATGATCCATCTCTATTTGGAAGATGTAAAAATATGCCTTATAAAATGAATGGAACACACTATTTTTTCTCTGTGACTGCCCCCTTCTCAGTATAAAATTTTGTTGGCTCATCATATATATTCTGGTCTATTACTGCAAAAACATGCTTAACTATAGTTTCAAATTAGTTGAACAACTAGATTTACCTGCTACCTCAGGATTAGAGAGAGAGTTATTATTGGGCTACTAGAATTCCTATTTTAAATGTTGCTGTGAATTGTTTTAATTTGATGTAACCTGGGCATTCATTTTCTACATAGTTTTGACATTCTCATACCAGAAATAGGGTTTAGAAATCCATGACATTTTCCAGTTTGTGGCCTCCTCCATGTTCCTCAAGGTGGTCATTGAACATAGCCCCTTATAAAACCTGCTCAAGGTTTTATAAGCTGTCCATATAAGCTGTCCATATAAGACAGCTGAATACCACCTTTATCTCATCTCACTGTCCCCTGTGGGAACTGCACAGATATTCGGCAGTAACCACCTCTCAGTCACAGTTTGACTCTATGGAAATCATGGTTGCTTCACCTTAACCCAGCAATTTGAACTCCTCATGAGAAACCTGCTTGGGTGACACTCCAAAACCCAATGTGATGTTTAGTTTTAGGAGTCAACTAACTGTATTAAGGAATACCTAGAACACTGGCAAAGCTTTACTTCTGGTTTGTGAGGTTTCACCAGAAAGGTCTGAAATGTGAGTCGGTAGACAGAGTGGGTAAGATCCTGTGATGGAGCAGGGACCCTTTGTTAGGGGCCTGTAGCTTCCCCAAGCAGGGAAATAAAGGAAAATCATGAGTCCCTTCAAGGGAAATCCCTTGTACCTAGCTAGCACTGAGAAAGAAATGAGGAACTTGATAAGCAAGAAGGTAATAGTAGCCTAAACAATCGCCAAGGAAGTTACAGTCAGAAGATGTTTGTTTTGTTCCAAAGATCACATCTTAACATGCATTCCTGAGTCATTTTTCATAAACCTAGACCCCCACCAAAGGCATCTGCTGACAAGTACACCTCAGATAAGGGGGGCCTGAAAACTGAATTCTGACTGCCATTCTTTGTACTAAATTTCTTCTGAGGGGCCTAGAGGGAGGCAAATCCATTAGCCAAAGAGCTAACATTTTTTTCTCCTGACCCCCAAATTTTAAAACAAACCTCCTTTTTTCAGAAGGAATGGTACCAGTTACTCCTTGTACCTCTGGTAGAATTCGGCTGTGAATCCATCTGGTCCTGGACTCTTTTTGGTTGGTAAGCTATTGATTATTGCCACAATTTCAGAGCCTGTTATTGGTCTATTCAGAGATTCAACTTCTTCCTGGTTTAGTCTTAGGAGGGTGTATGTGTCGAGGAATTTATCCATTTCTTCTAGATTTTCTAGTTTATTTGCGTAGAGGTGTTTGTAGTATTCTCTGATGGTAGTTTGTATTTCTGTGGGATCGGTGGTGATATCCCCTTTATTATTTTTTATTGCATCTATTTGATTCTTCTCTCTTTTCTTCTTTATTAGTCTTGCTAGCGGTCTATCAATTTTGTTGATCCTTTCAAAAAACCAGCTCCTGGATTCATTAATTTTTTGAAGGTTTTTTTGTGTCTCTATTTCCTTCAGTTCTGCTCTGATTTTAGTTATTTCTTGCCTTCTGATAGCTTTTGAATGTGTTTGCTCTTGCTTTTCTAGTTCTTTTAATTGTGATGTTAGGGTGTCAATTTTGGATCTTTCCTGCTTTCTCTTGTGGGCATTTAGTGCTATAAAGTTCCCTCTACACACTGCTTTGAATGTGTCCCAGAGATTCTGGTATATTGTGTCTTTGTTCTCGTTGGTTTCAAAGAACATCTGTATTTCTGCCTTCATTTTGTTATGTACCCAGTAGTCATTCAGGAGCAGGTTGTTGAGTTTCCTTGTAGTTGAGCGGTTTTGAGTGAGTTTCTTAATCCTGAGTTCTAGTTTGATTGCACTGTGGTCTGAGAGACATTTTGTTATAATTTCTGTTCTTTTACATTTCCTGAGGAGTGCTTTACTTCCAAGTATGTGGTCAGTTTTAGAATAGGTGTGGTGTGGTGCTGAAAAGAATGTATATTCTGTTGATTTGGGGTGGAGAGTTCTGTAGATGTCTATTATGTCTGCTTGGTGCAGAGCTGAGTTCAATTCCTGGATATCCTTGTTAACTTTCTGTCTCGTGGATCTGTCTAATGTTGACAGTGGGGTGTTAGAGTCTCCCATTATTATTGTGTGGGAGTCTAAGTCTCTTTGTAAGTCACTAAGGACTTGCTTTGTGAGTCTGGGTGCTCCTGTATTGGGTGCATATATATTTAGGATAGTTAGTTCTTCTTGTTGAATTGATCCCTTTACCATTATGTAGTGGCCTTCTTTGTCTCTTTTGATCTTTGTTGGTTTAAAGTCTGTTTTATCCGAGACTAGGATTAGGATTGCAACTCCTGCCTTTTTTTGTTTTCCATTTGCTTGGCAGATCTTCCTCCATCCCTTTATTTTGAGCCTATGTGTGTATCTGCACATGAGATGGATTTCCTGAATATAGCACACTGATGGGTCTTGACTCTTTATCCAATTTGCCAGTCTGTCTTTTAATTGGAGCATTTATCCCATTTACATTTAAGATTAGTATTGTTATGTGTGAATTTGATCCTGTCATTATGATGTTAGCTCCTTATTTTGCTCGTTAGTTGATGCAGTTTCTTCCCAGCCTTGATGGCCTTTACAATTTGGCATGTTTTTGCAGTGGCTGGTACCGGTTGTTCCTTTCCATGTTTAGTGCTTCCTTCAGGAGCTCTTTTAGGGCAGGCCTGGTGGTGAGAAAATCTCTCAGCATTTGCTTGTCTGTAAAGTATTTTATTTCTCCTTCACTTATGAAGCTTAGTTTGGCTGGATATGAAATTCTGGGTTGAAAATTGTTTTCTTTAAGAATGTTGAATATTGGCCCCCACTCTCTTCTGGCTTGTAGAGTTTCTGCCGAGAGATCAGCTGTTAGTCTGATGGGCTTCCTTTTGTAGGTAACCCGACCTTTCTCTCTGGCTGCCCTTAACATTTTTGCCTTCATTTCAACTTCGGTGAATCTGACAATTATGTGTCATGGAGTTGCTCTTCTTGAGGAGTGTCTTTGTGGCGTTCTCTCTATTTCCTGAGTTTGAATGTTGGCCTGCCTTGCTAGATTGGGGAAGTTCTCCTGGATAATATCCTGCAGAGTGTTTTCCAACTTGGTTCCATTCTCCCCATCACTTTCAGGTACACCAATTAGACGTAGATTTGGTCTTTTCACACAGTCTCATATTTCTTGGAGGCTTTGTTCATTTCTTTTTATTCTTTTTTCTCTGAACTTCTCTTCAAGCTTCATTTCATTCATTTCATCTTCCATCACTGATACCCTTTCTTCCAGTTGATCACATCAGTTACTGAGGCTTGTGCATTCGTCACATAGTTCTCATGCCATGGTTTTCAGCTCCATCAGGTCCTTTAAGGACTTCTCTGCATTGGTTATTCTAGTTATCCATTCCTCTAATTTTTTTTCAAAGTTTTTAACTTCTTTGCCATTGGTTCGAACTTCCTCCTTTAGCTCGGAGTAGTTTGATCTTCTGAAGCCTACTTCTCTGACTTTTTTATATTTATTTTCTACACCAATTACCTTGGCCACATCCTCCAATACAGTGGTGAATAAAACTGTGAAAGTGATATCCTTCTCTTGTTTCTAATTTTACAAGAAAGTGTTTGAGCTTCTCAGAACATTTAGGATGTCATGTGAGGTTTTCTGTGCTTTCATGATGAGGAAATTTTTCTTATTTGCCTAACTTGTTGCATGTTTTTATAATGAATGACATTTCACTTTAGCAGGTGCTTATTGCTCATCTTTTAAGATGGCCATGTGTATTGTGTCCCTTGTCTCTTAATATAGTTTATGGCACTAATTCTTTTCGTATGTTGAACCAAATTTGCCTTTGTAAGATGTATACCTTCGTCAAAATTTATGAATTTTTACATGTCTGTTATTTGCTTTGATAGTATTTCCTTTAATTTTTGTGTTTATGTTCATAAGTCATATTGATCATAGTTTTTCTTCAGTAATTTTGTCTATCTATGGTATAAGGCTGATAATTCACATTGGAAATTGATCCATTCTTCACTGTTGTTCTTACTGTTTTTTATGTGAAAGGTCTAAATTTATTTAGCACAAATAGAATTGAACACATAAAAAGGAGAAAAAAGTACACTTTTTCAAGCTAATTTTCAGACTTTGCAAACAATTATATTGTATAAGTGAATAAAACCAAATGAGAGTAGTAAAGAGATGTGATTGGGCTACATAGATGGAGATTTACAATACACTAGAAAGGGAGAGAGAAAGGTGGATGATAAATTACTCTTTTTAATATGATTTTCACTATTTTGCATATTTCTTTCTTTAAATACACTACCTACAAGTATAGAGAAAGATGAAAATATGGGTTGACAAACAGGTGCTCATTAATTAGAAGAAATACAAGATTTAAATTCTGGTATTTCATTAAGGCCAATTTAGTTTGTATGCTTAGGAGACCTAACCTGTAGACATTTGATGTGACACATTTTGTGAGCCTTCATAAATATCTATAAAAAATAGAAAATCAGAGTTTCTAAAAACTTAAAAATTGAACAAAACAAGGATTTAAATATTACTATTAAAGTTGTTACCTATTCCCAGATGAGGACTTAGAAAAACAAACAGTTGGCAAACCAGTGCAGCAGGTGACTTCCATGAAGCCAGAGGCACACCCTGGGAACTGGGCTGTTGCTGGAGCCGACACTGCTGTGCTGCACATGTGGCTGCCACCAGTTTCCTCCCTCTCTGGGAACTGGAATTTGAAATGCAGGTGCTGATGGCTGATGGATGGAGGGACAAGAACACATTATCTCAAAATCCTTGGCTGGGTTGCTTGCTCCTCATTTCACTGCTAGATGCCACAGGCTTGGGGTTTACTGTTTATTTGTTGAAAAATATATGATAAATTGGTATTAATTATTTGAAGATGTAAAATCATTCACTGGTGATGTCTTCTTGACCAAGTCAGGAATTTTTTTTTTTTTTCAGAGACAGGGTCTCACTCCATCCAGGATTGAGCACAGTAGCATGAATGTAGCTCATTGCAGACTTGAACTCCTGGGGTCAAGCAATCCTTTTGCCTCAGCCACTTGAGTAGCTGGGGCCACAGGCACATGCCACCATGTCTGGCTAATCTTTTTTCTTGTTTTCTTTTCTTTTTATTTTGGTAGAAACAGGTTCTCACTATGTTGCCCAAGCTGGTCCTGAACCCCTAGCCTCAAGTAATCCTCCTGCCTCAACCTACCAAAGCATTGGTATTACAAGTTTGACCCACCGTGATCAGTCCAGGGTAGGAAATGGAATCTTAACAACTATCACATGAACTTTGAGGGGATCCTTCTCTGGATGAGCCTTCAGTTGAGACCTCAGCCTTGGACATCATCTACATCTGGATTCCTGACCCAGAGCAACTGTAAGTAATGTATGTGTGGTTGTGAGCCACCGCACTATGTGGCAATTTGTTGTGCAGCAACTGATAACTAATACAAAAGATAGTACCTTTAATTTATACTACTACCCTGGATTAGATTCTGGAACAGAAAAATGGCATTACTAGAAAACCTGGTAAACTCAGAAGAAAGTCTGTAGTTCAGTTAATAGTTTTATACCACTATAAATTTATTAGTTTTCATAAATACACTATGGGTATATGAATAAGATGTTAACATTCTAGTAAACTCCTGGGTATGTAAAACTAGCTGTACTATGTTTGCATCTTTATGTATATCAAAGTTATTTTAAAATGAAATCTTTGATTGTTTATTTTTAATTAAAAAAGACAGGCATGCATATGTTATCCCAGCTTCCGGGGAGGCTGACTTGGGAGGATTGCTTGAGCCCAGGAGTTCCAGGCTGAAGTGAGCCATGATTGTGTCACTGCACTCCAGCTTGGGAAACAGAGTGAGATCATGATTCAAAAAAAAAATTGGCCTCAGGAGATGAATGGACATATAGGAAAAAAATTGCCAAGCAGATTTCCGCATTTATTTACCTTCCATACATACATCCATCTACTTCAGGAAGCCAGCATCAAACTCAAGGAACTCTTGTCCACATTTGACCTCCCCATCACACTCTTTATTACCAAGTAACTCGTTTGAGTGTCAGTAACCTCTCTCTTTTCAGAGATATTTGCCTATGCCTCGCATACCCCAGAAAGGCCCATTTTCAGATATCATTTAGGAACATATCTACGGGTTCCCACTGAACATATTTTGGCAGACAAAGTTTCTGGATGCCAAAGACCAAGATTGAGGAATGTTAGTGACAAGAAATGTAAGTTATATTTTCATATTATGATTTTTTATTAATACAGGCTTAGTTTTCTAAAGATAATTCTGCCGTCAAGCCCTGTTGGAATTCTGTGATAATTTCTTTTCACTCCACGTTCTCCATCAGGAATTTTATGGAACCTTGTATTCTGTTGAGTAACAGAATTATATCAGCAATCCCAAAGTCACCAAATGGGCATCATCATGACAGCAGGTGGGTGGAATACAACATACATATATATGTATATATGATGGTTGGTGGTTTTGGCAGTTTCTACCTATCTGGACCTGGACAAAAAAATCTTTTCACACCAGATTTTTGGCAGCTGAGATTCAAAATAGGTTTTGCACAGGCATGGAAAACCTGATGCAGGCTAATCAACAGGCCAGGTGTGGTGGCTCATGCCTGTAATGCCAGCATATTGGGAGGCCAGAGTGGGTGGACTGCTTGAGTCCAGGAGTTCAAGACCAGCCTGGGCAACATGGAGAAACTGTGTCTCTACAAAAAAAAGAATAGGAAATTTAGCTCAGTATAATGGCACACACCTGTGGTCCCAGCTACTCAGGAGGCTGAGGCAGGTGGATGGATTGAGCCCAAGAGGTCAAGGCTGCAGTGAGCCATGATTGTGTGACTGCACTGCAGCCTGATCAATAAAGTCAGACCCAAGAAAGAAAGAGAGAGAGAGAGATCGAGAGAGAGAGAAAGAAAGAGAGACAAAAAGAGAGAGAGAAAGAGAGGAAACAGGGAAAGAAGGAAAGAGGGAAGGAAGGAAAGGAAGGAAGAAAATACAACATATCCCCAACCCTCCAGCAGTGATCTAAGAGATATACACAGGCTGAGTGGTGATTCTACATATGTGCTGGCTAAACAAAGAATCCCACAGCAGGAAGGACTCTCCACTCACCCCACACACAACTTCCTGTTCAACACGCTGCTGGACAGCACCAGGGTTGTTTCCAGGGACCATGCCTAAAAACCCACAAAGACATCAGACTTCATTCTGCACACCCATGGCCATGTATAATGACTTGTTTTTTGGTCTATAAACATGGGGACTATTGTCTACACCACAGTAATAGTGACAGTGAGAAAATGAGCTCTTGTGACCTAGAAAATTGGAAGACACATTCAGCTTCATGGATGTCATTTCTCATTCTTAGATGAGGATAACTGTTACTTAGGTGGTGTTAATTGAGCATTTGTAATTCAAGAAAACTAACTTCTTTAAGCTCATACTTTATTACTTGAGACATGACAGCTTCATTTAAGGTTCCCATTTTAAAACATGGTGAGTGTTTCCATTTATTTCATTTGAACTGGAGATACTATCATACTTAGGTGACTTGTCAAATCCCTTTTGTTCTTCATTTCAATGTATGTTTTCTAATCTATCATGATGAAGAGTGTGAAGATTGTCCTTCACCAAACAAGGAAGCAAGTAAAAAAAAAAAAGCTAGAATGGCAAACCATAATATAGACATAAGTAAATGCATTCAAGGTGTAACCCATCTCAATGTGGCATATCAGGGAGATGGAGACTGGAGAGATGAGGTTTAAAAGAAAACAGGCACTAAACTGAAAGCTGTGCTAACTGAAGTCACAGGCACAGATGACATCATGTTGTGCTCCAAGTTCCCAAACAACCTCTCTGACAGCACAAAAATTATGATTTCCCATAATATACTAAGCTACCAGGTTTCAGAGTGGCTGTCCTGAATCATTGCAAACAAGCCGAATTCTTAGACCTCTTCACAAGGCAAGTACATAACACTCTTTCTCCATCCACACTTTAGACTGATTGGAAGTTAGAGTTTAATGGATGGGTGGCTCGTACAATTGAGACCATGATTTCATGTTCACTTTATTCAGTCTTCCTGAAGCCTTAAATCTCTGTCAGGGAAACATTCATGTAACTCATTACAATTCTACTTCCTCCTCAACAGATTTCTAGGACCATCATTTTTAAAATTATTTCTACATACGCAAAATAGGGATTTCATTACTCCACTAAAAGCTCTCCATTTTTAATAATTAGCATTCCATGGAGGGCAGGTCTTTGTAAACCTACCACCAAAATATGAGGAAGCTGAACAGCTGAAGATAGAGGCTGATATAACCAGTCCCTTAGAAAGAAACATTTAGTAGGGATTTATGAACAGATATTTGAGTCTCACATAGGACTTATATACCATGGGGAAGGAATGTGTAGGAAAACTGAAGTCTACCTGTCAGGGAAAGGCAGAAATGCCATGTGAATCTAAGCACAGGATTTATAGTCATGGTGGTTCTGACCTAAGGGCAGGATTTACAGAAAAATAATGATTTTCACAAGGAACAGTAGACACAATAGAAATCTTATCCCCTAGTTTGCATATAAAGGAAAAAAATATTTATACCAAAAGCTTAGAGGCAGTCTCCAAACGGGGGTTAATCAGAAGTCAACATGATGAATTAGCTTTCAAGATTGAGTTGTTTTTGCCTCCACTGCTAGCTAGAGGGTAAATGCAGTTGGTCAGCTTATGTGAAAGTAGAAGTCTATTTCTTCAATAATATACTGTAATACAGAAGATGAGGTACCCCTTTTTCCAAGTAGTCATTGCCAGTCAAGGAGAAAAGTGCCATATTCCATTCCTCTTATGATACACATGTAACTGAGTGCAGGTCCGGCTGTTCTATGCATTCAAAAGCAATGACAAGGAGGACTTGCAGGGTGAAAGGAAAGTGACTTTATTTTTCAAATCCAGCAGTAGGGAAATGGCTGGATGACACCTGTATAAACCAGTTCACAAGGTTGGACTGAGGGCAGGTTTTTAAAGAAAGGGAAGCATAATGCATAACATGGGAGGCATGCAGGAGGTGTGCAGATTCAGGGAGTCTGTGTCTTACTCCCATGTGTATCTTGAGTTATGGTCCACCTGGAGCCACAGACTGATACCATCTTGATAGTGCCAGACCATAGGTATCCATCCAGAGGCAATCTTTAAGAGAGAGACAATACCACAGCTGGGCCTGTATGTTTGATTCATTTTAAATTAGCCTCTGGTATTTTTTGACAGGCATATAGTTAGATAATTATGCATTGTGTGAGTTTCGCCAGCATACAGTTAGATAAATGTGTATAAGGCATGGACATGTACAGTGGGAAACTGAATGGGGTGTGGTTCCAAAGTATATTTCAAGGTTCTACTTGAAGACTGAGGCAATGGTTTCTGCAGTTTGCTTCAAGGTTACATCCTGAGACTGGGAGGAAGGAAAAAAAAGAGAAAGGAAAAACTTAAGTGTATTTTGAAGCAACATGACTCAATTACAATCCTGCACCATAAAAGACCATAGCATTTCCAAGGAACGTGGGCAACACAGTCCATCTAGTTTCTTCCTGCTGAGAAGGGGCACAGTTAGAGGGTATCAGATTGGAATCTGTTTACCTGGAGTTGGAAATATTCGTGGGTTCCCAGAATAATGTGAGAATGTTTTGGAGCATTATAGTGTGGGGACCCAAAAGTTTCTGGGAAAGTTTTTCCTGCATCTCCATACAGATCTTGAAAAGCAACAAAAACTACAGCAACCAAACAGAACGGGGAGCAGAATACCAATTATACCATATATGAGAGTCTTCCATGGACATGGAAGTCGACTAAACCATGACATTGTGGGATCCTGGGAGAGGACATTTATAGCAGAAATATGAGTATTCAGTGCATGCATACCTTGGATTATATCGTGAGAGTAATCTGGTGTATATACGCACCATTCAGTCTTAATGCACTGGTGTCACACTGGGCTGCAGTTAGGATATCTAAGGCCATAGGGTTCTACAGGGTCACTTGTCTAATCTACGAGTTCTTTCAGTGGGAAGGGTAATGTTGGGTTAGGTGTTATTACAGGCAGCAGCTCTATACTTAAGGTCTCTACTTATAATTCTACATCTATGTTTGCTGTCTGCGAGGAAAAGGCAGCTAGTGAGTAGAACCAACAGGGTGCCCATTTTTGATGGTGTTGTCTGTCTTTCACATTTTCCCAGTGGTCAGGGAGAGAGTCCAGATGGGACAGGATGTGTCCTGGTAGGTAAGGGCACCCCCAGGTGTACCTGCCAATCCAGCTGTAAGGTAAGTAAGACCAGCTATGACTGCCTCACACCCATAGCTAACTCCAGGAGAAAGGATAGGCCCCATCATGTAGCTTGATACTATTTTGCCATCCTAGCCACATATTATTATTCAGTTGATGGGTTTGGCCACATTACTAAGAGGTAACCATCCCTTAGCCTGGCTGCTAGTGTGGGGTGTGTTGCTCTTGTGTTTTTGGATGCGTAGAGGTGCCTGACCCATTGCCTGAATTTGCACCATCATCAGCCATCCTATGTTGTCATGTACAGCATAGTCTATAGAGGGGGTGATATTAACCTGCTTACAAGCCACATGGAAGAAATGTTTCCAGGTTTCTCCAAAAGTGGAGCACTCATGGTGAGTGGTACTGTAATCATAGATGGGAAATGGGTGAGAATTTTTACTCTTGTCCTATGTATAAACATAACTCCAAGTGCTCGAGGTGGTAGCTTGGATGTGCCATGGCAAGTCAGCAGTGGAGAAAGGGGTATCTCCCCCACAGACCCAGCAGTCTGTTTTGTTTTGGAGGAAAACCACTGTCTACACCCATTCGTGTAGTTTCAGCAAAGATCAAGTATGTACTTATTACTCTAGAACTAATTGAGAACTTCATGTTAACAAAAGTATATTGCTTATATCTCCTTCTTTTTCTTTTATTAATAACTTCAGATCTTTCCTTGGCGCACATAACCAGGTAGGCATCTGAGTGAAGCCCGCCTTTCAGTCTTTGAAGGGACTCAGCTCTTTGTACTATATCTCCTTTTTAGGAGGACTACATTCCATCTTGGGATTGTTTGTTTGTAGTGCACAAGATGCATCCCTGTGTAATTTTCCGAGTGATGTTTTGAAAGTGTGGTCTACTGAGGTGTGGTTGTACTAGGTTGGCGAGGACATCACTCCCATAGTGCATTCCTTTATGTAGATGTTTTGAGATTGGATAAACCAAGGCCTTGGGGTTTCATCATCCTGTAGGCGTTATCTTATAGGTGTCAGTTTTCTAGGGGAATTGGAATCTCTTTTCTCAAACCCCTGGCTTGGGCACGTTTGGGATCTTGTTCAGTGTAATGAGGTTTAAAATCTAGTAATTCCAAATGGAGTATTCATGTCCCAGGACCTGTGCCTCCCAAGCAGCTCATTTTGCAGCTTTGCCAGCTGCCTGGTTACCTTCGGTTGTGAATTATGTCTCTGGTGTTGGGGAAGTGCATGATGGAAGCCTGGGCAGGCAAGGCAATTGCCTTTACTAGGTCCAGAATTTCTCTTGGGTGTTTAATGTCTGTATTTTCTGATTTCAAGCAACCTCCTCTATGTTTCCAGATCACCCAATTGGCGTGCATTTCCAGGAATGCATATATGGAATCAGAATAAATCTTTACTCCCATTTCCTGGGACAGTTCTAAAGACTCAGGTAAGAGCAATTAACTCAGCTCTTTGTGCGGAGGTAGCTGCAGGAAGGGTATGGACTACTATTACCCTTTTGGTAGTCACAGTGGCACATCCGGCTCTGTGCACATCTTTCATTAAGCTGCTCCCATCAGTGTAGTTCAAGTCCAGAGCACTCATTGTCTAGTTTGACAGGTTCAGCATGCTTGAATAAGCTGCATCAAGGATTTACAGTCATGCTTTAACCCAGGATTGTGTTCAGTGGCTGAGAGCAGTGTGGCAGGGTTTAGAGCCATGGTGGTTTGTAGGGTGATATTTGGATCATATAAGAGGATGGCCTGGTATCTGCCCACTCACCCCACAGTGAGCCAGTAGCCTCCCGTTTGTTCTAGCAGAGTCAGCACCTGATGGGGTACAAACAAGGTAACTGGCTGTCCCAGAGTAAATTGTTCTACTTCCTGTAGGACTTCACAGTGGGTGCTCTTGCCCAGAGGAAGGGGAGCCATCCCTTAATCTTTGGTGTAATTGTTTAGAGAAATAGGCCATGGATTGTGGGGCATCTCCCAGCATTTGCATTAGCACAACCCACACCTATGCTTTGTTTCTCTTGGATATAGAGTTTGAACAGCTTTTGGGAATTTGGTATCCCAGTGCAGGGGGTGATATCAGCTTTTCTTTGATGGTATAAAATGTTTGTTGACCTTTAGATGTCCAGAGAAGGGCCTCTGAGTCTAGTGAATCCTTTAAGGATTCATAAAGTGTTTTAGTCATTAGTCCAAACTTAGGAATCAAATCTGGCAGAAGCTAACCCTTTCTAAGAATCCCCATGGTTGCCCCCATTCTCTGGAGCTTTATGGCTGCTATTGCCTGTTTTTTGTTTTTTTTTTTTACCAGACCAGGCTCCTTTGGCCTTGCTTTAACCTAAAGCCAAGACAGGTTACTTTCTACTTACATATTTGGGGCTTCTTGGGAATACTTTGTATCCATATTGTACCAGGTGATTTAGAACTAAAATGACATCAGCTAAGCATTTCCTATAGTTGTGGCTGGCTATTAATTATCTATGTGTTGTAGCCAGGCTTCTTAATCTTGTTGTAGGTCTCCTAAGTCTTTTGCCAGTATTTCCCCAAAAATTGTTGGTGCATTTTTTAACACATTGAGACCCCACTGTCTAACAGTATTGAAAGGTTGTTTTAGTCTCTCGGTCCTGTCATTAAAAATAATAATGATAATTGTTGGGTCTTTTCTTCAATTGGAATGCAGAAGAAAACATCTTTCAGATCTAGCACTGAAAAGCATTCATAATGTCTATATATAGCAGTCAGTAGAGTATCTGGGTTAGGCACCACTGGGTGAATATCCAAGACTATTTTATTAACGGTTCTCAGGTCTTGGGCAAATTGATATTTGTAGAAGTGTAGCTTCCTTACAGGCACGATAGGGCTATTATATGGGGATCTGCAAGGATGAATCAGTCCACTTCTCAAATTTTTGAAAGACAGGCTGTATTCCTTCTAAGGCTTCCTTTCTTAATGTATACTGATTTTTTTATTCGCCTCCTCCCCGCCGCCCAGGTCACAGTAGCCCCTTCTATTTTTTCTATATGCACTCACTGTATATTTCTTGTTTTTCCTGGGATTCCTTCTGCCTATTCACAATTACGCACTCTCTCATAGACTTCTGAGGGAGAATTCTTGTTTCTTCTTAAGGCAAGTGAGTAACATCTTAGTTGCAGTGCTTGCTTTAGCAGGACCTGCAGCCATAGTTGTTTCTCTGGGGATAAATTACTTGAGTATTTAATTTGCATAATGGGTCTTTTCCCAGCAAGGGAATTGGGCATTCTTACATATAGAAATAGCAGTGCCTTAGGTCCAAACTTTCTAGTTTGCATTCTAAAGGTTGTAGGAAAGCCTTTTGTTGCATTATTCTTGCAACTCCTATCACAGGTACAATCATTTTGGTGCTTTTTGCTCATAAAGTGTTAAAACTGAATAGTTTGCCCAGTATCAACCAGGAAATCAATTAACTTTTTCCTCACTGTCAGTTGTACCCAGGGTTCCTGTGGGGAAATTTTAATTGTCTCTGAGTGATTAAGGAGAGTCCCCAGGCATCACTCTCTGTGGTCAGAGCAGTGACCCTGCTCCATGATTTGACTTTGAGCTTTTTCCTCATCATATTCCTCCTTTTTCTGGCCCCTTGGTCCTTTCTTTTGGGACAGTCATCCTTTCAGTGGCCTTTCTCCTTACACTAGGCACACTGGCTGTGTTCCAGAGGCTTGCCTCGATTTTTCTGATGCAGAGGCTTCCTTGTTCATTCCACGTTTATGGTTGAAACTTCTGTTTCTTTGTCTCTGGAGCGGGGAAGGGGTCATTCCTAGTGAGGCTTCCTGTTTTGGTACCCCTTTCCTGAGTCCAAACAGGAAGAATGTTTGTGAATATTCCAGATGGGCCATGTCCCCTTATCAATTGGAGCCCCAATTAGGGTTTGCATCCAGAATGGTCCCTTCAGGTTTGGGGTATTTGGATTTGTTTCATGGAGGCACCAAGACTCTGGACCTTCTTTGGTCTGCAGTCAGAAACATATTTAGGAGAGACTACACATCTGCTCAGGTACGCTGGTGGGTAGCACAGATAGACACATAGAGATCAGTCATTTTCTGGGGATCCATTGTATAAAGTGGGGTGGAGTTTTTCCATTTCACAAGTTAGATGTTGAAAATGGGCTGGATGTCCAGTAATGTCTGACAGGTTGCCCACTCTCATCCAAGCCACCCATGGCCATCCCTGTAAACGGTAATTCCTTTGCTCCGGCCATGGCAATTCCTTGCTAAATCATGTTCCCTGTCAAGCACTGGAGGGAGAGGCCGTCTCTGTTCTCTCATTATACTGAGGCGGCAGAGTAGCTCCCTCTTATTGGTCTGATGCCTCACTTGGTAGCATCAAGGCAATCCGGTCCAACGCAGAGGCCAGTGCTAAGGGCCCCGTATGGTGGTACTGCAGTGGGAGCTGTTGAGGTGGAGCAGAGGCCAGGTGCGTTCTGGCTGTGGTGGTTGGAGCTGCTAAAACAGCTTGGGTGTAGGACATTTAAAAGTCCTAATTCTTCTTCATTGCTTTCTGCCTGAGTTTGGCTCTCTGGCTTGTGAAGAGCCTTTTTTCCATTCTGTCCTTTGGTATAGCTAGCAGCTGGCATCTTCCCTCATGGTATGAATCCTGATTTTCGAAAAGCATGAAGGCTTGGACATATGGTAGTTTTTCCTAATTTTCCAGACCTCTGACAAAATGAGTCTAACTGCATTAAAGGCTAATATTGGTTGCGTCCATTCAGAGGTCAAAATTTATAACCTAACTTGTCCACAGTCCAAACAGCACTGCAATAATAGACCATTTTTCTGTTAGTCATGGGCTGATAGCTATAGGCTCTACAGTTAGCTAGGGTATGCCCCAGGGGCCTCCCAGAGGTGATAGAGACCTTGTTTCCCCTCCTGACGTGGTTTCTATGTCCATACTGCTCATCCCTGTGAAACAGTGATGACAACTTTTATTTGTTGTCTCTCTTCTGTTCTGCACTGCTCATATCCTTCAACCAGACCTCTATGGGTTGGAAAGACGTTTCTAGCTTCATATAAGCAGTGCAATTAATACCACTCATGGTCCTAAAAGGAAGACTTGTGGAAATCTCACCACACAGCTGGGACAGCCAAAGAGACCAGAGAATAAACTAGTTGGGCAGGCTAGTGATTAGCACCAGCTAGCACAGCACTCCCCCACCACCACCCTGCCCCCGCTCCACCCCCTGCCCCGGCCCACCAGCACATCAACTTCATCCCAAGTCCATGTTCTGCTGTCCTTAGTACCCTAGTAGATGGTAACCGAATGGCAACAAATTAAATGGTAAATTAGGCAGATAAAAAGGGCAGAGGGGTTGGAGTCAGGACTGCCTAAATACTTATCCCATATGCTGTTAAGCTTTTTTTCACATAAACAACATTAAGCACCATAAGCATGGTGGCAAGCCCTTTAGATAACCTATGGAATTGTTCACATCCTTCCTTTCCCCATAAAAACTGGCACAGCTGTGAGAAGTACTCCAGGGCCCTAAAAAGAGTGACCCTGCTAGGGCAGTGGAGGCTGTTTCCCTCCAGGGCCGGATCCTGGATGGAGTGGGGCTTATGCAGATCACCCTGCAGAGGAAAGGAGGAGGAGGAGAGAGAGACAGAGATGAGGGCCTAAATGTAGATATTGTACCTTTTACAGTTGCAGGTTCAGACTGCACAGTCCCGGACAGATCCCCACTAAAGGGCTGGGTAAACGTCCTGAAATCTCCTCTCAATTTCAGATGCCCTCCTGTCAATCAGCTGACTCCAAGTGGAGCAAAGCCCAGGTCTTGACGTAGATACAGATACCATACATGCCCAGATGATGTCACAAGCAGCTATATGTAAACAGAGCAGAGGTCAGGTGACATCACAGAACAGGCAGAGGCAGTTCAGGGGGTATTCTGGTTGCCTTACCCAGCTCTGAAGTCTGTCAGCCTCTTCAGATGTCACTTGCCCTGTGGTAAGGAAGTGTAGTTGGCAGCTGGTGCAGTGGCAAGAAGAGAAAGGAGGTTCCCCAAGACAGAAATATCTCAGCAGGTAAAGAGAAATTCCCTAGAGCCTCAATCATGGGATCAGCTAGTTGGAAGCAGGTGGCATTCCTGGGTAGTTTCTTTCCCTTCCAGTGAGCAGAGCGGTTAAGCCTTGGTGTGCTTGTGTGTCTGATTGCCCCACTCATTGGAAACCAGACCAATGGTTTCAGGAACTCTGAGTGTGTTCTTCCCCTCTATGTGTCCATGTGTTCTTATCATTTAGCTCCCACTTATAAGAGAACATGGAGATATTTGGTTTTCTATTCCTGTGTTAGCTTGCTAAGAATAATGGACTGCAGCTCCATTCACGTCCCTGCAAAGGACATCATCTGGTTGTTCCTTATAGCTGCATTGTATTCCATGGTGTATATGTGCCACATTTTCTTTATACAGTCTATCGTTGATGGACAATTTAGATTGATTCCATGTTTTTGCTATTGTGTATATTGCTGCAGTGGACATATGTGTTCATGTGTCTTTATAACAGAATGATTTATATTCCTTTGGATATATACTTAGAAATGGGATTGTTGGGTCAAATGGAAGTTCTGTCATTAGGTCTTTTAGGAATCATCACACTGTCTTCCACAATGGTTAACCTAATTTACACTCCCACCAACATTGTATAAGTGTTCCTTTTTCTCCACAATCTTGCCAGCCTCTGTTATTTGTTTGATTATTTGTTATTTGTTATTTTTTGACTTTTTAATATATACGTTCTGACTGGTGTTAGATGGTATTTCATTTTGGTTTTGATTTGCGTTACTCTAATAATGAGCGATGTTGAGAAGATTCAAATAAATGCAATCAGAAACAACAAGGGTGATATTACCACTGACCCCACAGAAATATAAACAACCATCAGAGAATATTATGAACACCTCCATGGACATAAATTAGAAAATCTAGAAAGAATGAAGAATTCCTGCACAAATACACCCTCCCAAGACTGAACCAGAGAGGAACTGAATCCCTGAACAGACCAAGAATGGCTCTGAAATTGAGGCAGTAATAAATAGTCTCAGTGACAAATTTTTAAAATGCCACTTAGAAAATGTACACATAATTTTGCTCTATTCAGCAAATATATCTGTAACAATCACTTTTAGGAAAGGTGTTAAAATATTTTATTATTTTTTCTCATTTAGCTTAACATTTTAAAAATACTTTTCTGCTGGCAACTATTTATATCTCCATTTTCATTGACATAGTCAATAATTTACCCACCTTTCTATTAAATAATAGTGGATCAACTGATGTGCATTATTTTATACTGAACTTTGGCACTCTTGACATAATTCATATACGAATAGTCATCCAAATGTCTTGGCCAGTGAAGATGAGATTTGTCTGCCAAGGTTGAACAGGAGTTTTCCTACCTGAAAGCGGCAAGCAGTACAAAAGCAAGAACATGGTAGATGAAATTCAGGAGTCCCACAAGCAGATGAGGATTCATTTAGGGCCTGAGAAGGTGCAGGGACCCCTCATAGGGGCCTGTGTACCACCCCAAGCATGGAAATAAAGGAAAATCTTGAGTCCCTTCACAGAAATTCCAGGCACCTCTCTACCTCTGAGAAGTACACGAGCCACTGGACAAGCAAGAAGGTAAAACAGTAGCAAGGAATGGAGAGTCATGGGAATATGGGGTTCCCTATGGAAACTAAAAATCAAAGCTTAGCATATGTCCCTGAGTTGTTGTTCAGAAAGCTGCCCCTCTACTAAATGGATCCACTGGCACATAGACCTCAGATAAAGGGGATCTATGAAATGAACTCTGCCATTCTTTATTCTCAATTTCTTCCTGAGTGGCCTATGGAATGTTACGTCTATGAGCCAAAAGTACCATTACTTTCTGCTGATCCCAAATTTTCTGACAAATTTTACTTTCTTAAATAATCACACATCAGAAAATCTCTGAATCCCCCTATGACCTGTAAGCTTCCACTTCAAGATACTTCATCCTTTTAGTCTAAAACCAATGTGTAACCTCAATATATTAATTTATGACTGTGTATTACCCCTCCCCTCTGTGTCTTTAAAATCCCCTACCTGTAAGCTGTCTGGTAGTTTTAGTCTTTATTTTATTTTATTATTTTATTTTATTTTGGGGATGGAGGTTTGCTCTCGTAGCCCAGGCTGGAGTGCAGTGACTCCATCTCAGCTCACTGAAACCTTTGCCTCCTGAGTTCAAGCGATTTTCCTGCCTCAGCCTCCTGAGTAGCCAGGATTACAGGCAGGTGCCACCATGCCCAGCTAATTTTTGTATTTTTAGTAGAGATGGGGTTTCCCCAAGTTGGCCAGGTTCGTCTCGAACTCCTAACCTCAAGCGATCCGCCCTCCTCGGCCTCCCATGGTGCCGGGATTACAGGTGTTGGCCACCATGCCCGGCCTGTCTGTGTGACTTCTTAAATGTTCTTTGATATTCTCCTGCAAACCTCATGATGTTCTCTTGTTTCTCAGATTGTAACGTGTTACATGAATTTATTCTTTCTATCCCATGCTTCCTTTTATTGATGCATTCTGTCCTTTAAGTAGTGCATTTAGAACATTGACATTTAAAGTGATTATTGATATAGTTGGATTAAAAATCTACCAAATTTGTTACCATTTTTCAGTTGTTGATTTGTCTTTGTTCTTATTTTTGTATTTCACTCATTTTCTACCTTTTGTTGTTTTGAGCACTTTATATCAGTTCATCTCATTTCTTAGCATATCTCTATTTTTTTACCTTTTTAGTGACTAGTCTAGGTAATAATTTTATGCTTAATTAATCTAACAAATAACAGCTTGTTAAAAACATTAGTTTGAATATATTTGATTAGATATGGTTAAATATATATCATTGTGTGTGTATATGTATACATACAAACATTTATGTGCATTTATTCTTATGTAAGTGAGATGAATAACTGCAATAGGTGATAGAAGGAAAGAATGTGGGTTATTCTGTTACTGTAAGGTGTTCACACCACATCTTAAGTGATATATTGTTACTTGAAAGGGGGCTTGGATTAGCCAGAATTTTAAATTGCAAACTGTAGGGCAGCTTCAGTTCCTTGCTGGCTGTTGACTAGAGGCTGCATTCAGTTTCTTCCCATGTTGACTTCTCCCATGTGGCAGAATGCTCTATCAAAGCCATCAAGGCAAAGAGCTTGCTAGCAAGACCAAAAAAAAAAAAAAAAATCACAACTTTACGTAACATGATCAGTCGTGTGACATCTAATATTCTTGTATTATTGTGTTGTGTGAAAGCAAGTCACATTTCATGCCCATACTCACAGGGAGAGGATTACAATACAAGGTCATGCACCCTGGCAGGTGGGGATCATTGGGCACCATCTTAAGGTCTACCAGCCACATCAGGTCCTGTCTGATGTGCAACAGTTTCCCAGTCTTCGTTTATCTTGAAGACTCTCAGCTGCTAAGAAAAGAACTGGTGAGGTATTTTATAGGAAGCATCACAATGTGGATTCATCTGATGATTTCTCATTATTTGAATAGAATTATAGACTTATTTTGAACACCTTTATCTTAATTTGAAGACAATAAAAACTGAATATATTATTTAGAAATATAAACATAGACATAAAAATAATACAAAAAGGAAATGACAAATAGGAAACTGAAAATAATAGTAACCTTCATGGGGGTAAAAAATGCCATGAAATTGGGGAGCTGCACATTTAGAGCATCAACAATATTGATAATATTCAGTTTGTTAAGGTCAGCAGTGAATTTTTAAAGAAAGAAAAAAAGCTTTTCTATTTTACGTTAGCTTTGGACTTACATAACAGTTGCATAGTCAGCATGGAGAGTTAATATGCAACCAACACAGAGTTTCCATCATTATTAACCTCTTATATGAGCATGGGTATTTGTCACAATTAACACACCAACATTATGCATTCTCATTCACTGATATCCACATATTAATCAGATTTCTTTTCTTCCTAATTACTGTTTGTTTTCTGTTCTAGGATCTCTTCCAGGATAACACCTTTAGATATCATGTCTCCTTAAGCTTTTTTTGTCTCTGCAGTTTCTCTGAATTTCCATGTTTTTCGTGGCATTGACATCCTCCATTTAGGATTTCTATGATTGTTTTTACTAACAATTAGACTGAATTTGTAGATGTGGAAGAAGAAGAGACAGGAGTGAGTGTAATACTCATTATACCATGGGCATATATTCTCAAAATGCTTTTATCACTATTGATACTAATTTGAGCACCTGGATGAGGCAGTGTGTGTCCAGTTTCTCCACTGTAAAATTAATTTTCCCCCTATCCACGTCGTACTTTTTGAAAAAAACGTCACTATGCACAGCGCATACTTAATATTGGGGAATTATTCTTCACCTCCTTAGGGCAGAACTTGTATAGTATCGTTTGTATTTCATTATCATAGGCAATGTATCTCTTCTCCAGCATTTATTTAGTCAATTATTTATATTATATGGAATATTGGCAAATAAAAAATATTTATTTCCCCTGTGATTAGACTAGTTTATTGTATTGTTCAAATTGTGCTAGTGCTGGTCATTAGAAGGCCTTTCAGTCAGCTGCTTTACCACTTTGAAATACCCATATTATTGCTATTTGATTTGGTTTGTGTGGTGTGTTGTTTGGTTGTGTTGTTTAACTTTTTCTTACTTTCTGGCTCTACAAGGTACTTAAGCTTAATAGTGTTGATTCCCTTCCCAGCCATGCCATTTACCATTTTCCCCCAAATTCCTAGTTCCTTTTTTGGTGAATGGCATTAGAAACAAAGGTCTCGGCAATGGTGTTGTCATTTCTGCCAGGCGTCTGTTAATTCTATGTTTTGTCATCTGACAGAACAAAGGATTATATGTATGTATGTAATTCACACTCACATATGTATATGCATTTCTACAACATTTCTCCATTTATTCCTATGTAAAGTTCAGCATGAATTCTTATTAATGTTTCCAGCACCCATGATCTAATTCAAGACTACATAAATCAGTTTCCCCATTCCCACTACTTGTATGTAACCTCCCACGCTAACAGTGAGATAGTTGGCCTCCTTTATATAATCAATGAGTCCAAAATACATGCAGAGTAGTTTTAGAATTGGTAATTCATACACCCATGGGAAAGAATGTTTCTAACTAAAGAAGAGAATTTATGTACAGATACTTTGACATTTAAACTAAGAATCTCTCCTTATTTTTATATTTCTTAGGTTGGTCCCCTTTGCCCCCAAATGTCTGTTTCTTTTTCACAATATTTTAAATGGAATTGTTTTCTATGTTTTATTTTAGATTAATTGACAATATATAGAAATGCAATTGATTTTTATTACTCTAGTATACTAAAGTGTTACTGAACTCATTTTTTGTTTCTAATCTTCTTTTAGTAATTTCCTTAGGATTTTCTATACATAGGATTATGTCATTTATGAATAGAGAAAGCTTAACTTCATCCTTTTCATTCTAGAAGTCTTATATTTATGTTTCTTGCCTAATTACCCTGGCTACATGTTCCAATACAATACTTAATAAAAGTAGCAAGAGCATACATCCTTGTCCTGTTGCTAATTTTTTGAAGAAATTACTGAAACATTCATAATATGGTGTGTTGTTGTGTGAGTTTTTCATAGATGCCTTTTATCACTTAAGAAAATTTCCTTTTATGCCTAATTTGCTCGGCATTGTTATCATGAATGTGTTTTGGATTTTTCAACTGCTTATTCTGTATCTTTAGAGATAATTATGAAGCTTTTGTCCTTCACTCTGACAATATAGCGTATTACAGTAATAGTTTTTGTATGTTTAACAAAACATATTTCAGGGACAAATGACTTTGCTCATAATGTCTATTTTTATTAGGTTACTGGTTTATTTTGATAGTATTTCCTTCAGAATTTTTGCCTCTGTTTCATGGGGCATATTTGTCTGTAATTTTCCTTTCTTGAAATCTCTTTGTCCAGTTGTGCTATCAGGGAAAACGGGCTTCATGCGGCATATTGGGAAGTGTTCTCTACTCCTCTGTTTTTATTTTTTTTTCTTGAAAGATTAGTTAATAAAGATTGTTATTAATTTTCAAAGGGGTTAGAATAATTCACCAGTGAAGTCATCACAACCTAGAAAAAAATTGAATCCTACCAACACTAACATGAGCTGGGAAAGGGATCCTTCCTCAGGGGATGCTTCGCTTGAAACCTCAGCCTGGGTCATCTGATCCAGAGAAAAGGTTAAGTAATAGTTACGTGTGGGTTTGAACATCTAAGCTGTTCAGTTATATGTTATACAGCGACCTGTAGGTAATATACCTGAGAGTAAATGTAATTAGATTCTAGAAGAGAAAATGACATCAGTGGAAAACCTGGCAAAATATTAAGAAAGTCTGTCTTTCAGTTAATGCTTCAAAACTATTAACTGTATTTCAGGTAATAGTTTTGTACCACTGTCAATTTCTGAGTTTTCATAAATACATTCTGGTTACATGAGTTGTTAACATTTCAGAAAGCTGTAGATTATGTAAAACTGCATTATCTTTGAAACTTTCTGTAAAACTAAAATTATTTTCAAATAAAAATATTCTTAAAATATATTATTTAGGAACAAAAAAAAATACCAACACAGATGGACATAAACAACAAGAAACCTTGGACCAGAGGATGAGTGGAGATGCAGGGAGTGAAAGGCAAAGTACTTGCCTTATTATCCCCATTCCTACACAGGGCACCTGCTTCAGGCTTCAGGCACCTCATCAAGCTCCAGGGACTCTCATCCATTTTCTTCTTTCCCATCATATGCTCCATTACCCAGTCACCAGTTCATACATCAGTAACCACTTTTTCAAAGAAAGGTGCCTGCCCCACATGTGTTAGAAGGCCCTATTTTCAGGCACTTTGTGGTAGTGTCTTTGTAGGATCTCACTAAAGACATTTTGAAAGACATGACTTCCAGACAAGATTGAGAAACACCAGTGATGGGGAACATAAATAATATTTCTACATTAGGAGTGTTTTCTTAGTTCAGAGATTCTCTTGTTCAAGTTTTAAAGTTTTTAAAGCCTTTGAGAATACCCTATGATAATTAAGTTCTTTTTATTATGCAGACTCCATCATGAATTCATGGCACCACACAGTCCCCTGATGCTATAATATCATGGATTTCTTTTGTCCAGTGAGAGGCCCAAAAGCTGCAGCACAGACAATATCATAGTGTAGAAGGTTCACTAGCTATGAAAATAAAAGCTTCTAATCATGGGGTTGTAGGCTGATTCCTGCTTACAGAGACCTGAAATGAACCTTCAGACACCAGGCATATGAAAGCGAGGCATGTTAGTGATACAGAGTGTGTTGTGCAGAGGTGGAAATAGCCTAATAGAAAAAAGGAAAGAAGAGCACAGTACAACATAGCCCAGCCCACCATGCAGTGATCTAAGAGATGGACACAGGCTCAGTGCAGACTCTGCATCTGTGCTGCTTAAACAAAGTTCTCCACAGCAGGGAGGATTGTCCCCTCATCCCCCACACAGCTCCCCGTTCACAGGCCACACCACTTTATGGGAGGGCACCAGGGTTGTTCCAGGAACGATGTCCACAAAGCTTACTAAGCCATGGGACTGTGTGCTGCACTCCCAAGGACATCCATGAAGTTAGGACTCTTTTTGCTTTTTCAGACCGTGATCATGGGCTACATTCTCCATACCAGCTTCATAGCTCCAGTGAGAAAATAAATTCCTGCACCCAGGAGACGTGGAGTAAGAGATACAGCTGACCTTGACCACATTTCTTACTTCCAAGAAGATTGTAGCAATAATTCAGGTGCTACTATTTGGGACATTTATAATTCAATAAACCTGCTTACCCCTCTGAGCTTACAATTCACCCCATAGGAAGGAGAGCCTCATTTAAATTGATAATCTTAAACTGGGCGTGGTTGTTCACGCCTGTAATCCCAGCAGTTTGGGAGGCCGAGGCGGGTGGATCTCGAGGTCAGGAGATTGAGACCATCCTGGCTAACACGGTGAAACCCTGTCTCTAATAAAATACAAAAAATTAGCCAGACATGGTGGCGGGTGCCTGTAGTCCCAGCTACTCGGGAGGCTGAGGCAGGAGAACGGTGTGAACCCAGGAGGCGGAGCTTGCAGTGAGCCGAGATCATGCCACTGCCCTGCAGCCTGGGGGACAGAGCAATACTGTGTCTCAAAAAAAAAAAAAAAAGGACAATCTTAGTAAATGGAAGTTTGCTCTTTTCATTTCATTATAAGAGGAGTTTCTATAAGGTAAGTGACTTGTCAAATCCCATTTTTCTCTTCATTTCTATGCATACATATGGTCTGTTATGATGTGTACTGTGAAGATCATTCATGACCAAACTGTTCAGGAAAAACAAAATCACCAAGTGGCAGGCCATGAAGGAGATGGAAGTAGATTTGTCTAAGGAGAGACTCATCTCTAGGTAGCAAGAGGGTCAATGAGTTCTGAGTGCCCAGGGTTAAGATAGGAAATGTGATAGACACAAAACTGTGCTACCGTGATGTCCCTGGCACAGAGAACAAACACAGTGCTGAGCACCGAGCTCCGAAACTCTACCACCATAGCATGGAAGTTATGATTTCTCACAAGACAGTAAACCACCTGTGACCACGTTGTACTGAGGCTGGATTGGCCACCAGAATTCTCAGAAAGATGCTATTGAAAACATCTCATTGTCTGACCACATCATGAGGCCTGAACCCAACCCCTCTCCACCCTCTACCCTGAATGGAGAATAAAGCTTAAAAGGTGCATGACTCCTATATTTGAAATTAGGGCTTTCTGTTCACTGAACTGAGCCCTCATAGAAGCTGAAACTCTCAGTGCAAATATGCTCAACATTCTAAATTATAAATTATATGAGTTTCTTCTTCATGCAGTGCAGTCTTCAGGGAACACCAAGGCCTGTTTGATTTTCCAAGTATCAACAAGTGGAGTTGACAAGAGTGACAAATGGTCAGAGCAAAGCATTTCATGATGACTGTAACGTGCCTGCGTCAGCAGCGACTGCTTACAGTGAGATTCACATGACCATCGTTTATGACATAGGAAGAATAAAAGGAGAGGAGAAAAAGATAGGTAGTTGATCGAAATGAAGAACTGGATTTGGAAAGCAACTTCGAATAGTCTCTGCCTATATTTCTGAGATTAAGGCAAACAGTCTCAAGATGAGTATTTCTGTCTTGAGAGAGCTGCACTCTGCAACTCTGTAAACTTTCAAGTAACACTTTACCATTTCTATCTTCCTTCTCCATGGGATCTTCGAGCCATGATTTGTAAAATTACCTATACATCTATGTTGTATTTTTGTAGTATCTGATATTCTCTTGAGGTCTCTCTTGGGACAATGGCTTCAAATTATAACGATGTCCAACAGGACTCCAGGAAATTGGTCCTGGATGTTGACAGTGCACCTTTCATAGGATACTTATTTATCCTTGCAGATGACACAATGCCTAATTGTCCAGTCCTTTACCAGGCATCCTTCTTACTGTAATTTTTTTTAATTTCCATACGTTATTCGGGAACAGGTGGTTTGGGTTACATGAGTAAGTTCTTTAGTGGTGATTTGTGAGATTTTGGTGCACCCATCACCCGAGCAATATACACTGCACCCTATTTGTAGTTTTTGATCCCTCACCCCCTTCCCACCCTTTTCTCCTGAGTTCCCAGAGTCCATTGTATCATTCTTAGGCCTTTGCATCATAACTTAGTTCCCACTTATGAGTGAGATCCTACGATGTTTGGTGTTCTATTCCTGAGTTACTTCACTTAGAATAATAATCTCTAATCTCATCCAGGTTGCTGCAAAAGCCATTAACTCATTCCTTTTTATGGTTGAATAGTAGTCCATTATATATATATATATACCGCAGTTTCCTTATCCACTCATTGATTGATGGGCATTGGGGTTGGATTACTGTAAACTTTTAAATACTGTCAGATGCCCTTATGGCACTTTGCAGAACTGTGACCACTACATTCATATCAAGACAACCACTTTCTAGGAAAACTCTGAATTGGAAAAATGTTAAGTTCAGGTGTGTTGGTCATGTGAGACACAGAGGAGGCCACTCAACAGAGCACATGAGATAATGTAAGCGGTGTATTTCTTACAGGTGAGGTTCACTGGGCACCATCGTAGGGTCTACCTGACACATCAAGTATTCTCTAATCTGCAGATTTCTCAGTCTTCACTTATTTTTTGTGAACTTGACTTTTTTGAAAACACAGGTCAGATATTATGTAGGTTTTCCCACAATATGAATTTGTCTCATGATTTCTCATGATTAAACTGGGACATAAATACATTAAAACCATGCATGTGTGTTTGAAGACAAGAAAAATAAACATTATAGATATTAGAAATATAAACATAGAGGTAAATGTAATAAACACAAATTAGAGGATAACAAATAATTCACAGTAATAGCTATTTTCAGTGATTAAGGAAGATGGTGAAGCTCAGGAGATGCACTATGGGCCATCAAACATATTGCTCATGTTGTTTTATAAGGTCAACAGTGACTTTAAAGATAAAGAAACCTTATAAATTTAAGAATAGTTTTAGGTTTACAGAACAGTTGTAGTACATAGAATTTCCACATATCCTACGAAGTTTCCATTTTTATGAAATTCTTACATTAATGTAGGACATTTGTCACAAGCAATCAGTTTTATAACACTATAACTACTCTTCATACTTTATTCATTTTTTTTTAGTTTTGACTTAATGTCCTGTTTCTATTCCAGGATTTCATCCAGGATACCTCATCACAGGTACATGTCATGTCTCCTTAGAATTCTCTGACTGTCACAGTTTCTCAGAGTTTCCTTATTTTTGATGCCATTAATATTACTAATGTGGGATTTGTCTGATGTTTCTCTAATGATAAGACTGGATTTGTGGGTTTAGGGGAGGAAGATCACGAGGAAAAGTGTCATTTTTATTTATTTATTTAATTTTGAGACAGTGTCTCACTCTCTCGCCTAGCCTGGAGTGCAGTGTCATGAGCTTGGCTCACTACAGCCTCCATCTTCTGAGCTTAAGGATCCTTCCCTCTCAACCTCCAGGGTAGCTGAGACTACAGGTATGTGCCACCAGGCTGGACTAATTTATTGTTGTTGTTGTTTGTTATTTTTTTTGGTAGAGGCAAGGTTTCACCATGTTGCCCAGGCCGGGGTCAAACTCATGGGCTCAAGTGATATTTATTTTGTTATAGAGATGGGGTCTTAATGTGGTGTCCAGGCTGGTCTGGGATTACAGGCGTGAGCCACTGTGCCTGGCCAAAAAGTGCCATTCTCATCATATCATACCAAGAGTAAAAACTGTCAACAAGGGTAGACAGTCATTATTGGCAGAATGTCTACAAATTCCTTTAAACCTTCACCGTAAACATGTGCCTATTCTCTTCCAATTATTTCATGTGTATTAATTTATTCACTTAAACATGCATCTTTTATTTATATCATTATCTAAATATGGAGATTTATTTTACAATGCATATGTGCTATTTTTTTTTTTGAGACAGAGCCTTTCTGTGTTGCCAAGGCTGGAGTGCAATGGTGCGATCTCAGCTCATTGCAACCTCTGCCCCCTGGGTTCAAGCGATTCTCGTGCCTCAATCTCCTGAGTGGCTGGGATTACAGGCATGAGACACTACACCTGGCTAAGTTTTGTATTTTTAGTAGAGACTGAGTTTCACCATGTTGGCCAGGTTGGTCTCAAACTCCATACCTCAGATGATCCACCCTCCTCGGCCTCCCAAAGTGCTGGGATTACAGGCATGAGCCACCATGCTCGGCTGCTATTTTTTTTTTAATTGCACAAATTGTTCCAGTGTTGGCTATTGGAAGGTTTTTAAGTTGTCCCTTCTATCACTTTGAAATACCTGCATAATTAAAGTTTGATGTTGTGTGGTTGGTTGGTTTTGTTGTTGTTTGGCATTTTCTTTTGTTCAGTCACTATTATATGCTCCAGTCTGTGAATTTAATTCTGCTTCAGGGTAATTTGGTAATTTTATACTTTCTGCTAATGTTTCCAACACCATATGACCTAATCCAGGACCATATAAATGGATCCACTCATTCTCATTTGTATGTGATCTAGCACTCCCTGCAAGCAAGTTGATGTTGTTAATTTAATCATGCTACCTGAACAAGGTATATGGCTATGTAGAAAAATAGAAGTTGAAACAGTCAAAATACTGTGTAATTCCATTTATATGACTCTCTAGAAAAGGAAAAAGTGTAGTGATAGTAAAGAGTTCAGTGGTAACAAGGGGCTTGGGAGAGATATAGGTGACATCAGTGAACTACCGAAGATTTCTTTGGGGCAGTGAAATTCCTCTTTGATACTGTAATGGTGGATACATCATAATGTTTTCCAAATCCTGAAGAACTTTGTAACACAAAGAGTGTAGCTAAATTATGCAAATTTAAAAGCTTATTTAGTAGGTAACAAGTTTGCCTTTTCACAGTATTTTACCTTTTCCAACTTATATTTTTTAGCAATATGCTTTTTAGATTTTTGAAGTACACCTCATGGTTTTTAGATTTGCCTTCACCCAATTTTTGTAGGACAGGTGAGTCACAGAATTTTGGCTTATCCTGAGAGGGTTATTAGCTTTGTCCAAGAAAGAATTTAAGGGCTAGTGGGTGATGTTAGACTGCAATATTTTATTGAATGGTACTGCTCCTAGCAGAGCAGGGCTAACTCTTAAGCAGTGTGTTCAGAGTTGGCAACATATAGGCCTCTTGGCAACTGTATTTATATGCAATCAAACCCACTTTTAATTATATGCAAATTGAGGGGCAAGTCAAGGCAAATTGAGGCAGGACAGGGGCAGTGACTTCTAGGTTGTCTCCATGGAAAGGGCAGTAACTTCTGAGTTGTGGCCATGGAATTTGTAAACACTTATGTGGTTGGTAGGAGTGTCTTATGTGAGTGACAAATGAAGACTGCCAGGGATCACATTTACCGCAACGTACAGGCTTCTGCCAGTTTTTTCACTTTATCCTGTCTGGAGCAGATCTTATTTTGGTCATCAAGGTTGTGAAACCAGAAAACAAATCCTTCCAGTCTCCTACCTCATAATGACAAAAGACATTGAGCATATTTTCATGTGATTTTGGATATGACTATGGCTTTCTTTTGAGAATTGGCTATTTAAGATTTTGCCATTTTTGATTGGGATATTTGCCTTTTAAATTTTGAGTTGTAAGACATTGCATATTCTGGATAATAGACCATTATCACCTATAAAATTTGCAATTTTCACATATTTTCTGCCATTCTTTGGGTGCCTCTTTATATTTGATGGTGGACTTTAAATTGCAAAAGGTTTTAATTCTAATGAAGTTTAATATTTCTATATTTTCTTCTTTCCTTTGTGTTTTTCAGTGTCATATCTTAAAACATTGTTTAACCAAAGACCACAAAGATGTATTCCTGTGTTTCTTTTTATGGGTTGGCTCTGTTTAGCTCTTATATTTAGATAGATTGTCATTTTGAGTCAATTATGTTTCTGGTATGAGGCAAGAATCTAACTTGCATGTGGATATCCACTTGACCCAGAAACATTTGACAAGAAAATATTGCTTCATAACTAATTTATTTGGCCACAATATAAAAGCATTTCACCATAAATGTAAGGATTCATTTTTGAGTATTATATTCTACTCCATTGATCAATACATATATCCCTACACTAGTACCACAAATCTTGATTACTATTACTTTGTAGTAAGTTTTGAAATCAGGAAGCATATGTCTACTATGCAAACCCTTTTTGTCTTTCTCAAGAGTATTTTGGCTGCTCAGGATCTATATTATATATAAATTTGAGGATAACCTTCTGAATTTAGGGGAATGTTTTGAGAGAAGTTGCATTAATTCTATAGATCCATTTGGAAAATATTGCCAACCTAACAATATTAACCCTTGTAAACAATGAGCATTCAAAGATTTTCTATTAATTTTGTTCAATATGTGTTATATAGTTTTTAGTGTACATATCTTATACTTAATTTGATAAGCTTATTCCTAAGTATTTTTGATTCGATCTCAATTGGAACGGTTTTCTGAGTTTTGTTTTTAGATTGTTAATTGCTAGTATAGAGAAATTTAAAATATTTTATATATTTTATATACTGCAAATTTCTTTGAACTCGTCTTTAAATTCTAAACATATTTGATTAGAATTCTTTGGACGTTTTGTACATACGATCATGTCATTTGCAAACAGTCAGAGTTTGACTTCCTTTCCATATTAGAAACATTATATTTATTTTTCTAAGCCAATTGCCCTGTCTACATTCTCCAGTACAATGTTGCAAACTAGTGTCAACAGTGGAAATATTTGACTTGTTTCTAATATCAGAGAAATTAGTGAACCTTTCAGATTACTTATGATGATATGTGAGCTTTTCATAGATGCCCTTTGAAATGCAGAAAGTTCTCTTATCTGCCTAATTTGCTGCATGTTTTTATAATATGGAATCTGGGAATTTTCAAGTGCTTGTTGCATACCTTCTGAGATGATTGTGTAGTTTTTATTCTTTATTAATATAGTGTATGACTTTAGTTGTATCCTATATTGAACCAAATTTGCATTCCTGAGGTAAATACCCTTTACCATAGTGTATAATACTTTCTACATGTTGCTGATTTCATTTGATAATATCTCGCTGGTGATTTTTGTCTCTGTATTTATAAGGCATATTGGTCTTCATTTTCCTTATTTGAAATGTCTTTGTGTAGTTGTTCAATCAGGGTAAACTAATTCATAGTATACAATGGGAAGTGATCTATTTTCTACTTCTTTATTATTATTGTATTGTTTTGAAATATTTTTGATAAATTAGTATTAATTTTATGTGATTTTAATAACACATCAATGAGTTCCTGATGAGGGCAGGGAGGTGAATCCTAAGAACAATCATGTGAGTTTGGAAGGAGACCCTTCCCCAGCTGAGCCTCAGCCTGAGCCATCACCTACATCTAGACCGAAGACCCAGAGAAACTGTGAGTAGTATGTGTGTGGTTTTGAGCCACTAAGGTATGTGGTAATTTGTTATGCACCAAGTAGTAAGTAATATACCTGACAGTAATTGTAAGGTGGTATTCTGGATTAGGTCCTGGAATAGATAAGTATATCATTATTAGAAAACCTGGTAAAATATGAAGGAAGTTTGTAGATCAGTTAATAGTCTTGAAAAACAGTTAAATTCTTAGTTTTCATGAATATGCTATGGTTATAATAGATACTAACATTCTAGTTATCTGAATGGTATATGAAACTGTCTGTACTTACCTATGTGCATTTATGTAAATCTGCAGTTATTTCAAAATAAATATTTTTTTAATATTATTATTTTGTTTTTTTTTAAAAAGTAAGCAAGTAAAGACATCAGCAAAAAACTTTTGCCTCCAAATACAAGTGGGCATGTAGGGAGAGAACAGTAAACTAGCTTTTCTTTTCTAGGCAACATTTGAAACCCAGGAGCCACTGCTTCAGGAAGGTACCTTCAAGCTCCAAGGACTCTTATCCTCTTTCTCCTTCCCCACTACCTAGTCATTAGAGTGTCAGCATCCACTTCTTGAAAGGAAGATGCCTGTTTTTCACATATCCCAGAAAGCCCCATTTTAGGACAGCATTTAGCAGAGTATATTCAAGATCCCACTAACCTTTTCGGAAGACATGAATTCCAGATGATATAAGGCAAGAATAAGAAATTTCAGTGTCAGGGAACATAAATCATATTTCTGCATTCAGGATCACGTTTTCTTGGTACAGGG